>NC_000016.10:66077651-66380682 GCF_000001405.40 Homo sapiens | reverse complement strand
ACTATCATCATCACTTCCATCATCACCACCATCAACATTTATCTTTCATCACCATCATCATCATTTATCTTTCATCACCACCATCATCATCACCATTACAACCACCACCTACCCCTTTATCATGACCACCATCACCATGATCACCACCATCACTGCCACCACCTACCCCTTTATCATCACCGCCATCATCGTGATCACCACCATCACAACCACTACCCATCCCTTTATCATCACCATCATCACCATCATCACAACGACCACCTACCCTTTATCAGCACCACCATCATCACCATCGTCAGACCACCGCCTACCCCTTTATCATCACCACCATCACCCACCATCACAATCACCACCTACCCCTTTATCATCACTGTCATCACCATTATCACAATCACCACCTACCCCTTTATCATCACCACCATCACCGTGATCACCACCACCACCTACCCCTTTATCATCACCACCATCACCATGATCACCACCACCACCTACCCCTTTATCATCACCACCATCACCGTGATCACCACCAACACCTACCCCTTTATCATCACCACCATCACCATGATCACCACCACCACCTACCCCTTTATCATCACCACCATCACCGTGATCACCACCAACACCTACCCCTTTATCATCACCACCATCACCATGATCACCACCACCACCTACCCCTTTATCATCACCACCATCACCGTGATCACCACCAACACCTACCCCTTTATCATCACCACCATCACCGTGATCACCACCAACACCTACCCCTTTATCATCACCACCATCACCGTGATCACCACCATCACAGCCACCACCACCATCACCACCATCACAACCACCACCTACCCCTTTATCATCACTACCATCACCACCATTCTCACCACTCCCACCACCACCTTGGCCTTTCCCATCCTCACCACCATCACTATCACTACCACCACCATTGCTACCATTACCACCACTACTTCTACCACCACGACCTCTACCACTATTGCTACCACCTTCACCCTTATCATCTCCACTCCTACAACCACCACAATATCTATTACCACCTTTGCCACCATCGCCATCACCACCACCACTTGTCACTATGGGCCAGCTGCTGATGGCTTCTCCTGTCCTGGGGCTTGAGCCTTACCTTGCCTACATGATGGGGAAGTGAGGTGTTTTTCTCTTCATCAATGTGCATCTGGTTCCAAATCCAATCTCTCTTTTGGCGCCGGTGGGTGGGCAGCAGGCTGTGGGTGTCCCGTTGGGCAGGGTTAGCACCTGCTGCTGCCACTGCTGCCACTGCCAGCAGGCCCAGGCAGGCGCCCGATGTGGCGAGGAGCATCATGAGCCTCTGCATCTTCCCAGGAGGAACAGATCTGGGGAAAGAGGAGACACATTCAGACTCTGGCCAGTGACGATGAAAGGAGTACTTAGACACAGGTATTTCACATAAGAGCAGCTAGATATAATGCCAAAAGCCTGGGGCAAACACAATCTGCGGGTAATTAACATTATTGTTCCCCCTTTCAGGGAGCAGTCATGCACTCGGATGAAAGGTCGGTTTTAGGACAACATGAGTAAACAAGCGCATTTAAGATAAATTTCCCTACACTTCCTTGTACCTACTCCTCACCCTCTGCCTCAGGGTAGAACAGCTGCCTTCTGCTTATTCTTCCCCGAAGCTATGCAAAACCTTCTGACCTTTCAAGAAGGTTTGCGTCCTTTCCCTAAAATTTCTTCCACCACTCTGACCGATCGCCCATATATGGTGGCCACTGCCTAAGGGTGTGAGCAGCTTCCATAGGGAACCTAACTCCCTTTATCTGTTCACTCCTTCATCCTTCACTGTCTGCTGACACCAGCAGAACCAGACCCCCTTCATGCCTTGATGAACTCCGAACTGGGGAGGGTGAAAATAGACGTGGAAACCATTTCTACTTGCGAGTCACATGTGCTAGGACGGAAGCAAGTGCAGGGGATATGGGAGCCCAGAGGAGGGCCTGTGGGGAAGGTCTCCAGGAAGAGGGTGTGAGGCTGATGCCAATGGCAGCTCCTAAGTCCCCAGGCATTGGGTGCTCAGGTTATCCTCATTGTTCAAATGAGGAAACTGAGGCACACAGATGTTAAGTTCACATTGGAGTAAGTGGTGGGACTCAGACAGGAACCCAAGTGTCTGATAGCTAATCTTTATCAAGCATTTATTTTTTGCCTGGCACTGTTTCAAGCACTTTATATATCTTATCTATTTAATCTTCCCCATCATCTTCCAGGTTGGTGTAATTATAACCCTCATTTTGCAGAAGAGGAACAGAGAGGTTTCAGAACATTCCTGAAATCACCCAAACTGTAAGGAGCACAGCCAGGATTTGAACCAAGGTTGTCTGGCCCGGAAGTTCAAATCCTTTCCTCCTGACTTCCCTTGTCCCAGCAGCTGCTATGGGGTAAGATTTAAAGCCTTCTCTCGGCAAACATCTTCCTGCCTGAAAGCCCCTTTGACAATTTTGCCTTGATTCTGTCTTCAGAAGGCTCTTAGGAAAATCCAACTGTCTTAACCCTGAGGGCCAGCCCTTCACTCCAGATCTTACAGTGAGTGGTCAGCTTTGCTGTCAGAAGAGCAGGGGTGGGTGGGGTGGTGAGTTGAGGGTCTGGGTTCATAGGAATGGCTTCATAATTTGTGTGGCCCAGTGCAAAAGAATTTTAAGAAGGCGACAGAACATTAAACCAAGGATGATGCCCTTTGAAGTGCAAGCCCTGTACAGTTGCACAGGTTGCACACTCTTGAAGGCAGGTCTGTGGGGTAGGGATGTGGATCACCCAGAGATCAAGGCCTGGCTTCATTCTGAATTCCAGGAACAGGGGTTTTCTCTACAGCCCCACGAGGAGTGCAGGCTGTGACCTTGGCCATTAGCATGTTCTCTCAGCCCTGACTCTATCTCTCCACCCTCTGGGGTCCCTGTGTTACTGACCTGCAACTCCTGGGATGATGTAGAGGAAGAACAGGTGGGTGGGAGAGGGAACCAGGACTCACATATGGAGACAGACAAGGATCTACAAGGTGCTGGATGGGATGGCCTCCTCCCTTGACTGTCCCCTGTCTGGCCAGAGGGAGAGGCTGGACTCTGTACATCACAAGAGGTTTGTAAACTCTAGTAACATTTCCCCTGATTTGCTGGCGCCAGGCTGACCTCAGGGAGGGCTGAGGGTGTCTGTGCTGGGCCAGCTGACCTCTGGGCCCACTGATTTTAGTATCGACGGCCCCTGCCTTCTGGTTCCTGCCTCTGGCCCTGGAGGAAGTGGACTCCCAGGGTGGGGATAGGCCCCAGAATGCAAGTGCCATATGCCTGGGAGAGGCCCTGACCCCTCTGGGCCTCAGTTTCCTCAGCCATAAATGAGGGGGTCAACCTGGAAGAGACTTGAGGCCCTTGAAGGGATGCTCTAGGCAGGAGGAAGGCGGTGAGGAAAGGCTTGGAGAAGAAAGGAGGCAGGTTGGGAGTCCTGGCCAGGAAGCTGGTCCCTGACTCAGGGGAGGCGGCAGGCATGACCCCTGCCCCAGCCTCACTGGACCCAGACCCTGTGGCTCATTTCCTTCTTTGTCCAGAAAGAAAGTGCAAGTCTTGATTCTTTCTTCCTGCCTCAAGTGAGAAGTGACTCAAAGATGACAAAGTAAAATGGACAGAAGTGAAAACGAGAAACAGGGAGAGGGAGAGTTCTCAGGGCTCTGGGCAGAACAGGGTGAGCGCCCAGGCTCTGAGCTGATAGATAGGTGCTGGGTGCCTACTGCATGATGGGCTCCATGCTAGGCAATGGGGGTGCCGCAGTAAGTAAGACACACTCCCTTGGGGAGTCTGCAGTAATGGGAACAACAGGAAAATAAATAAGTCAATGAGGAAACGTATCAGCTGGCGATCAGAGATGTTCAGGGAATTACAATGGGAGGTGCTGCAGAGAGTGAGGGGGCAGCTGGCTGAGCCTGTGAGGCCAGGAAGGCCTCTGGGAGAGCGGACGTTTCAGCCCACATCTGAGTGCCAGCCACAGGACTGACAGGAGAGGGAAGGGAATTCCAGGCAGAAGTGCTGTTGCTGGTCTCTGGGTACCTCAACATCCGAGCCCACCTCTGTGCAGGCAGTGGTTGGTTTCCTTAAAGGAGCCCACCTCTCTGAAGCAGTCCCTTCATAAAATCTCTTCAATTGGCCTCCCAGGGTTCGCTCTGTTTCCTGCTGGGAACCCCATCTCTAATACAGTGAGCGGGAATGTGGTTTTCTCTTTCCTGGGGCCTATTGGGATGGGTTAGTGATCCCTAGGGCTGACCGCAGCCAGCGGTCAGATGGATAAATAGAGTCATGTGCTGCAAAATGACTGTTTGGTCAACAATGGACTGCACATATGAATGTGGTCCCCTAAGGTTTTAATGGAGCTAAAAATTCCTCTGCCCTAGTAACATTGCAGCCATTGTGACGTCACAGCACAAGCCATTACTCGTGTGTTTGGGGTGATGGTAGTGTAGACCAACTTTATAAAAAATGTTATATTAGGTTGGTGCAAAAGTAATTGTGTTTTATTTATTTATTTATTTATTTATTTATTATTTTTTCCTTTGAGACAGAGTTTTGTTCTGGAGTGCAGCGGTGTGATCTCAGCTCACTGCAACCTCCGCCTCCCAGGTTCAAGTCATTCTCCTGGCTCAGCCTCCCAAGTAGCTGGGATTACAGGCGCGTGACACCACGCCCGGCCAATTTTTTTTTGTATTTTTAGTAGAGACGGGGTTTCACCTTGTTGGCCAGGTTGGTCTCAAACTCCTGACCTCAGGCGATCCGCCGCGTCAGCCTCCCAAAGTGCTGGGATTGCAGGCGTGAGCCACCGTAGCCGGTGGCTTTTTTTTTTTTTAGACGGCAACAACAGCAATTACTTTTGCACTACCCTAATAGTAAACTAATTTCTTATTGACGAAAGAAAAATATTTTTAAGTAAATTTAGTGAAGCTAAGTGTACGGTGTTTATTAAGTCTACAGTAGGATACAGTGACGTCCTAGGCCACTCACCACTCACTCCCTGACTCACCCAGACCAATTACTAGTCCTGGAAGCTCCACTCATGGTATGTACCATAGAGAGGTGTACCATTTTTTATTTTTTTATTTTTATTTTTATTTTTTACTTTTTTATTTTTTTGAGATTGAGTCTCCCTCTGTCGCCCAGGCTGGAGTGTGGTGTGAATGCGGCTCACTGCAGCCTCAAACTCCTGGGCTCAAGCAATCCTCCCACCTCAGCCCCACAAGGAGGTATGTGCCAGCACATCTGGCTAATTTTTAAATTTTTTTGAAGAGATAGTTGGGGTGGAGGGGTTTGACTATATCGCCCAAGCTGGTCTTGAACTCCTGCCTCAAGTGATCCTCCTGCATTGGCCTCCCAAAGTGCTGGGATTACAGGCTCCTTTTTTATCTTTTACATGGGAATTTTATTGTATCTTGTCTGTATTTAGATATGTTTAGATACATCAATACTTGCTGTCGTGTTAAAATTGGCTACAGCATTCAGTACAGTACCATGCTGCACAGGTATGGAGCCTAAGAGCAATAGACTGTACCGTACAGCCTAGGTGTGCGGCAGGCTATACGATCCAGATTTCTTTGTGTAAGCACACTCTCTGATGTTTGCACAACAGCGAAATCACCTGAACTCGTTTTTCAGAATGTGTCCCAGTCATTAAGATGCACATCACACACCGGGGCCTGTCGTGGGGTGGGGGGAGAGGGGAGGGATAGCATTAGGAGATACACCTAATGTAAATGACGAGTTAATGGGTGCAGCACACCAACATGGCACATGTGTACATATGTAACAAACCTGCACGTTGTGCACATGTACCCTAGAACTTAAAGTATACTAATAAAAAATAAATAAATAAAATTAAACAAAGAGAAAATTTCAGGGTGAAGACGGTCAAAACTAACACATTCAGAATAAAATGAGGTTCCTTCCTTGATTTGAAAAAAAAAAAAAAAAAGATGCACGGCTGTACCTACACCAGACTTCAGCAAAGCAGAGTCCACCAGTCACAGGCTCGGACCACGTGGCTCCTGGGGGGACATTAACTCCTCAGTGGGCTTTGTCTGGCCCCACATAACAAAGCGTTCTCTGAAGGTGCAGAAAAGCCCCTTGGATTCTGTTGTGTGTCCAGCAGGGGCCCTGCTGCTAGCTCTGGAGAGAAGTCCCTTGGAGCACATGGGCCACCCTCAAGCTCCTTCCCTCTGACAGGGCTGAGACTGGCTCTCGCAGAGTCACCTCACAGCAGCTGTGTGTCATTTGCCAGGGCAGAGGGAGGTCTGGGTGCTCAGCTCTCATCAGTCAGCTGTTGGTGAGGGGCAGGACCTTGGGTTGGGGGCATTTGGGAGCTTGGGATCACATAATCCCATTTGCACCCCCATGCCAGAGCCTTGAGCACCCTCCCGAGACAGCTCTTTCTCGCCTGGGACGGTGGAGGAGGGCTGACATCCCTGAGCACTCCCCCGAGGCACACGTTATTTTATTTAAACCTTGCAACAACCCTTCTAGGTAGTTGTCTGCGTTCCCATTTTGCAGGTAAAGAAATGGGGGCTCAGAGAGGTAGCGTAAGTCATCTCAGTTCACATAGCCGGAGGCAGTGGAGCCAGGATTTGAACTTAGGCTGTCTTTCCCCCAAATTAGTGCTTTTTGCGTCATGCCACTCTCTCTATCTCTGTGGTGACATTCACATGTAATAATAATGAACTATTCTCGGTGCTTGGTCTTCATCCATGCCAGCGCATTTAATTTTCACACTATCCCCAGGATGTAAGACTTATCATTCCCATTTCACAGATTAGGAAACTGAGGCTCAGAGACAAACAACTCATGAATGGTTGTCATCAGATCGATCTTTTTCTAAATCCTAGGCTCCTTCTATACTCAATCTCAGAGACACCTGTGGGACCTTCCCATCTGAAAAGCCACATTTATTTGTGTCTTTTGCCCTTTAGGTTAGAAATTTGGCCACTAACTTTGGGAAACTGTGGCGGGTGGATCACTTGAGGTCAGGAGTTCGAGACCAGCCTGGGAAACATGGTGAAATCCTGTCTCTACTAAAAAATACAAAAATTAGCCTGGCATGGTGGCGCATGCCTATAGTCCCAGCTACTCGGGAGGCTGAGGCACGAGAATCGCTTGAACCTGGGAGGCGGGGGTTGCAGTGAGTTGAGATCCTGCCACTGCACTCCAGCCTGGGCAACAGGTGACAGAGCAAGACTTCGTCTCAAAAAAAAAAAAAAAAAAATTGGCTAACCAAAATGGGGGCTGCAGGGAAGGGTCTTGTTGGACAGATGTTCCTTCCCATCATGATGCAGAGGAAACCGGGCCAGTCAGATCTACTGCAGCCACAGCTGAAAACTGAATTTCTCTTGGCTGCAGCCTCTGGAGATGTGGTCATAGCCCTTTTTTCATTTTAGCCTGTTTCCTTTCGGCAGGTAAGAGTCACATCTCTCGGTCGTTCTCAGCAGTTTCCAGAGAGACTCAAGCTGTTGCCAGGTAGATTTGGGGCACCCCAGACATTCAGAGGGTCTGAGGATTTTGGAAGTGATTTCCATGTTCAGAAATTCCCAGCTGAGCAGCCCAGCAACTGCCTGATCACAGTGGTGAGCAGGGAGGGGCCACGCTTGGCAACTCAGATGTAGGTTCTGAGCACGCCGAGGCCAGGTACCTGCAGTGTCCCAGGCATCCAGGATGCTTATCGATGCTGCTGTCCCCAGAGCCATGTGAGAGGGTTTGGGGGCAGTTCCAAATGGAGGAGGATGGGCCCTCTGTACCCTCCCTCAGTCTGGGGAGGTCTGGAGGACCCAAAATGAGAGGACGGAGTGAGTGGCCCGAATCCCCTGGTGAGTGGGCGTGGAGCCCAGGATTAAACAGCAGGGGAGCCTTGGAAAATAAGGGGGACGACTGGGCTCCACCATGCTCCCATGGGAGGTTGGGACCGCAGAGGCCTCTGGGGTCCAGGTCTGTATCTACCGTGGGTGGGGCCACTGGGATCAGAACCTAGACACCTAGGCCAAGCCTGGTGACCGAGGGGTCCTCCGAAGGCTGAGTCACCTGGGCAGCCTGAGAAAAGGTTGGGGCTCCTGCGGCTCTTTCTGCTCCTCTCCAGCTGCCTGTCTGGGTCTGCAGGTGCCTGGTGAGCCTCCAGGCATAGCTCCGGCCCACAGGACGTTAACTCTCTGGGAAGCTCCCCACCCCACCAGGTTTGGTTGCATCCTCCCTGCCCGTGCACTTGCTGTCCTCTCTCCTCTGCCTGGATTTAGGACACATGTCACCACTTCTCTGAAGCTCTCTCTAGAGTCCTGGGGTTATACAGTCATGCAGCAAACATTTATTGAGCATCTACTATGTGCCAGGCACTTAATTCCATGCAGGAATAAACACAGGCTCCACTTCCGTGGGAGAGAGGGATGCCGGTCATGTGGTGAAAAATGCAGTTTGAAATTGTGACATGTGCTTTGATGGACAAATCGAGGAGGCTGTGGGAGCATACAGACTGGGAGGGCCCTGATGGGTCTGAGGACCACAGTCCCAGGAGTGAGTCCTGCCTCTCACTGAGCCACTGTGGGACATCACACAAAGCTCCCTTTGGTCCCTTTCCCTTTGTGGGCGTCCATCTCTCTGGGGTTCTGCCTCCAAGGGGCTGTGAGATCGGCTCAGCTCTGTGCTGAGTTACAGTGTCAAAAAGAGAGGCTAGGGATACAAGAGAAGAGGAAGGGAAGGGAAGGGCGGGGAGGGGAAGGGCTAGAGCTGCTTTTCTTGGGACTGCCTGGGACCCCTGGCTTTGTAGCTAAATAAGACATAGGAAGTCTGGACCCAGCTGGGGGCCCCTCAATGGGCTGGTCCAGCCCCTCAGCCCCTGGGCTGGTCCTGCCCCTGAGCACCAGGAGGACCCCCTGCCCCTCGACCTGACCAGAGCCCCACTCAAGCCTTAGATTCCAGGGGCCAAGTCTGGGCTTTGCAGTATAGGGGGTTTTCAATAGGCTGGAGGGCCTCAGGGGTGGGGCAGAGGAAGGCTCCAGGTCCAGGACACACACATGACATCTGCAGGCCTCATGGACCTGTGACACCCTCAAACATGCCTTCACAAGTGCACACCCCTGACCACAGGCACCTGCCCAGGCCAACTCCTGCAGGGCTCCTCTTTGCAGGCCTGGCTGCTCTCCTCCCTGACCCCCAGCACACCCGCTTTCAGCTAGGATCCCAGCCCAGCCTCCTGCAGCCTCTGGACTCCAGCCCAGAGGCCTGGGGTCAGGGATGAGGGGCAGGGCGCTGGGAGGAGCCGGCCTAGAACATGCAGGAGGTGTGCCTGCTGGAGTGGGGGCACTGAAGACCCAGCTCCGTGTGTGGCCCTGGGCAGCTCTCCCCACCGCTTTCCCATTCCACAGCTCAAATCTCAGTCCAGGTTGGGGCTGGGACCCAGTGACCCCCAAACTCTGTGGGGACTCTCAAATGGTCTACTTGAGCTCAGGCATTTAAAGTTGCGTATTGGCGGCCACAGACTTTGGGAGGATGAAGGGTGAGGCCCTGGGAGCTCGGGAATGGGGTTTGGCCAGGCAGCTATGACCTGGCCCCTTCTGCTTCCTCCTGGTTTGTGGCTCAGTTTGGCCCTGGGATAGGCTTCTGTGGGTTCCAGACCTGTTCCTCTCCCTGCAGGTTCTGCCAACAGCCTCCCCACTCCCTGCTGGAGGAAGTCTAGCTCCTCAGCCAGCCCTTAAGGCCTAGCATGGTTGTCCCCTGCCCACCCTGCCAGCTCTCCTCTCCTCCACTTCCCTGCCCCTTCCAGCCTCGAGGAGAGCTAGGAGTTCCTGAAATGCACAATGCCCTTCCTCTCAGCAGCAGGCTTTTTGCCCAGGCTGTTCCTTCTGACTGGAATGCTCTTCTTTGCTGTGTTTCCTGGGTTAACGCTTTACTTCTTCTCAAGGCCCACACTGCCTACTCCATGAGGTCTTCTGATTGCCACCTGCCACCAGCACAGCCTCTGCCTCCTGGCCTATCTGCCCAGGCAGGTTCTGGGCCTAAGAGTTCACTTCATGCCATACCTGGGTGCATGAACTCAAGGCCCTAGACCTGGACGTGCTGCCTGTCAGCCTGGTGCCAGCTCCAGTTCTGGTCTTGTCACCCACTCCTTCCCCACTCACAGGATTTAGAAACAAATCTGTATATTTTCAGACAACACGTAGGGTGGTCAGAGTAGGTACAATTGTTGGTATAACTTAAAGAAGCTCCTCCTTGTTCCCAAATAGGTCCTCTGATGGCTCATGGGATAGGCTGCCATGGGACTGCCCAAAAGACCACCGATAGGATTTTGATCCTTTACTGACAACAAAATTATCCTTCTTAAGAGTCCCTGGCCAGGTGTGGTGGCTCACACCTGTAAATCCCAGCACTTTGGGAGGCCGAGACCAGTGGATCACCTGAGGTCAGGAGTTCGCAACCAGCCTGGCCAACATGGTGAAACCCCGTCTCTACTAAAAATACAAAATTAGCTAGGCATGGTAGCACATGCCTGTAATCCTAGCTACTTGGGAGATTGAGGCAGGAGAATCGCTTGAATCTGGGAGGTGGAGGTTGCAGTGAGCCAAGATTGCGCCATTGCACTCCAGCCTGGACAACAAGAGCAAAACTCTGTCTCAAAAACAAACAAACAAACAAACAAACAAACAAACAAAAAAGTCTCCAGTGAATATGCAAACACCCCTGAGCAGGGCACCTCTTAAGACAGGGCTGGCAAAACAGAACTCAGCTTGCCACATGCCCCTTTCCACACCTATGGCAGACATCACGAATCAATCACTCAAAGACTGTATTGAGGATCCTCATAGACTGTATTGAGGATTCAGGGGCTGAGTTCAAGTTCATTCCCACTGAATGAAGGTAGAGGGTACCAACTGGCCAGACCTATTTTGTGATGTGAAACAAATTTGTGCTGGAATCTCTGGGCTCCGGGTCATCTAGTCTATCCCCTTGCCTTCTAAAGGGACAGCTCCAAACTTCAAGGAGAGAACACCCATGCTAAGGAGGCTTCCAGACTCCTCTGGGCTTCCTGACTTTGTCTGGGACTGTCAGGGCAGTGCGGGGAACAGAATGAGGCCCTTGCACCTGCCTATTTGAACCTGCCCAGCTGCTCGGGAGCTGTGTGACCTTGGGTTCATCTCTTGCTTGCTGAGCCTCAGCTTCCTTATCTGTAATGGAGGCAACAATAGCTGCCTCCCTGGGCAGGAGGATTAAATGAGATCATGGGTGCAAAGCCTGGCACACAGTAGGTGCTCAGTAAGGGTGCAGGTGTCTTGACTCCTATCTACCCGCCCTCTCCAGCCTGGTGGGTGTGGCTTTGACTGGCCAACTTACGCTTGACCTCATTTCCTGGCTCTACTCTGGGCCCACCTCCTACTCTTTCTGTTCCTCTGCAGAAGGAAATCTCATTCACCACCAGCCCGGCCTGCCCCTGGGTCCCACTTCCTCCTCCTTCTAGTATCTGGACCTGCCAGGATCTGACTGTTTTGCTATGGTCCAAGGCAGACAACCTGGAAATCCCTGAATTAGTTTAGGGACCATCCCCTACTCTCAAGAGATGGGAAGACTGAGGTGCAGGCTGCAGAGGGGCTGCCCAAGGCCTCCTAGCATCTGGGATTCCCACTCTTCCTCCAGCAAGCCCTCCATGATTTACCCACTTAACACCAGCTTGAACCTGGATCAGGACAGACTTTTTAGTATCTCCTCAGCCAGAGGTGAAGCTCCTGAGGCCCTGCCTCCTAGAACATTCCTTCCCCTGGTATCACTGGGCTCCTGGCTTGTCCCTGTGCCTGCCTCTGTGGCCTGGACTGCTCTGCTTTCCCCCTCTCTGAGCTTCACTGTGGAGTGTGGCATGGACTGTGGGTCAGAAGGAACCGCACTCACCCTGCTTCTACCTTGTGTTGGTTGTGTGACCTTGGACTGGCTGCACAGCTTCCCTCAGCCTCGATGGTCCCATCTGTCAAATGGGAATTCTCATAGTTGCTTCAGTGTGACTGAGGGGGTGCAGAGAGAGGATACAGGGAACAGTCATGGGTCCATGTGGGCAAAATGAGCCTAAGATTCTTCCTGGGATGGTGTCCCCTCTGTCCCCTGGGTGTCCCCAAGTCAGCAGTGAATCATCCAACTTTGCAGAAAATGTGTGGCCCCTGCTGGCTTCCTGCCCTCATGTCCGGCCCTTGTTTGGCAACACAATAGCTCAGGCTGAGGCTGCAGGCGGGCAGCTTAACCCCTTCCAGGCCAGTATACACCTCCCCTACCCCTCACCACCATAAGCTGAAATTGGTAGGGCTGCTCAGGGGCTCAGCAGCTCTTGGGCCCCTTGGTGGATACCTGCTGCTCTCTAGGGCAGGCAGAGGAGAGTCCCAGGCTTCCCACCACCTGAGGATGGACCAGGGCTTCTGGCCCTGGCTCCAGTGGCCTGTGGCAAAAGAGCCTTCCAGGTACACCCTCGACTCCTCAAAGCTGCCTCCCTGGGAATGCCCTTCCTCTCTTGTCAGAATCCTATCTGCCCATCACACATGAGAAACGTCCACGCTGGGGAGGGAGCCTGACATGGAGCAGAGGCCCAGAGGTGCTCGCGATGTCCTCTCACTTGCACCCCCTTCCTCGTACCTGCTGGGCACCTGAGGACCCCTCCGTGATGGGGTTTGACCATACCTCAAGGGCCAAAATCTTTATCACATTCACAACCAGGATCGGCTCTGTGCTAGCTGGTAAATCCAGCCACTATTCCTTAAAGATCTCATGTTATGTGCCATTCCCAGCACCAGGGATGTAGCTCACTTCACTCAATTGACTGAGGAAACACTGTTTCCCCATTTCACAGATGAGACACTTGAGACCTGGGGAGAGCTGGGGCTTTGGAGTACGAGATCCTGGTTCAAATCCCCACACCAGCTCATATGTTTCCAAAGCTCAGTTGCTTTCACTGAGATATAAAGAAAGAATGTATCTACCTTGTGGAGTTGTTAATGGTAAAATAATGAGCCCCACACCATCCCTTGTTCCCCACTGTGGTTTGGAAACTCTGGGTAACTTTCCCAAGGTCACCCCAGAGCAAATGGGAGAGCTGGGATCTGTACCCAGGGCAGCTGTCTCCAGGCCAGGCTCTTGGCCCAGACCTCCTGCTTCTGGGGGACTTCCTGGGCTGTGGGGGCCTTGGGGCTCTTATGCTCTAGCCTTTGAAAGGGTGCTGGTGGGAGGAATGGTGGACCGCTGTCCAGACTACAGCTCCCTTGACACATAGTGGGCCCCGATGGTGTTTGGGCAGGGAAAGGCCCAGAGGGAAAGGCAAGACCTCAAGTGCCCAGAGCCAAGCCTCAGCTTGCCTATCCTGAAATGGGGGCACTGGCTGACCGAGAGGGGCCAAGGCTCGGAGCTTCCTTTTCAGGGCCCCTCCCCAGATCCCAGCATAGAGCTTTAGTGGCGTATGGGTAGGGGGCTGAGGAGGCTGGTGTCAGGCCTTGGTAAATCCTCTCCAGTAAGGGTAAGGCACCGAGGGGAGGCCAAGGCCTGGGTGCCAGTCCTCTGCCCCGGCATGCTGGGCAACTGGGGCAGAATACTGCCCTCTCTGAGCCTGGCACTGATGAAGGCCAGTGGGCCTTTTTGAGTTGGAGAATACACTTCTGGGAGAGCCAAGCCCTTGCCCTGCCCCCCTCAGCCCCGAGATGCCCATTTGTGCCCTTGGCACTACCTCTGGGTGCACCTTCCCCGACCCTGCTCTGAGCCACGAGGAGGCCCAGCGTGCCCTCGAGGAGCCTCTCTGTCATGGGAGTGGGACGATGCCCATTCTACAGATGGGGAAGCTGAGGACCCTCCCATCTTGGGCGCAGGGTGGCGGGTTTGGGGTGGAGGGGAGTGTGGGAGCCCCCACTCACCGTGCCTGTGGGCTGAGGGATGTTTCTGTTCCGTTGGACTGCCTGTCCGTCCAGGGCTGAGCGTGAGTGGAGCTCTGTGGAGCCTGTCAGCCGACCGTCTTTGGAGGGGAGCCACACCCCGCTGGCGAGGGAGGCCTGGCTGCCTCCCCTTCAGGTTTTCCAGCTGGCCCTGGCCCACTTCCCCCTGGGATGGTTTCCTGTTATTGTTCCTTTGTGAGGGCTGGGCTGGCTGCAGATAGGCAGGCCCTGCGGTGGGCGGCTGCCTCGGCCCCGGATGGCTGTCTCCACAGAGGGCTGGCACTGGACCCTGCCTGGGGCACCCCACTTGAACCCCTACTCCCGGCCTCAGCTCTGGGACTCTGAACCCAGCACCTGCAAAGAGCCTGGCTGTGGGGACCCTTGGCTGCAGCATCACATTTAACCCTCCTTGGAATGCTACAGGCAGGTGTCATCACCCCCATTTTATAGCCCGGGAAGCTGAGGCTCAGCGGGTTTAAGGTGCTTGTCCACCCAGCTGGGGTATAAAAGAGCCAAAAATCTAGCTGGGGTCAGCCTAGCCCCAGAGCTTGATTTTCTGTGGTGATCCCATGATGTCTTTGTGGGAATGGACTTTAAAGGTGACAGGGAGGCTTCAGGAGATGGGAAAGGGACAGAAGCTCTTGGCTCTGGAGGACCAGGTTGGCTTCTCCTGGTCAGAGCGGGCATGGACTCCAGCTCTAAGGTGCCAGCCTCGGTCTGTAGGGGATGTTTGCATTTAGGGATATTGGGTGGAGTCAAGTGACCCAGCTCTGCTTCTGATGTGACCTCTGGCCAGTTGTGTCATCCTGGAGCCACAGTTTCCTCATCTGTAAAATGGGGATAATCACAGCCTCATCCTCACAAGGCTTTTGACATAAACGAGAATCAAAGAGGGGCGTGGAAGACAGTGACGCTGAGGCTGGATCAGAGCCCAGAAGAACCAAGAGGCTGGGGGGAAGGGAGGGGCCAAGATTCTGCTGACCAGGAGAGACATAGGAGGAGCTTCTAAAAACTACAGAGGACTGGGCTCACCCCAGATCAACTGATTTGGAATCTCCCAGGGCAGATCCTGGGAATCTGTCCTTTGAAGAGTTGCTTCTGTTTTTCCATGGGTGAATGGTTGGGAAGTCCCAAACTTGTTTTATTATATAGCTGGGCAAGCAGAGACCCTGAGAAAGAGAGGGCCCAGGGCCGTTTAGTAAATCAGAGCACAAGATGGGGAGTGTGATGGAAGGATATTTTTGGAGGAGGAGGGGATAGTGATTCCTCTGTCTCAGGCAGGTTGAGTTTGAGATGCTCGTTAGATACCCAGGTGGAGGTGTCAGGCTGGTGGGGGAGACAGGGGTGAGTCCAGCCTGGAGTCGAGGTTTGGAACCCAACAGCTTATGGCTGGCATCTGAGGCCATGGGCATGGATGAGCTTGGAGGGAGGGAGGACTTGGACCCTCTGACATTTGGGGATCCATTAGAAGAGGGTCCCATGATGAAGGAGGAATGCCAGGAGAGGGCAGAGGAGGAGGGCAGGGGAGTAGTCAGTGGGTCAGCCTGGGGAGCATGAGGGCTGAGACTTAACTTTGGATTTGGAAGATGAGGTCATCAATGACTGTGACCAGAACAGGTTAAACAGGAAAAGGTAGACAAGACAGATTGGAGGGGCTAGAGAAAGGGGAGAAAGGGGGACGGGGATGTGGAGTCACGTGTGACTGTAGCTTCTTCCCCAAGTCTTACAGTGAATGGGAGCAGAGAAGTGGGAGGGTTTTTTTTTTTTTTTTTTTTTTTTTTTTTTAACTATGGCAGCACGCTCATGTCCCCAGGGAGCATCCAGCAGACGGGAAGACAGATGATGCTGGAGACTGAGGAGCGACCTGCTGGAAGGAGAACAGTCCTTGGGGCGGAATTCTGAGTGGGATCCAACACATTCAACAGCCGATTGTGGAATGAACAAACAACAGCTCAGCGCTTCCTTCTCCAATGGGATTAACTCTGCTTTCTCCTGCCCAGAGGGGGGGTTGGCCGCAGAGGAGCCAGGACAGTGCTCTGTCCCCTGTGTTCCAGTCCACATCCCCCTCACCCCCGCCTGTCCTCATGGTCTACGTGCCCATGGGGATACACTGGCCTGTGCATTGCTTCCTGCTGGGTCTCAGACTCGGGGCTGTGGCAGATGGGGACAGGGCCTGTCCTGGCACCATCTGCCAATTCCCTTTGTACTCCCAGTCCATGAGGAAGTTGACTCTGCCCTGAAAACGACTGTTCCTGTGGTCCATAAACAAAGGAATGGTGAGCCAGGCATGAGCTGTGGGCCCCAGGGGTGGGGCTGGGGGTCACCGTAGCAGAGGTAGCTGAGACTGTGGGAGGGAGGCTGGTGCCTCCTTGGTCCCCCTGAGGATTTCATGCCTGATTTCTGGCACTGCCCAGCCTCTGCTCCAACCTCTCTGGAGGCAAAGGAGGTAACAGGAGGGCACAAGGCCAGGAAGTGTCATTGGGAGCAAGGAAGGCGGCTGGTGGGCTAGCAGGAAATGGGATGGTCTGTGAGACCAGATTAGTAGCAGAGGAGGAAGCAACAGTGGAGGCAGTGGGGGTGGGATGGCGGGTGGGACGACAAGGCCTGGGGACGCCCACCTGGCCTCTGCCAGGAGGAAGCCTGACCCGACAGGGAGCGCTGCTTGGGGAGGTACAGGTGTGGGGGTTGCAGACCCAGGTTTGGATCCTAGCATGACCCGTTGCTGCCTGCATGACCTGGGCAGCCGACTTGCCTCTCTGAGCTTCTTTCCTCACCTGTGAAATGAGTTATCTGTTCAGACTTTGCAGGCCGTTTGGAAGATGAAATGAGACAATGAAAATAAATGACAGGACCAGCAAGCCTTATCGAGTGGCTGTTTCTCAAAGTGTGGTCTTCAAGCCATCCATCCTGGGAGAGGGGGAGTGAATATGCAGATTTCTTGGGCCCCACTCCAGGCTGATGGGGTCAGAATGGCTGGTGATAGAATCCCAGGACTTATGTGTTTGTAGCTCCCCAGGAAACGTGTTTGTGTTGTTACATTTGAGGACCACAGCCTTTGTGTCTGCTGCTAATGCACTAAGCTCTCCTTGGGACTCCTCATTCAAACCTCAGGACAACCCTGCGGGGGTGGTACTACTGTTAGGCCCATTTTACAGATGGGAAAACAGAGGCTGGGAGTGAAAGCCTTTCTGAGATCAGAGTTTGTCAGTGGTGGGGCGGAAATTCCGAGCCACGCTTCTGTTTCCAGAGCCCAGCTCCTTACCCAGGGAGCTTTCCTGCCCTGCTGTAATTGAGTCGGGACACAGCAGGGGTTCCCCAAATAAGACTTCCTTTTCCTTCCTCCCCACAGCGTGAGACACCCAAGGATGGGGCAGGAAAACGATGCCATCAGCTTGGCAGGGGCGGTCGTGGTGAAGCCCTGCAGCCTCACGCCTCAGGACTTTGCCCATGCTGTTCCACCTTGTGTGTTTCCTTCTCTCTCCTTCCTCGCCTGTGCGCAGAGCCCTGGCAGAGCCACCCAGATCTCATTGTCTCTACACTCCACTCCCTCTTCTGAGCTCCCAGGGCACTTTATACAGACCTCATTCACAACCCTCCTCTCCTTTCCCACCGGGATTGTGTCCTATTTGGGTGCTTATCCCCAGCACCTGGTAATAGGTGAGTGCTCCCCAAATGTGAACTTGAAACTGTGCACTCATTAGAACCGGCAGTCAGCCCGCTGCTCCCCGGGTCAGAGAGACTGGGGGGAGAGTCGAGTGTTTTGTGTTCTAAGGCAGGTGATGGTCTGATGGCAGAGGGCTTGATGAGCCCATCTGCTCAGTTACGGGCAAAGGAAAAACCCTTTTGCCCAGCTGGCTGTGCTGTGCTGAGGGGCGGACACACCTCCAGGGAACATAAAATAGGGCTGCTCACCTGAGGTAGTCTCAGAAGGGGCTCAGAAGGAGGAAGAGCGGGAAGGAGGAGCAGGGAGGGGTCTCATCCTCAGCTGTGATTCTACAAGGAACAGAAAGCTTGTGATGAGAGCTGCAGGCCCAGCTGAGAACTCCTCCGAGCAGAAACTGGGCTAGGCTCACTTTGGGGTGCCTGGATCTGAGCTCAAGGTGGCCGTCAGGCAGGGAGGAAGAGCCCACTGTTTGAATGAATGAATGAATGAATGAATGAATGAATGCGTGAATAGTGAATGAACAAGCGGATGAAACACTGGTATGTTGAGGCAGACACGAGGTGCGGGGCTGGGTGTGTACCTGTGTTCTGTGGTATATTCTGATGGACAGTGGGTCCTTTTTCCTAAGGCTTCAAGGAGTCACCAAATCAGTCAATCAGGCAATCAATCAATCAACCAGTCTCTCAGTCCTGGTTGGTGCCCAGTTCTGCGCCAGCCTGGGAATGGGGATCCAGGGAATTAAAAGAGACAGTTCTGCTACAAGCTCTGAGGCTGGGCTGGAGTTAAAGTCACCAGCACTACCTGAGCCCCTCCTATGTGTCATCCCTGTCTCAGGCTCGGTCTCTTATTTCTCATACTTCACGGGGTCCTTGAGAGAGGGTTGAGGATCCGCCCGTTTTACAGAATTCAGTAACGAGCCCAGTGTGGCACTGCCCGGTTCACACCAGGCTTGTGTGTGTCTGCTGAACCTTGCTGAATACTCGAGATCCAATCTGAGGCTTCCCTCTTTGAGCCTTTCCCATGCTGTCCTCCCCCATGCTTTCCTTCCTCCTTCTGCAACCCAAATCTCCCAGCCCATCAGTGCTCAGATCAAACGTGCCGGCCCCCATGCAGCTTCCAGACTCCTATTCTGACAAGCATCTTATCCCCGCGAAGCCTTTGCCACATTCTGTCTATGCATTCCATCTCCATTTTCTCATGTAATGATGCTTTGCAATAGCCCTGAAAGATGTAAGTGCTATTTGTATTCCCATTTCCCTGATGAAAGAGCTGAGGCTCAGAGAGGCTGAGTAACTTGCTCAAGGTCACACAGTGTCTGAGTAGCAGAGCCAGGATTTCAACCCTTATATTCCTGTTTATATCCCAGTTCAATGCTCATTCTATAGCACCACCCTTCTTCTGATAACTTGCCATTGTTCACCAATGTTTTATGTTCCTTTGTTATTTAAAAAATACATTTGGTGCTCAGGCTTTTCCTAGCCCTGTGCTAGGCATGGAGACGTGGAGGTGACTTGGGCTGGGTCCTTGTCTTTGATGTGCCCCAGTCTGGTGGGAGAGACAGACACCAAGACATGCATGAACCACACTGGGTGGGGCTGGGTTGGTGACAGAGGTGTGCACCCTGAGATGAGGGTGCCCGGAGGAGGTGGCCTGGGAGCTGCCGGAGGACTGGGTCCCCAAGCTGATCTGAAAGCATGAGCAGGAGGTCACCAAAGGCGGAGCACGGGAAGGGCTCTGCAGACAGCAGAATTGGCAGGGTCAAAGGCAAGGAGGCCTCTTAGGGAAGGAGAAGACATTCCAAGGGGTAGGGGAGCACTGAGGTGCTGAGAGGGGAAGAGGGACTGGCTGGGGAGGAGGCCAGGTGGTAGAGGGCCTGTCACACCACACTGAGGAGCTCAGGCAGGGCACCGCTGGGGGCCTCATGCAGGCCAGGGACCCAAGGATCCCTGGATTTTAGGAGAGGCGCCCCCTGTCCAGTGCACCGTGTCCCCATGCAGCTGCCTGCTGGCGGGGCCACCTCCTGTGGGCTGTGGTCAGGCCAGGGAGAGGCCACTGGCTGGGGAACCGCAAGGGATGGCGGCTCAGGATGCAGCCACTGGAGCTGGGTGAGGAAAAGGCTAAGTGCAGCCTCTCTTTGGCCAGGAAAGGCCGATTGAACGGGGTTTGAATTCCCGACAGTGAGAACAATACCTTGCCGCAGCCCCTGGGAGGGAGGAGGCTGCCCAGAGCACTTCCCCAGATGTTTCTCACTTTTTTCTCACAACATCCTGAAAAGGCTGTTACGGAAGTGGGGCTCCCAGGGGTGGAGAGAAAGTGGTGCCCTGTGGTTACATGCTGGGGCACATCTGCTACTTATGGTCTGGCTGATCCTGGACCAGCCACATGGCCTTTGGTGCCTCAGTTTTCCCTTCTGTAAAATGGGAATGATGGCGTGCCTTCCTCCCAGGGTTGCTGAAAGGACTAACTGAGAAGATGCATGTAAAGTGCATAGAATAGTCTCTGGTATACAGTAGGTGCTCAATGCATGTTTGTCATGACAGTGATGCCACAGACACGTTAATGGTGGGGGCACCTGTGAGTGTGTGAGGACGACCGTGTATACATGTGAGTGTGTTAGCATGGGCATGGCATGTGCACGGTGTTTGGCAACCATGTGGCTACACATAAGTATGTAAGAACACGCATGGAGTGTGTAAGGCATCCACATGGATGTGACCACATGTGCTGTGTTCGTGGTGCATGAGTGGGCTGAGAGGTGCAGTCAGGTTGAGGCCTTGGGCAGCATCCTCCTCCTCCGTTGTCTGGAGCCATTGGTCACCCCACTGCCCAAGCCTTCTGTGTATCCGTCACATGCAGAAGCCCAGAGAGGGCAAGGCCTTCCTTGGGGTGGCCCAGTGAGCCAGGCAGGGCAGGGTGGGACCAAGGGCCCTGCCTTGTTGTCTGGAGGGCAGGCCTGAGTCTGGAGGAAACCTTGTCCAGCGGAAGCCAGGGCTTCCTGTTTCTAGACCCTACATTCCTTGTGCTCTCCACCGAAGCGTCCTGGAAAACAATAGGTTGGAGGCTGCACCATCTGTGGGGCAGGAAGGTGGATCAATCCCTCCCACCTCTTGATGGGGCAAGCAGACACGGCTCTGGCACCAGCCCTCAGCTGGGCAGTGTGGCAGCAGGCCCAGAACCAGGCAAGCCCAGGCCATCTGCCTCCTGCCTGTCTGGGTCTCTTCTCCAGGCCATCTCCACACCCCTCAGTGCACACTGCACTCTGTGGCCTGAGACGAGTCCCCTGGGCAAAATCCAGCTAGGGGAGGAGGCGTCTGAGCTGGTCCCGGGGAAGGAAGCTACTAGGAAAAACTCAAGTCCGATTGGATGGGACTGACTGCACAGGCTGGTGGAGACCTCGAGGATCCTCCAGCTTCACCCACCTGCCATGCCACTGAGAACCAAGAGCGAATACAGAGAGGTTCCGACCAGCCAAAAGAAGGAATCTTTCCAGCCTCTGTGCTAAAGCTCAGAGACATGCCTGTTAACTCTTGGTTTATGTACAGTCCTAACAAGTCAGGTTCTCCAGGGAAGAGGGGCACAGTGGTAAGAGCAGTGGGCTTGGAACCAGAAGCCCCAGTTTTCTGATCCCATGCTCTGCCGCTGACTGCTCACCAGTGCTTTTTGTCTCAGTTTTCTCCTTTGTGAAAAGGTCGTACCTTGCCATGTTCTTCTGAACTCACAGGCAGCCGGAGTGGGTCACATGAGTAACATTTCTCCAAGTGCTTTGTAAACTTGGATGCCTCTTCCATTCTGAGAGAGGGCACAGAAGCTCTGGGCTCCACCCCTGCGTCTTGCCCCATGCAGCGCTTCCATTCGGCTGTTCCTAAGTTGTATCCTTTGTAATACATGAGTAATCAAAAGTAAAGCCCTTCTCTGGGTTCTATGAGTCATTCTAACAAATTATCGAATCCGAAGGAGGGCTGCGGGCAACCCCCGAAGTTGTAGTTGGGCAGGCAGAAGCGTGGCTCACTTGGTGACCCTGCTTGTGGCTAGTGTCTAAGCCTTTATTAACCTGTGAAGTCTGCACTAACTCTGGGTAGTTAGGCTCAGAAATGGCTTGAATTGTTGGAAACCCAAGTGGTGTTGGAGAACTGGACAATTGGTTGTTGTTAGGAAAAACCCACACAGCTTCCTTTGCGTCAGGCATGGAGCCTAGTTGTTTTTTTTTTTTTTTTTTTTTTTTGTGCTGGGCAGTTGTTGAGGGTGATAGGGTCTTGCTCTGTTGCCCAGGCTGGAGTGCAGTGGTGCAATCATGGGTCACTGCAGCCTCAACCTCCTGGGCTCAAGTGATCCTCCTGCCTCAGCCTCCTGAGTAGCTGGGACTACAGGCACGTACCACCAAGCCCGGATAATTAAAAAAATTTTTTTTGTAGAGATGGGGCCTCACTGTGTTGCCCAGACTGGTCTTGAACTCCTGGACTCAAGCAACCTAGTGTTCTATATGCATCAGCTTACCCACTGTCTCTCTTTCTTTGCAAGACAGTGGTTCTCAAAGTGTGGCCTCAACCAGCAGCATCAGCAAATCCTGGGGTACCACCCCAGACCTGCCGAATCAGAAGATCTGGGGGTGGGACCCAGCAATCTGTGTTACTAAGAGATTCCAGTGATTCTGATGCATGCCCAAGCTTGAGAACTGCTGCCCTGGAGCAGAGATCCTCACTTCAGGCTGTGCCCTGGAACTGCCTGGCCAGCTCCCCTCCCCACATCCAAGTAGTATCTGGGGAAGGCACATGTAGAGATTCTGATTTAATTGGCCTGGTGGGGGCTGGACTTCACTATTTTATTTTTTTTGAGACAGAGTCTTGCTCTGTCGCCCAGGCTGGAGTGCAGTGGCACGATCTCGGCTCACTGCAACCTCTGCCTCCCAGGTTCAAGCGATTCTCCTGCCTCAGCCTCCCGAGTAGCTGGGCTTACAGGTGTGCACCACCACACCCTGCTAATTTTTTGTATTTTTAGTAGAGACGGGGGTCTCACTATGCTGGCCAGGCTGGTCTCGAACTCCTGACCTCAAGTGATCCCACCCACCTTGGCCTCCCAAAGTGCTGGGATTACAGGCGTGAGCCACTGTACCTGGCTGACTTCACTATTTTGTAAAGCTCCCCAGGAGGTTAATATGCTCCCAGGTCTTCCAGCATTACCTTAGGAGGTAGCTACCTCTCTTAGCTCCATTTTGCAGGTGCATAGGTTCTGGGAGATTAAAGGGCGTGCCCAAGTTATATAGCCATGTAAAGGGATGGGGAATTCTAAATCCCTGCCTTTCCACTTCCCCTCCTTCCTCCCATTCATTGCTTTTTGCTTTATTTAGAACTGTGTGGTTTCCCAAGCAACTTTCTTTGGAAAATTAAACAATTCCTGATGTCGCCATCTAGTGGCTAGCGATGAGAACAGATGAGCCTCTTCTGGACTTGGCAAGACGGGGCTCCTGGAGGACACACGTGGGAAGAGGAAAGGCCATCATTCATAGTTGCTCAGGCAGATGCTTTTGGGACACTTGGGTTCATTTTCCCAAAAGGTGTCCTTTCAGAAGGACAGTGGAATGAAGATGGGTTTCGTGTTTAAGAGCTATTGGGAGTTCACTCATGAACCCCAGGAGAAGCATGAGGTGTGGTCCCCAGGCAGGGGGAGGCACAGAGGGATCCGGGATGAGGGGGATTCACCTGGGCAGGAGAGCTTGACCTTCCTGCAGGGGCTGGCTCACCTTTGCTTGGGCACTGACTCATTCCACCATCAGCCACTGTGGGCCAGGCCCGAGGCTGCACTCGCCTTCAGACATCAGGGGAGAAGCACAGAATATTCCAGGTGCTCAGTCCTTCGTGATCCAAGCTGGTCTGTTCTTGGCCATGGGCAGAAGCTCCTGTGGAGGCTGATGGGGCGAGGAGAGGGTCTTGCCTCCAACTGGGGGAACTGAGGTGGCTGTGGGGGAGGGGGACAGCTTCTTGGAGCCTGTGCCCAGGGTCTAAATAGGAGCCCATAGGTATGACTCAAATCCAATGGCTGCTCCCCACCCTGCTGGCTCTTGTGGGGCCAGACAAGAGGCGCCAGAGGATGTCTCAGGACTGATGTGCTTGGGGTTCTCACCATGGCAGGGCACGGAGAGAAGTAAAGCTGTCTGAGAAAGGAGGGAGTGACTGACTACGCTCAGGGCACTCACAGGGTGGAATTCTTTTGTAAAAATAAATCTCAGTGGACAAAAGAGATTTAAGGGCTTGTACTATTGGAAGGTAAAGCCTCTAGCCTGGAAGCTTACCATTAGATGTCGTGTCTTTGCTTCTTCATGTAAACGCTGTTTTAGCATCTGTTGTGTATCAATCTCATCTGATTGCAGCCTCTTTTATTCCCAAACACATACTCACATCTCATGGGAGGCAAAAATTTCCAAGGAATACAGTTTGGGACACATTGGCCCCAAGGGAGGTCTCCAGTGGTATGCCACAAGATTCTATTCCAGGCCCATCTAGACTAGCATTCTTTTAAAAAATTAATGAATGAATTAATTATTGAGACAGTCTTGCAATGTCACCCAGGCTGGAGTGCAGCGGTGTGATCATGGCTCACTGCAGCCTCAACCTCCTGGGCTTATGGCAGCCTTGACCTCTCAGGATCAAGCTGTTGTCCCACTTCAGCCTCCTGAGTAGCTGGTACGAGAGGTGTGCACCACCATGCTCAGCTAACTCTTAAATTTTTTGTAGAGACAGGGTCTCTCTATGTTGCCCAGGCTAGTCTCAAACTCCTGACCTCAGCTGATTCTCCCACCCCAGCTTCCTAGTGTTGAGATTACAGGTGTAAGCCATTGTGCCTGGTCTGGACCAGCATTCTTTATCATCAACTTAGATGAAGACGATTGTCTACTGATCCAATCAATGGGCTCTTTAAACCCTGATGGGATGGAGGATGGGCTGGACAACAGGGTCAGGATCCAGAGGTCTTGTCAGGGTGAGGAAATGATTCAAAATATCAATAGGAAACATTACAAGGATGAGTTGAGGGCCCTGTATTTGGGATTGGAAAAAAAAAGTCAAAAGCAGCTGCCCAAAGATGGGAGACAAATATGAGAGAAACTGAGGACCACTTGGTCAATGGTTGGGATAATAATAGTATTAATAAAATAATGATAGCTGACATGGACGACCTTATTTGACCTTCACAACAATGCATGAAATAGGTATTATTATTGATCCCTATTTGACAGATGGGAAAATTGAGGCTCCTAGAGGTTAAATAACTCAGAACCTCCCTCAGGGCCTGCTGGTACCATGTTCATTCCTTTCAGGGCAAGCAGAGAATGTACAGGAAACAACTATGGGAAAGTTTAACCTAAAATAGAACAGGGTTGGGCGCGGTGGCTTACGCCTGTCATCCCAGCACTTTGGGAGGCCGAGGTGGGCGGATCACCTGAGGTCAGCAGTCCGAGACCAGCCTGGCCAAAATGGTGAAACCCTATCTCTACTAAAAATACAAAAATGAACCAGGTGTGGTGGCAGGCACCTGTAATCCCAGCCACTCGGGAGGCAGAGGCAGGAGATTTGCTTGAACCTGGGAGATGGAGGTTGCAGTGAGCTGAGATCGCACCACTGCACTCCAGCCTGGGTGACTGAGCGAGACTCTGTCTCAGAAAAAAAAAAAAAAAAAAAAGAAAAAGAAAAAGAAAAAAAAGTAGAATAGGAAGCCATGGAGGTAGTGAGCTCCCCATCCTTAGGGGATGTTCAAGTGTAGGCTGGAAAACACTGGCAGTGCTGTTGTGGTAAGGATCTCAGCAACAGATAGGGTCTAGAAAGAAATAATATTTAAGGTCCCTCTTCCCTCTGCAATTCTATAATTCTGCTCTAGCAATTTATTTCTTTAAAGTCAAGTTTATGATAAGGGAGGACTATATTTTTTCCACATGGAATGTATGCTTTATTTATAATACTTTGGGGTTTCTTCTATGACAAATATGCTCACTATATTTCTGAGTTCTAGGACTTGTGACAAATTTTACATGACCATTTAGGGTTTACATTTTCAGCTGATTATTAAGACATTTATAGTTTTTGCACATTTATATTTATGACATTGGGTTGGTCGTATTTATGATGTACTGGACGCCTAGCCATTGGTCAGGAAGCCTGGCTGAATATCTTAACATTGTTTCTGCGGGAAAACGTGTCTTGCTTTACGGTAATTCATTTTATGATGTGGATTCAGAAACTCAGTGAATTTACTCTGGGAGAAAAAACTCAACAGCTACGCAATTTGGGGAAGTCTCGTAGATTTAGAGGCAGATGACCTCGAGTTAGCTATGTGGCTTGGGTGAGTTTCTCAACACTTCTGTGCCTCAGTTTCTGTATTTAGTAATCTGAGCTAGGGAGTGGGAGGGAGGACACACATACCCTCCCCAACATTGCTGAGGTGGTGGTTTCTGTTTTGCTCTTACTGGGCACATGGGAGGGACTCAGCCCTGAACCTTCCCTCTCTCTTGTCCTCCTTGGATTTGCTGGTGGTACCTTGGGAACCATGTGCCTTGAAGGCTGCTTTCCCAGAGGGGCTCCAGCTTTTGGGAGGATTCTTAGGAATCCTTCCCAGGAATCTTGCCAGGCAGCATGTTTTCAGCACGTTAGAATTTTGCTCTGGGCTCCAAACTAAACTTGTTTCACCTTAAATAAAAGAAATCAATCCTCACAGCTGAGCTGTGCTACAACATTGATTTAGCATACATTTTGACATAGCCTGGCTAATAAATAAGCAGAAAGGCAATAAACATTAGGGAGAATTATCTGTTAGGGAATTGGGGTGGGCAGCTGGGGAATGGAGTGGTGGTGGTGAATTCCCCCCTGCCCTCCGCCTCCTTCTCTGCTTTCATCCTGAGACCCTCATCAATTGTGGGGTGAGCAGCAGCAGCAACAGCAGCAGCAGCAGAGATTCCAGTGGCGCTGCCTTGGCAGGTGGTGGATTTGGGGAAGTGGAGAGGGTCTGGCGGCCTCCCTCAGTGGGACTCTTGGTTCTCAGACCTGGCTGGCAGAGCGAGGAGACCTGCCTCTCTCTGGCCTTTGGTGCCCACCTGTGAATCCCAGCCCCTGAGCTGTGTGATCATGGGTATGTGAATTCACCTCTCTGCACCTTGGTTTTCTCACCTGGAAAACTGGGAACACTTTCGGCAGGCGCTGAGTGAGATGCAGGGACAATGTCATCCATAGTCAGCGTGTTAATACACGTCAGCCATGGCTGTCCCACCGTGGAGGTTAACGAAGAAGCTGTCTGCCAGATGTCCAGCACCTAGTAGGCACACTGTAAGCAGCCAGTGTTACTATTCTGGGAGGTGGGTTAATCAGCTTTTGGGGGCCCTGCCCTCAAGTCTTGGGTCCTTCCCCTTCCTCACCATGCTTGTGTCCTGCTGTGGCCCTGGGAACATCTATTGTCACTTTCCCAATTCCCAGGCTCAGAGTTCAGTTGACTTCTACTGGACGTACTCCCTCCCCAGCGCCCCCCGCCACTGTTGGCCTCTCTGGGCTCTGTGGGCACACTGGGGTCTCCAGCGTCTCTTCTTGCGTAATTGCATTTGATTTTCGTAGTGTGTTAGTGACTTAGTTATCGGTTAACAGGAACCTCAAATAAATAACTCTCTGCCCCATCTGCTTGCTGGTAGGTGATGAGGAAGAAACAAATGTGAATTTGAAAAGTGATACATTTCCCCCAACATGATTTCTGTCTCCGGTCATAAATGTCAGATAAATGAATCTGTTTTGTGAAGAATTAGCATATTGGTTCAGGGAAGCATCTGCTGGGCTGTGAATCACGAAGCCTTGGAACACTCCCTGGCTCTCCCCTGCTTGCTGCGCGGTGCCTGCAGGCGCTGCCTCCCTGCTTGAGTACTGGGAGCCTTGGCAGAAGGGAATGGGGCAACCTCTGCCATCCAGCACTTCCCCTCTCCACCAAACCCAGGCCCTCCCAGGTGCTGTGCCTGTTGGTGCAGATGACTTTGGTCCCCCAGTGTGACCTTCCCCAGAACCCTGACCACAGCCACCCACCCCACCCCTGGCTTCAGAACAAGGCAAGGTGAAGCTGGCATTTTAGCTCCATGGTTCCTGGCTGTGTGACGTTGGGTGAATTGCTTCCACTCTCTGAGCCTCAGTTTTCTCAGCTATAAAGGGGAATAGTAATGCCCAGGACCAATGTATGCATTTTAGGCACAGGAAACACAGTTCCTAGGACCCAAGCTACTTTTAAGGGATGCGGTTGGCAGAATAATGGCCCGTGAAGAGGTCCGCATCTCAATCTCTGGAAACTGACAATGTTATGCCACATGGCAAATGGGAATGAAGGCTGTATGTGGAATTAAGGTTGCTGATTAGATGAGCTTAAATAGAGAGATTTTCCTGGGATGCCCAAAGTGATTACAAGGGTCCTAGAATGTGGAAGAGGGAGACGGAGACTGAGTATCACAGTAATGTCAGAATGTAATGTAATGTAAGTAATGTGTAAGAAGAGGGAGGTAAGAATGTGTGTAATGTAAAGAGGGAGGTAAGAATGTGTGTAATGTAAAGAGGGAGGTAAGAATGTGTGTAATGTAAGTAATGTGTAGGAAGAGGGAGGAAAGGTCCACAAGCCAAGGAATGTGGCAGGAAAAGGCAAGGAAGTGGATTCTCCCATAGAGCATCCTGAAAGGCATGCAGCCCTGCCAACACCTTGGTTTTAGCCTAGGGACACCCATTGCGGACTTCTCACCTCCAGAATTATGAAGTCATACATCTGCATTGTTTTAAGCCACTAAATTTATGGTAGCTTGTCATAGCAGCAAGAAGAAACTAATACAGGCTGGGTGCAGTGGCAAACAGCAGGACCTTGGGAGCCTGAGGCAGTAGGATCACTTGAGGCCAGGTCCAGCATGGGCAACATAGTGAGACCCCCATCTCTAAAAAAGCTTTAAACAATTAGCCCAACAGGATGGCATGTGCCTGTAGTCCCAGCTACTAGATAGGCTGAGGCAGGAGGATCACTTGAGCCCAGGAGTTCGAGGTTACAGTGAGCTATGATTGTGTCACTGCACTCCAGCCTGGGCAACATTGCGAGACTCTGTCTCTAAAAAACAAAAATATAAATAAAAACTGAAAAAAAAAAAAAGTGAATACAGGGACATACAAAAATATTCTAATTTATTTTAAAATCAGAAGAAAAAAATAAATATAAGCCAGGCTTAGTTGTATATGGGTTTATACCAAAAAGCATAAAGTATAATCTTTATTTTTTAATTTAATTTAATATTTTTGAGATGGAGTCTCTCTTTGTCTCCCACGCTGGAGTGCAGTGGTGTGGTCTCAGCTCGCTGCAACCTCCGCCTCCCAGGTTCAAGTGAGTCTCCTGCCTCAGCCTCCCCAGTAGATGGGATTATAGGTGCATGCTATCATGCCAAGCTAAGTTTTGTCTTTTTAGTAGAGATGGGTTTCACCATGTTAGCCAGGCTGGTCTTGAACTCCTGACCTCAAGTGATCCACCTGCCTGGGCTTCCTAAAGTGCTGGGATTACTGGTGTGAGCTACTGCGCTCAGCAGATAAAGTATAATCTTTGTTTTAGGGAGGAAGGGGCCCACGAAGGCAAAAGTGCCGAGGGCTCATGGTCCATGCAGCCATCATGCATCTTGCCTTGCAACCCGCAATGGGCTTAAAGGAGAGGGTGTTGGCAAGGCACCTGCTAGGATGCACGGATCACACACCAGGAGTCAGAAATGGGGGCAGCTGTTGTTTTGTGTTGTGGTCAGTTTCCCTTCCAAGTACTAAGGCTCCCCGTTGGGGGAATGCCTTGACCTAAAGCTTTGCACCCCACTGCTGGGACCCTTTATCTCCTGGCAGGACCTAACTGACCCAAAGGTCAGGTGGAGGGCCAACCCTGGCTTGCTGTGTGCCTACTGGGGGGGCCTTCCTCCTGGTCCCCCTTGCCTGCATCCATTGCTGAGTGTCCCACAATAACACAATTGGCTGAGCACCTACTCTGTTCTTGGACTGGAGGGTGGGAGCCTGAAATCTCATCCAGTGCTCCCTCTGGAATAGTAGCATCTTTGATTTTTCAAAGCCACACAGTGAGGCAGATACTGATCCACCATCCCACCAGAGTCTGTGTGACTCCATCCCACTCAGCAGGGCTCCTCTGTCTCCTGATGGCGAGAGTCACCTAGGAACTTGTAAAAACCACAGTGCTGCAGCCCCAGCCAGCCCCGCTGAACCTGAACCTCCTGGGAGGGGCCGCGAGGCTGCCATATGGTTACCAGGGCTCCAGGTGAGTTCTGTCCTCAGTAGGGAAGACCCTACTGCACCCTACTGCACAGGGTGCATGCTCACTTGCAACAAGGGAAGGGGACAAACAGAGAGCATGAACATGTGAACTTGGTATGTTCTATGTGCCAGGTGTGGGGCTGGGGAGGGCTACCTTGTGTTACCACGGCCATCTTTCTAGGTGAAAACAACCCCATTTTAGAGATGGGAAGACTGAGGCTCAGGGAGGCAGCATGAAAACGCTGAACCATGGAGGTTGAGGCAGGGTTAGGTGGAGTGCAGAGTCCTGGGGTTGCTGGAGCTGAACCAGGGCATGCGGCCACTCTGCAGGAGTGGTGGCTCGAGCCAGGGTATCCCCTGGCTCGGTTTCTCTTCCTGACCCTGACACTGATGCTTGGTGTAACTTTGAGTCCATCCTTTCTTCTCTGGACCACATTCCCTTGTATTATGAAGCCATTTGGCTTGGTGGTAAGATTTCCCACCTCCGGAACCTTGTACGTGCTGTTCCCTCCGCCTGCAATGCTCTTCTCCCCACTTCTTTTTAAAATGACTTTGACTGACAAATCATAATTATATACATTTATGGAGTACAGTGTGATGTTTTCATACATGTATACAATGTGAAATAATTAAATCAAGTGAATTAACATATCCCTCACTTCATTTGCCTTTTTTTTTTTTTTTTGTGGTGAGATGTTTGAAACTTACTGTCTTAATTATTGAAATACAGTCACAAGTCACCTAACGACAGGGTGACATTCTGAGAAGTGCATTGTTAGGTAATTTCATTGTTGTGTGAACATCATGGAGTGAACTCACACAAACCTAGATGATACAGCCTACTACACACTTAGGCTATATGGTAGAGCCTATTGCTCCTAGACTACAAACCTGTACAACATGCTTCTGTAGTGAATGGTAAGTATTTGTAAATCTAAACATATCTAAACATAGGAAAGGTACAGTAAAAATATGGTATAAAAGATAAAAAATAGTACACCTATATACAGCAGCTCCATTACAATCTTTTGGGACCCCCATCATATACGTGGTCCACTGCTGACCAAAATGTTGTTATTCACATGACCGTATATGACATATATGATTGACAAGAGCCACCCTGTTGTGCAGTAGATCTCAAAACTTATTCCTCCTCTCTCTGTGACACTTTGTATTTTTGATTTTTTTTTGAGATGGAGTTTCCCTCTTGTTGCCCAGGCTGGAGTGCAATGGTGTGATCTTGGCTCACTGCAACCTCCGCCTCGTGGGTTCAAGCAATTCTCCTGCCTCAACCTCCTGAGTAGCTGGGATTACAGGCGTGCACCACCACACCCAAATGATTTTTGGATTTTTAGTAGAGACGGGGTTTCACCATGTTGGCCAGGCTGGTCTTGAACTCCTGATCTCAGGTGATGCACCTACCTCGGCCTCCCAAAGTTCTGGGATTACAGGTGTGAGCCACCAAACCTGGCTGACACTTTGTAACTTTTAATCAACAGCTCCACATTCCCTCCTCCAACTCTCCCCACTAGCCCCTGGTAACCACTATTCTATTCTCTACTTCTGTGAATTCAACTTTTTTTTAGATTCCACATGTAGATGAGATCATGTGGAATTTGTCTTTCAGAGCTTGGCTTATTTCACTTAGCATAATGTCCTCCAGGTTCATCTACATTGCCGGAAATGACAGGATTTTCTGCTTTTTAAAGGCTGAATAGTGTTCCATTTGTGTATGTATGTCACATTTTCTTTATTCATTCATCCATGGGATGGGCACTTAGGTTGATTCTGTATATTGGCTGTTGTAATAATGCTGTAACGAACACAGGACTGCAGGTATCCCTTTAACGATTTTATTTCAGTTCCTCTGGGTATATATGGAGAAGCGAGATTGTTGGATCATATGGTAGTTCTCGTTTTAGTTTTTCGAGGGACTCCCATACTGTTTTCTATGATGGCTGTGCCAATTTACATTCCCATCAACAGTGCACAAGGCTTCCCCTTTCTGCACATCCTCGCCAACGCTTGTCTTTTATTTTCGTGTTAATGGCCATTCTAACAGGTGAGGGGTGGCATCTCATTGCGGTTTTAATTTGCATTTCCCTAATGATTAGTGACGCTGAGTATTTTTCACGAACCTGTTGGCATTTGTACGTCTTCTTTTGAGAAATGTCTGTTCAGCTTCCCCACTTCTTGCGCAGCCAGCTCCTTCTCACTCTTCGGGTTTCTGCTCCAATGTGCTTTCCTCTTCTGCCTTCCCAACCAGACCTTACCCTGCCCCGCTCAGCCCCCTTCTCAGCCTCTGGTTTGGCCTTCGGAGCGCTTACCACCATTTGTAGTTCTGTTTGTGTCTGCCTCTGTGTTTCCTGCCTGTCTCCCATCTGGGTTGTGAGCCCCACAAGGTCAGGAACCCTGCATCTGCTTTACTGTCTTTGGTGTCCAGTGCCCAGCCCTGCCTCAGGCCCACGGTGGGTTGAATAAATGAGTAAATGAATGAATGAATGAATAAATGAATGAATGAGTCAATGAGTGTTGTCTGTGCCAGTTGGCAAGACACTTGGTCTGGCCCCACTGGGGGAGACGTGATCTGGGCTACCCAGGAGTCCTTGCTCCTTCATTGGACATGGCTCCTGGAAGCAGCACAGCCCTCTGGGGTGGGACACCCCAGCCGAAAGCAGGTGGGGGGAAATGGGGGAAAGCAGGTAGGGGACAATGGGTCTCCTGGGCAGCTCAATGGAAGGGTTAGAGTGACAAGAGTGTGGGTGGGAGAGTAACATCTCCTTGAGGCCCCATGTATTGGGCATCCTTCTGAGGTCTTGCCCATGCATAAGCTCATGCTCCCCGCTTTCTCACTTGTCCTTCTTATCCATTCAGCAACAGTTCCTGAGACGTTTTGCTTCTAATATCTCTTGAGCCCATGCCTCCCTCTTCATTCACTGCCTCCACTCTCCTAGCTACAGCCTCTCTCTATGGAATGAGCCACTGCAGGGGCCAAGCTTAGCTGCCCTCCAACTCCCTACCTCCAGTCCAGATTCCAGCCTGGTTGTTATGGTGATCTGTCCCCTATGCAAATCTGGGGACATCACTTCTTCTTTTTCCTTCCTTCCTTCCTTCCTTCCTTCCTTCCTTCCTTCCTTCCTTCCTTCCTTCCTTCCTCCCTCCCTCCCTCCCTCCCTCCCTCTCTCTCTCTCTGTTTCTTTCTTTTGATGGAGTCTACCTCTGTCGCCCAGGCTGGAGTGCAGTGGTGCAATTTCCGCTCACTGCAACCTCCGCCTCCCAGGTCCAAGCGATTCTCCTGCCTCAGCTTCCCAAGTAGTGGGGACTACAGGTCTGTGCCATCATGCCTGGCTAATATTTGTATTCTTAGTAGAGATGGGGTTTCACCATGTTGGCCAGGCTGGTCTCGAACTCCTGACCTCAGGTGACCCACCTGCCTTGGTCTCCCAAAGTGCTGGGATTACAAGTGTGAGCCACTGCACCCAGCCTGGGCACATCACTTTCAACACCCTTCCACGAGTGGAAGCCTTTCTCCACTGCCTTCAGGACCAAGGAGTACCCACCTCCTTGTGAGCCCAGTACCCAGCAGATGGTGGATTAGTACTTGTTGGATGAATGAGTGTAGAGATCTCAATGGGCCTTGCCTGCAGTCTCCATTTGCATCCGCCCCCCAGAAAGAACAAACTGAGTAAATTCTGGAAATCTGTGTCCCTCTCCCACTTCATGTATCAGAGAATGGCATGATGAGGAGGCAGAAAGGAACCTGAGAGGCTGTCAAGGCCAAGAGACTGATTTTACAAATGGGTCAACCAAGGCTCGGAGGTGGGTGTGACTGTCCCGGGTCAGGAGCAGAGCTGGGAGGGAGCACTGGGATGGGTGTCAAGAGACTGGATTCTAGTTCTGGCTTTCACACTGACTGGCTGTGCAACTCTGCGAGGAAGATCACTGCCCATTCTGGGCTCAGCCTTCACATCTGCAAAATGGAGCAGCTGAGCTTCGCGATGCCCTCCCTTCAGCTCTGACAGTCTGAGATGTGGGGACTGCATAGAATATCCTTACCTCCTGTGTGTTTTCTGGGTGCTGAGAATGTCCCAGGTATTCTCAGAGTCTAACCACGGGACTGGATATTCTTTCAGAGAACCTAGGTATTTTCGGCTTTCTTCCCCCACATGAGGAGTGGTCAGGAAGGATCAGAGGGAGGACCCTGCCCCACCTATCTCTCCTCACTGTGGGTTTCTACTCAGGCCCCACAGCACAGCCCCATCAGGGCTCTCTGGAGGGGCTGGGGGAGTGGAGCACCTTTTTGACTGCTGTTGTCTAGGAGGTTTGAACTGAGACTGGGTGTGCTGTGGAGGACTTGTGTTTCACCTGGGGCGGCCAGGAGGTGGCTCTGGTATCTGCTTTGTCTGTCCAGGGCTCTGGACAGAGGGATGTGTTTGTTTCCTGGGATGCCATCATTGCTGTCCTCCACCCAGACTGTCCCCTGTGGGCCACCTTTTAGCACCTGTCTCTTGTTGCCTCATCATTCTGCTGGCACATGTGTTCACCGGCTTTCAGTCAGTCTGTGAGGCTGCTTGTGTGCCTCTGAACAGCCTTCATGGGTGCTTGTCTTTGGAGCTTGGAGATTTATTAGAGCTAAAACTGGAAGGCCACGACTTCAGAGAAACCTCTTTTCATTAATTAAGTTGGGGGACACTCCTGGCTGTCTTTGTGAAAGGCTTTGGTTGTGGGCATTGTTCGTCTGTATTAACGAACCTGTGTGTCCTTGCTTTTAAAAAAAATTCTTCTTTTCTTTTTAGAGACAGAGTGTCACCATGTTGGCCAGTCTGGTCTCAAACTCCTGGCCTCAAGTGATCCTCCTGCCTTGGTTTCTGCCAAGTGCTGGGATTACAGGTGTGAGCCATCGCACCTGGCTCCTGTGTGTCCTTGAGTGTGTTTATCTTTTATATGTGTGAGTGTGTGCCAGCCAGATGTGTGCCCCTGAGCGTAAACATGTGTTTACATGTTTGTTGCATCAAGAAATTTCTTCCAGGCTATGTTTTTTTTTTTTTGTTGTTGTTGTTTTAAAAGGATCCCTCCTGCTCCCTTCTCTGTCCATTCTGGGCTCTTGGCTGACAAGAGCTAGTGGCCCATGGAAATGCTCCTCCTGTGGATGGAAAAGAAGAGTGCAGGCCACACCTTGGAGCCTTATTCTGCCTTTGACCTTGGTATGGTTGTGGGCAGAATGGCATCTCAGCACTTACCATGTGACAAGCCATCGGGGCAGAGGCCTGAAGAGGGGTCGAGCTATGCTTGGGAGGAGTAGGACAAGGGATCTTTCCTCATGCTGTGGAGTGATGAAGAACTCGAAAGTGATGGCGAATGCTTATGGGCCAGACATGGGTTCACATCTGTTTCAGCATGTGTTAGCTTTGTGGATTTTAGGAAAATCATGCTCTGAGCCTTGGGCTGGATCATCTGGGTAATGGCTAGGAGTATGATGCTTCATCGTAAATCCGATAATGGGAAGCTGCTGCAGTGGAACTGTCCCCAACTTTTTTGGCACCAGGGACTGGTTTCATGGAAGGCAATTTTCCCATGAACAGTGGAGGGGTGTTTTCGGGATGAAACTGTTCCACCTCAGATCATCAGGCATTAGTTTCTCATAAGGAGCGCACAACCTAGAGCTGTCGAATGTGCAGTTCACGATAGGGTTCGCGCTCCTACGAGAATCTAATGCTGCCACTGATCTGACGGGAGGCGGAGCTCGGGTGGTAATACTCACTTGCCCGCTGCTCACCTCCTGCTGTGCAGCCGGGTTCCTAACAGGCTACAGACCCATACCTCGTCCATAGCCCAAGGGTTGAGGACCTCTGCCATAGATGCTTCTGTGATGATGTACGTGTTCTGTATCTGTAATGGTCAATATGGTAGCCACTACCTGCATGTGGCTACTGAACACTTGGAGTGTGCTAGTGTGACTGAAGAACTGAAATTTCAGGTTTATTTAATTTTAATTACTTTAAATTTAAATTCAAACGGCTACATAATGACTAATGGCTACTATATCGGATCCACCACTAGATGGCAGCACTGGAGAATGTCAAGCAATGAAAGTGGCACAATCTAATTTAGTGTGAAATAAAGTGTGGGCAACTCTTTTCCCCCAAATGTATTCTTTTCTTTTGGTCCATGAACTTCAAGCCTTGGAGTGACTGACCTTTTTTACAGGGACACTAGAAGGCAGCAATGGCCAATCTCTTAATGCCCAATGCACAGTGTTTCTTAAATCCCCTGGTGATGTTTTGCTTGGCTGATGCCTAGCAAGGCTGGGGGGAATGGCTGGGAAACTGGCTTTGCTGAGCTCTGTCCTCTGCCAGAGCTGGAGGAAGGTGGGGTTATGGATGCTCTTCAAGGAAAGCCAAGTCAGCTTGTCACTTGCCCTCTGGCTCTGGGCTGCTCAATCTGCTTCCTGCTGAAACCAAGTTCAGTAGAAATAGAGGGAGGACAAAAGATAGCCTTCAAGCTAGAGTCAAGAGACCTGAATCTGAAGCTCATCTTGGCTGCTTGCCTGCTATGGGATCTCGGGCAAGTTGCTTGGCATCTGTTGGCCTCACCTTCCTCACCTGTGACTCGCCATCGCTGTGATGAGGACAATGATGCCATCTCTACTGACCCGGTACGAGGAGCTGCATCCATACTGCCTCATCATCTCCTTTTGGCTATTTGATGGGGTCTGGATGACAAAACCTCCAATTTGTAGTTAAGGCTACTTAGTCCCTGCCAGATGAGGGGATGAGAAGATTTACCTGGATCAAAAAGCTGGTGAGTAGCAGAGTCAGGACTCAAACCCACATCTAACTCCAAAGTCTGTGCTCTTTCCACCTTATCAAGCCAGCTGGCGTGGATGCTCTCTCCCTCAGACTGTGGGGATGGAGGGGATGATGACCGTGAGGAAGTGGAAGAGGAGGAGGGGAGCAGGGGTACATGACTTGAGTTTCTTCCAGTCACAAATAACTGCTGGACAGCTCTGCCCAGGGACCTGAACCTGAGGGCCTCAAAGTCCTCATCTGAAAAGTGGGCACAATTCCACAGTCGGCTTCCAAAGCTTGCTATGAAGATGAAATGGGATTTTGATTGTGAAAGTGCCTTGCACAGTGGGCCATCGATCAATATTTATAAAGCAATACGTATTCAGATAAAGGAGGCTTATGGGGCCAGTGAAGTGGCCTGGAGAAGGTGGTCCCACAGTCTGGGAAGGTCAGAGAGGAAGCGAGGGGAACTTGGGCTGGGAAATGGGGTGAGAAAAGACTCAGGGTCAGGGGAATTCATGGTCTCTGGCAGAGAAGACACTCCTGGCAGAAGCCAGGAGGCAGTGTTGGAAGCGCTCAGTGTGTATTTTGCTTTGTGTGTTCTGAGGCTCTAGCCCCTTACTGGGGGAGGGGAGGGCCCAGCACACAAATCGCAGGTGGCGAACATAGTTTTTTTCCGCTCCAGTTTTAGGGGAACCATCGATTATTCACACACACCACTGGGGGAGACCGCTCTGGTCCCTTCGGCATCTCCTAGGCTCTGTTCCGGGACGTGGGGTCTTTGTCCACTTCTGAGGGTGGCAGATGTTTCTGGTCCTCCTCCTATGGCTCAGTCTTTTTACTGCCTCACCCACCGTTCCTGGGTTCCCACTCTCCTGCATTGAGCCCCTGCTGGGGGTTTTCCATTGTTCTCCTTCTGGAAGGTGGTGGGGAAGCTTTGAAGGCAGAGGAGGAGAGGGAGAAGGAGTTTCCAGGCACGATATCTGAACATCCATCCACGTAACCCTCACACCACAGAGGTGAACTTCCTGACAGCGTGGGACACAGGCCTCATTGTGCCCCCCTTCCCCTTGAATTATAGTAAAAAATGTCCCTCTCTTTGCGATGTTAACCTTTGGGGTGGGGACAGGAGTGGGCAATGCCAGTCTGCAGGAAGAGGAACGGGGAGGTGGCGGGGGGGGGGCACTCCTTCCACCAGAAAGGAATTTGTTAAGGAGGATGGGGAGAAGACCTTGACCAACTGTTCTGGGAAGTGGGGGCCCCTCCAGCCCTCGAAGGAGCCCGTGCTCCCCCAGGAAAGGCAGCTCCAGCTCACCACCCTCTCCTCGGCTTTAGATTTTGGTGCTTGCTGAGGCTTCCTGGTGTCCGCCTTGCCTGACACATGCCCCACAGAGGAGAGTTCACACACGCAGCATCAACGGGAGCTTAGGGACAATCCCATTTCTTCCTTCCTTGCAGGGAAACTGCAGCCCAGAGGGTCAGGGACCACCCTCCCTGCTGCCCCCTGCTGGCAGCTGCACAGCTGAGTTGTTCCCCTTGCTGTCCTTGTGTTCCCACTCCTGTCCCACCCATCCAGGTGTCTGTGGGGTCTTCTGCTGGGGACTCTTAGGTGCCACCCCCTGTGCTAAAGAAACTACCCTGGGGGACCAGGGTGAGTCCAGAGAGGTTGTGTAGACTTGCCCGGGGTCACACAGCCTGAAAGTCATCAGCTGTGGGCTTGGTGCTGGGGTCGGGGACTTGCTTTGCTCCATCCTTGTCCCACTCCTAGGTGGAATCAGTGAGCCAGTCCCTTGCTCTCTGATATGGTTTGGCTCTGTGTCCCCACCCAAGTCTCATCTTGAATTGTAATCCACAAGCGTCGGGAGGTGATTGGATCATGGGGGCAGTTTCCCCCAGCTGTTCTTGTGATAGTGAGTTCTCAGGAGCTCTGATGGTTTTATAAGGGGCTCTTCCCTCTTCACTGTCACTCGCTCTCCTGCTGCCTTGTGAAAAAGGTGCCTGCTTCCCCTTCTGCCATGACTGTAAGTTTCTGAGGCCTCCCCAGCCATGTGGAACTGTGAGTCAATTAAACCTCTTTTGTTTATAAATTACCCAGTCTGGGGTAGTATCTTTATAGCAGTGTGAAAACGGACTAATACACTCTCCGTAAGGCTCCACAGCACCCACTCCCCAGCTGATGGAGTTTCCATTCGCCTCGCTTCTCTTTGCATAGAAAGTAAACACAATTTTTTGGGGAACATGGATTCTGGGCTTTATGCCTTCAATTCCTCCCTCTGAAAAACATATTCTCGCCTAATAATTTGAAGAAGAAAAACAGCCACTGAGAAGTGTTGCTTTCCAAGAAATGATATTTTTCTTCATGCTCCTTTTTTTTTTTTTTTTAATGTAGGAGGGTGAGAGCTGGGGATTAATCTGTACTCAGAAAAGATGAGAAACAGGCTCTGCTGTCTCCTGGACCACACTCAGGTATGACCTTGGACCAGGGAACAGAGCGCCAGGGGTTTCTTTAGCACCTGCCATTGACTGATTGGGATTGATTGATTCATTCAAGTATTTACTGAGTGTCACTCATGCGTCTGCCAGGTGGCATGGCAGATGCAATGAGGAGCCTAATACAGTCACAATCTCTGCTAGGACATCTTCTATGGAAAAGTCAGAGTTGTCTTTTTCCAATCCATTTCGCACTTTTGCCAGAGGGATCTTTGTAGAACACAAATCTAATTACATCATTCTGTTGCTTAAAATCCTCCAGTGCCTCCCCAGTGACTTAGGTCATGGGAGCTACAAACTCCTCCCAGAGCCTGTGATCTACCTTCCTCTCCCCTCTTCATCTCATCTCCCCCTCTACCTCCAACTTCCCTATCCAGAATGTTCTACTCTGTTTGACCCAGGACTATCTATGCTGGAGAATCCGAGATTTCTACACCAGCTCTTTTCTATAGAAATACAGTGCATGCCACCTGTTTAACATTTTCTAGTAGGTAAAAAGAAACAGGTGAAATCAACATTGATAATATTTATTTAACTCAATCTATCAAAAATGTTATCAAATTAGGCTGGGTGCAGTAGCTCACGCCTGTAATCCCAGCACTTTGGGAGGCTGAGGTGGGAGGATTGCTTGAGTCTAGGAGTTCCAGACCAGCCTGGCCAACATGGTGAAACCCTGTCTCTACTAAAAATACAAAAACTAGCCAGGCATGGTGGCACACGCCTGCAGTCCCAGCTACTTGGGAGGCTGAGGCAGGAGAATCACTTAAAGTTGGGAGGCGGAGGTTGTAGTGAGCTGAGATCACACTACTATACTCCAGCCTGAGTGACAGAGAGAGACTGTCTAAAAATATATACATGTATATATACACATATGTGTGTGTGTATATATATAGTGTATATATATAATCAAATCAACATGTAATTAATAAAAAATTATCAGTGAGTTTTTTTTACACTGTGACATTGAAATTTGGTGTATATTTTATACTTACAGGACATCTCAATTCAGATGTTAACATTTTGCTGGAAATACCTGATTAGCATTTAGATTTCATAAAGTATGAATTGAATTAAAATAAAAACAAAACATTTAGTTCTTTAGTTTCACTAGCCACTTAGCAAGTGCTTAATTGTCATATGTGACTGGTAGCTACCATTTTTATCCAGCATGTTCTACGTCAGGGTTTTCAACAGTGATGCTATTGAGTTTTTGGATGGATAATTCTTTATTGGAGGTGGGGGTGGCTGTCCTGTGTATCGTAGGATATGTAGATAGTAACATCCTCGGCCTTCACCCACTAGAGGACAGTGCATCCACCCAGCTGTGACAATAAAAAAGACTCCATAGGCTGGGTGCGGTGGCTCATGCCTGTAATCCCAGCACTTTGAGAGGCCAAGGTGGGCGGGTCACCTGAAGTCAGGAGTTTGAGACTAGCCTGGCCAACATGGTGAAACCCTGTCTCTACTAAAAATACAAAAATTAGCCAGGCGTAGTGGTGGGTACTTGTAATTCCAGCTACTGGTGAGGCTAAGGCAGGAGAATCACTTAAACCGGGGAGGAGGAGGTTGCAGTGAGCCGAGATGGCACCACTGCACACCAGCCTGGGCAACAAAGCGAGACTCCCTCTCAAAAACAAAAAACAAACAAACAAAAAAACACTCCATATATTGACAAATGTCTCTAGGGGGAGACAACATACACCGTTCGATTTAGAATGCTCCAGGTTGGCTAATTGAGTATGAGCTAAAGTCTGCAAGCTAGGACTACTCATGCTGTCAAATCCAGGATAGTTCAACCTGTCTAGTTTGGGTTTGTCCATTTTGGTCAACCCACGGCCTACACTGGTCTATATAGGACTCCTCACACTGCCTGGTCTGGGGTGATCTACACCAGAATTCATGAATTGGTGCCCCCAAGAACAGAACCAGGCCTACAGATTGGTTTTGTGTGGCTTACACGATGTTAAGAATATTTGAGTTAATCGTCAGCATTTTAAAATCAGATGTTGCATACCAATCTGGATTTCGAGTTTATCTGGAAAGCTCTGGTCTCCCTGAGACCCCATTCCCATTTAGTAAGTATCAGAACTGTGTTCTGATTCACAGGGTGAACACAGCATGGAGAGAGCACGGCTGATGAGAACTCATGCGCTACTGTATGGACAGTGCCAAGCCACGAGGCATCTATCCCATGGCCCAGACACCCCCCGCCAGGCCTCACCTCCAACACTGGGGATCATATCTCAACATGAGATTTGGAGGGGACAACTGGGGAAGCATCTGTCTCCACCCAACTCACTCATACTAGTGACACCCACCTGAGCCCCCGGCATTAGAGTCTGTGATCCCAGGTCTGCCCTGACCCGCACGCCTGTGAACTGGTGGATCCAGGCTGGCCTTGGAGTGGGATCTCAAGGAGGCCTGCGCATTAGAATCACCTGTTCAGCTTTAGAAACATACAGATACCCAGGCCCATCTCAGACTTTCTGAAGTAGAAATAGGGGAGCATGTGTATTTTAAAAAGTTTCACAGTCAAGTCCGTCACTCAGTAAGGTGGCACCCTTACAAAAATCACTTGTCTAGTTGGGCCACCCCATGCAGATCGCGCATAGCAGAGTCAGCTCTCTGGAGTAATCTTGGGTCTCCAGCGGGGCTTTCTGGCTGCTCTTAGGCTACTGGCATCATTGTCCAGCAAGGTGGCCCTTGAGCTTGGATGTGACTTTGCTGATGCAAAGGACTACAGAGGCCACCGTGGGTGGATTGAATTGGGTCCTCTCTTCTGAATGTGGCATGTCTCTGAATCCTGCTCTAGCTGCACAGTCTGTATCTTTTGGGGGTTCATGGGTCAGGAGGCAGATTTGGATCTTGGCTGATACACTTTGGATGTCCCCTCCAAATCTCATGTTGAGATATAATCCCTAGTGTTGGAGGTGGGGTCTGGGGGGAGGTGTTTGGGTCATGGCTTGGCACTGTCCTCACGGTAGTGGGTGAGTTCTTATGAGATCCGGTTGTTTAAAGTATGTGGCACCTCCCCCACTCTCCCTCTTTCTCCTGCTCTGGCCATGTGATGTGCCTGCTCCCACTTTGCCTTCTGCCATGAGTAAAAGCTTCCTGAGGCCTCCCCAGACGCTGAGCAGATGCCAGCACCATGCCTCCCGTACAGCCTGCAGAATCATGAGCCACTTAAACCTCTTCTCTTTGTAAATCACCCAGTCTCAATTGTTTCTTTATAGCAATGCAAGGACAGCCTAACATACCAGCTGTGGTAGATATTGGGGAGCTCTGCCCATTTCCCCTCTTCAGGGCTCATGCACCCATCCCTCAGCTGCCAAGGATATCAGTTCACAATGGCATTGCTTACTGGACATTGCACTCAGCTGTGCGAGCTTCCTTGCTCCTCCTAGATGACAGCCTGTGGCTAAGGAGTGGCCAACACAGGTGATATCAAGGCCAGCCTCCTTGCTTCCATTTGGAGGCTTCCTAGCTCCTGTGGGAATGGCTCAGACCTCAGCTGCTGCTGCATTGTGGGTCAGCTCCTCCCTCCACCCAGCTCTGCCCCTCTCACTTCCTCACAGGTGTGTCTTCCAGGAACACTCCCTGATAAACCTCCTGTGTGCAATTATCCCTCCCAGGGCCACTTTCCAAGGAGCCCACTGAAAGTTAACCATCTTCTTGCAGTTCTTCGCTAAGATCTGGCATCTTTTCAGCACCAAGAAAATTTTCTTAGAACATCTGGGCCCTTTTATGGCTGAAAATTCCATAGAAAAACGGGCTCTCCAGCTGTGATTTGTGGCTGAGCGTCTGCTGTTTGCTGAGCAAGTCCCTGGATAATTTGGATACTGTTGCGGCCACCTCAGATGTTGATATAAAACAAGGAGAGGCAGTGAGAAGTACATTCTGTTTAAGTAATCAAACCAAATCCAAACGCGTGTACACCACAGCTGCTTCGGAGGAAACTGCTCCAGCTCCCTGGTCTCCTCCAACCGGGGACCTTCTGCCTTTTCCAAATGGGTGTTTGTCTTCCAGCTTTCATCTGGAAGTGCAAAACTCAGGTTGCTTTCTCCTATTTGACGAGCCCACACCAGAAAGTCCTGCCTTATGGCCAGGAGAGCCCTTTACTTTCTCCTCCATACCCATCACCCAAATAATGTTACCACAACACTGGCTGACTCGGCCAATCCTCTGCTTGAGGGCTCCTGTGGGTTCCCCATCACCTTCCAAATCAAATTCAAGTTCTTTGGTCTGGGATCTGGGGCTGGCCATGGTCACTTTGTGATTCTCCAGCTTCCACTCAAGGCAGTTCTTAAGTCCTCCAAGCTCCAGCCACACCGAACCCCCTACATTTTTCTTGAACATCCTCTGCTTGTTTGTGTCTAGGTGTCAATAGATGTGCCATTTCCTCTGCCTAGAAATCCCTCTGCTCTTTGTGTGACTGGAGAACTTCTACCCGTCTGTCAAGGCCCTCCTTGAACGTCATCTCCTCTGGGAAGCCTATCCTCACTGCTCCAGTCAGACTCAATCTCCACTCCCTCTGGGCTTCCACTGCATCCAAAGCCCCTTCTTAGCATGACACTAGTCTCATGCCTTTGATGTCTGCTTTTTGATGGGGGATGAGGGGCATATGTCCAAGCTGACCAGTGGTAAGAGTCAGGGGTACATGGTCAGTCCTTTACTCCTTGACTGGGAGTGGGCCCATATCACAATGGAGAGAGACACTTCCTTTAAAAGCTTGGCATTTGAAGTTTTGAATGAGAAACTTAAACTCCATCCCAGGCACCTCTGACTAAGAGCTGTCCCCAGTGTCTGTTCCACTCTGGTCTAAATTCCACTCTTCTGTTTGTCCCAGGTGTTCTTGCTCTGAAACAGTGTCGAGCTCTTAACAGTAGAGATCATCCTGAGATCCCATATTTAAAAAAAATTGAAAAATTCTGGAAGAAAATTCCACATTTCCTACTTTTCCCCCAGTCTCTCCTAGAGAGCTTCAGGGCAGCGAGGTGCAGAGAAGCCCCCAAATCTTTCCTTGCTTCTCTACTTTCCAGGGACTTGGAGGCATGCAGTCCAGTGATGTTCCCTCCTTCCCATTCTAGAAGCTTCCCAAAGTTTCTACCTCTGAGACAAATTTGGACCCAGACATCTTTGCTTCCAAGGCATAGAGGACATCCTGTGGTTTCTAACTTCAGTTTTACCTGCTAACTTTCTATTTAACAGACACTTAAATAATGCTTTTCTGAATACTTTATATGTTGTCACTTACTGTTCTTGCTGGGGAAGCTGACTCTGAGTCAAGGATTAGAGTAGAGGATGTTTATGAAGGAGGGGAGGTGTCTGTGGATCAACACTTGGAGAAGAAGGAGTAGGAAGCAGGATGGGGCAGAGGGAGAAGTTGAGCTGTGATGCAGTCCCAATGAAGAGCTCGGCCAGCCCCATGGGAAGCTCTGGAGCTGGGATGTCCCGAGTTGGGACAAGGGGGACAGGCCTTTACATCCCTACGTTGATCAGTCATTGATGCAAGCCACCCTAGCAGGAGGTATAATTTTGGGCAGGGCAGTCTGCAGCTGAGACAGCCCCCAAAGAGAGCGGACAGCTGAAGGCTGTCTTTGGCAGCACGCCCAGCAGCTGGGAGAAGAAAGCTTTGTTTCTGAAGTGGGAGTCACATTACAGCGTCCACCACCCGCATATGATCTCATTCAATTCTCAGAACGATCTAACAAAATTATTATTATTATCATCCCCATTTTACAAATGAGGAAACTGAGGCTCAGAGAAATTAACATACTTTGCTCAAGTACTTGCTGCTAGTGCATGGCAGAGCTAGAATTCCAACCCGGGCAGGCTGGCCTCAACATTTTTGCCCCCAACCCATGTTTATCTTACGTGAGTTGCCCTAAGAGCCGCCCCCATCCCCACCCAAACAAGGTCATGACTTCTAGAAAAGGGGCCCTGGGAGTGTTTTCTAGCAGCTATGTAGAATTAACAATTATAAACCCTAAACACTTTTAAATCAGACTTGATTAAAATTAAGTGGAGACCAGAGGCTTTCAGCTTTGGTAGCAGGTGCCTTGAGAGGGCACAAGCACTTTTGAGAATGCAAAACCCTGGATTAGCCATTAGCCTCTATTTAGATAGATGAGAGAAGTGCAGCAAATATTTACATACCCGTTACCATGAAATTCAAGTTAAATCTGTATTTACGCTATGTCTTGTCATCGTAGAGTTGATTTTCTGTCCCAGCATATTTCCTAAGGGGACAGGGAATTTTCCTGAAATATTGAAAGGTTTATTTTTAATAGTTCCAAGAACTGTAGACTTTTACATATGAGACTGTGAATATTTGTTATAGGAAACTAAATTTGTTAGAATGTTTGTAGAAAACTGTGTTTATTTACTTAAAGTTGTAAACTACGATTTTCATAAGAGGTTGACTTTACTTAGTAACTGTGAAAATGAGCCCATTGTAGACCTCAGGGACTTGTTTCTAATGAGCCCAGCCAACACAAAAGACTGTGCTCATTCTCAGTTAGGAATACAAATAAAGGCATTTATCCCTGTAGAATGATTATTTTGCAAGAAAAATAAATAAGTGACTCAAATAAACAAAAAACCTTAAAACACTACACAGAGCCTTGATTTTTTTGGAAAACCTGTTAGAGGTAGTCAGGATGGTGCTAAGTCTACCCTCTGTAATTGGGGGTCTTTCTTTCTTTTTTTTTTTGAGATGGAGTTTCACTCTTGTTGCCCAGGCTGGAGTGCAATGGTGCAATCTTGGCTCACTGCAACCTCTGCCTCCCGGGTTCAAGAGATTCTCCTGCCTCAGCCTCCTGAGTAGCTGGGATTACAGGTGCCTGCCACCACGCCCAGCTAATTTTTGTATTTTTAGTAGAGATGGGGTTTCACCATGTTGGCCAGACTGGTCTTGAACTCTTGACCTCAGGTGATCCACCTGCCTCAGCCTCCCAAAGTGCTGGGATTATAGGCGTGAGCCACCGAGCTCAGCCAGGGTCTGTCTCTGTGACTCCTGCTGGGTCATGAACTGCAAGTGCTAAACTCAATCCCAGGGGCTTCGTCAGTTCTGTTATTAAGGTGATCTGGTCTGGAGGTGTTTTGCACTAAATTATGAGGCAATCCCCACCACCCCCAAAAAGATAGGTTGGAGTCCTAACCCACAGCACCCCAGAATATGATTTTATTTGGAGATTGAGTTTTTGCAGAGGTAATCAATTTAAAATGAGGTCATTAGGGTGGGCCCTAATCCAATCCAACTGGTGTCCTTATAAAAAGGGGCAATTTGGACACAGAGACAGACAGGTATAGTGGGAGATGATGTGAGGAGACACAGGGAGTAGATGTCCCTCTGTAAGCCAAGGAGAGAGGCCCAGAACAGTTCCTCCCCTCCCAGCCCTGAGAAGGGGTTTCACCATGTTGGCCAGGTTGGTTTCGAACTCCTGACCTCAAGTGATCCGTGTGCCTCAGCCTCCCAAAGTGCTGGGATTATAGGCATGAGCCACCATGCCTGGCCCTGATTCCCTCATTTTAATGCTCTGGGTTTGCCAGGTTACCTCGTTCTTCTCCCTGTCACAAAGGGGCAGAAGCAGCTTCCTGATGAGGGTTGAAGCTGCCACAATAACTTTCTGGAAAACCATCAAACTCTCCCTCCCCACCCTGTTCTCTCACAGTTCAGAGGTGGTACCAACCCTGGGCTGATCAAAGTCAGTGCCCTGTGCTTGTTCATGTGCTTGAGCTGTCGCTGCTCTCTTGTCGCTCACTTTTGCTCCTATCATCTGCATGCTTGCCGGTCCCAGTGTCTGTCTGTTCTAGGCTGCAAACGCCTCACCCCTCATCCTTTTCACTTCCACTGACCATTGGCCTCAGCACAAGCCCCACATGCCTATCCAAATATTCCCCATCACCTTGCATCTTTGCCACAAAGACAGGTGGTTACAGCGTCAGCTCCATGGTAGGGAAGCTCTGGCTCCCGTCTATCTGTCGGAGCCGAGATTCATTTTTCCTTTCTAGGTTCTTGGTCTTTCCTGGATATCATTTTTTAAGTGGAAATTGGCACCAGGTTGATGAAAGCAAATCTGGAAAGTGAGAAAAGAAATTTATTTTCCACTGGTGAGCCAGGGAAATGCTTTAAATACAAGCTGTGGGTGCAATTGCAAAGTTGGGCATTGTGAGGGAGTGCTCTCTGCATGTGTGGCACATTGTAAATAAATTCCAGTCCATAGCTTTCATCGTGTTATTATGGATGGGTGTGTGTATGTGCCGGTATCGATCTATCTATGGAAAGGTGTGTGTGTGTGTGTGTGCCCAGGTGTGGGTTTGTGTGTGTGAGGATGTGCATGCTGTGTATATAGAGTAGGTATGACTTATACATGAGTGTGCATGAGTGTTTGTGAGTGTGAGCATGTGTGTGAGGGTGCTGGGTTTGCAGCACGCAAGAGAAGGAGCCAGAGAGAGACTAATTTGGATGCGAGACCCTGGAGGAGGCAGCCTGAGGGACGAACATCCAGCATCTTCCACCAAACGCTGCCCAAGTCAGTTGGATGCCAGGTCTGTGTTTAGGGCAGATGTGCTCACATCCCCAGCTCCCTCGGTGAGTGTCTGTCCTGCTGGCCTGGGCTCAGGCATGCTGTCTCCGCTGAGAGCTTAGCAGCACAAATGGTGTCCCTCTGCCAGCAGCCTGGCTGCAAAGGCCCCCTCCACTTGGCACACTCCATTCTAAGAGGTCAAGGGCACTCAGCCCAGGCACACCAGCCAGCTCCTGCTAGAGGCCCAGACCACACCTACCAGGCACCTGAGCCTGTTCTGGACACGGCCCAAGAATGGCCCTTAGCTCTATCACCACTGGGTGACTCTGATAACTGGCCGTAAGTTTAATTTAACAAAGCAATATAGTGGGCACCCCTCTCGGGTCCCCTCTCTCTCTGGCCCTTTGGTTTAGGGAGGGAAGACATGTGATAGCCTTCCCCTGCTGCTTTGCTTGTAGTAAGTGCTCAGGAAAGGTTGCTGATGCTGCTGATGGGGTGATGGGGATGGGTGAGGGGACCCTGCTTTCCTTTCTGGCTTTCAGATCTTCATTTTGTACTCCTGGCTCTGCTCTCTCCCTGGCTTCAGTGTTCCTCTCTTGCCAGATGAGAAACTCCAACCCCCAACTCTGCAGCAACCCACCAGCTAAGTCAGTCTCTACCCCCACCCAGGAGGGGACGTGTCTTAGTCCGTTCAGGCTGTTATAACAGAATACCATAGAGTGGAGGCTCAGACACAACAGAAACTTATTTCTCACAGTTTGGGAGGCTGGAAGCTCAAGATCAAAGTGCAGGCAGATTCAGCATTGGGTGAGGGTCTGCTTCCTGGTTCATAGACAGCTGTCTTTGCTCTGTGTTCTCACATGGCAGAAGAGGTGAGGCAGCTCTCTGAGGTCTCTTTTATAAGGGCACTAATCCCATTCATGCAGGCTCCCCTCCCATGACCTGATCACCTCCCAAAGTTCCCATCTCCAAATACCATCACACTGGGGGTTAGGATTCAACTTAAGAATTTTGGGGGGATGCAAACATTCAGTCTGTGTTAGTCCATTCTTACACTGCTAATAAAGACATACCTGAGACTGGGTAATTTATAAAGGAAAAGAAGTTCAATGGAATCACAGTTCCACATGGCTGGGGAGGCCTCATGATCATGGCAGAAGGCAAAGGAGGAGCAAAGGCATGTCTTACATGGCAGCAGGCAAGAGAGTGTGTGCAGGGGAACTGTCCTTTATAAAACCATCATCTTGTGACACTTATTCACTATCACGAGAACAGCATGGGAAAAACCCGCCCCCATGATTTAATCACCTCCCACCAGGTTCCTCCATGACACATGGGGATTATGGGAGCTGCAATTCAAGATGAGATTTGGGTGGAGACACAGCCAAACCATATCACAGTCTGTGGCAGGGAGGCCTAGACAGGCTTTGGTAAATTGCATTGTGTGTTGAGTCTTGCCTCACTTAGAAGTATCAGCCCTCCAGGCTAGGGAGTCAGCCTGTCTCCCTTGCTTCCTGCCAGTCCCTTTCCTGAAAGAGACCCAAAGGGGAGACCTAGGCAGATGACAACCTAGGAGGTGGCTCAGTGACTCTGCTCAGTAGATTCGAGCACCAAGTGGGACTGAGGGGTTTGGGTGCATTTTCCAGGAGACGGAGTGGAGTGAGAAAGGCAGGAGACCAAGGAGCAGGGCTCAGGTATGCTCCATCAAGGGCAGAGCTGAGGGGCCTGGGGTGCTAGTGACCCCACAGAAATGCTTTCCCAACTATGTGCTCAGGTTCCCCGGACCTGTGACTGCTTGGCCCTGGGCAGGTGCAGCACCCAGAGTACCCTTCTTATTCTGCATATCCTCCTGACCTTCGAGAGCTGGCAGCCACCTGCCCCTGTCATCAGACCCCTTCATCTTTGTCTTTCCTGCAGTGCCCAGCCCAAATCTAGGCATAAGTTGGGACTGAATATCTGTCCTCCCCCTACTTCTATCTTGCCCTCATCTTTTGTCATTTTCAAGTGCCTTTTGGACACTAACCCTTGTTCATAAATAGTTGATTCCCCCTTCCCCATTATTTCTCCCTCTTTTAAAATAGTTTACTTTTTAGAGGGCAAACCCAGGGGCCAGGCAGTGGAAACTTGGGGAATTCCATGTGAGTTGTGCATAGGATTGCCAGATTAAATACAGGACACCACAATTGCCTCTGAATTTCAAATAAATAACAGATACTTTTTAAGTTACAATATGTGCCATGTAATATTTGGGACATATTTTTGTGGACTGAATTGTGTCTTCCCCAGAAGATATGTTCAAGCCCTAACCCTTGAACTGCTTTTTTGTTTTGAGACAGAGCCTCACTCTGTTGCCCAGGCTGGAGTAAAGTGGTATGATTTCGACTCACTGCAACCTCTGCCTCCTAGGTTCAGGCAATTCTCCTGCCTCAGCCTCCTGAGTAGCTGGGATTACAGGCACATGCCACCACACACACCTGCCTAATTTTTGTATTTTTAGTAGAGATGGGGTTTCATCATGTTGGCCAACCTGGTCTCAAACTCCTGACCTTGAGTAATCCACCCGCCTCGGCCTCCGAAAGTGCTGGGATTACAGGCATGAGCCACTGCGCCCGGCTGACCCTTGAACCTCTGAATATGACCTTGTATGAAAATGGGATCTTTGCAGATTTAATTAAATTAGGATGAGATCATACCGGAGTAGGGTGGACTAAATCCAATATGACTGGTGTCCTTAAAAGAAGAGGAAGGCCGGGCATGGTGGCTCATCCCTGTAATCCCAGCACTTTGGGAGGCTGAGGTAGGCAGATCACTTGAGGTCAGGAGTTTGAGACCAGCCTGGCCAACATGGTGAAACCCCGTCTCTACTAAAAAAATATGAAAATTAGCTGGGTGTGGTGGCAGGCATCTGTAATCCCAGCTACTCGGGAGGCTGAGGCAGCAGAATTGCTTGAACCCAGTAGATGCAGGTTGCAGTGAGCCGAGATAGTGCCACTGCACTCCAGCCTGAGTGACAGAATGAGACTCTGTCTCAAGAAAAAAAAAAAAAAAAAAAGAAGAGGTAAAGAGACACACAGAGAGGAAAGACAGCAGACCCAGGGACATGTGACGACACACAGATGTGCAGGGAGAACGCCACTAGTCCCCCTCCCCAGTGGGACCCAAAGGGAGATCTAGACAGGTGACGATCTAATGGATGTGGCTCAGGGGAGGCAGAGAATGGAGTAATGCAATGCCCAGGATGACCACAATGGCAGGGGCTAAGAGTGCGCCGTGGGGCAGGTTCTTCCCTGGAGCTCCAGAGGGGAGTGTGGCTCTGTGGACACCTTGATTCGGACATCCTATATTTGTATTTGTGGGCTCTGGCAGCCCTTCTGAGGCAGGTCAGCTGGGTTTGCTCCTCTGCGAGGTTGTCAAAGATGTGCTAACTGGCCTCACCCTCGTGCTGGTGTGAGCATTCCCGAGGTCCTGGGCATGGCTGGCGTCTGGAGGTGAGGCAGAGTATTTTGTGAGGACCTCCTGCTCAGTTCTGGTAGCACCTCCACACCACCCCAATTTCTTTATTAAAGATGGAAGAATTGACCTTATAACCTCTTCTCAGCTCAGTGGCCTGGGAAGGCAAGGTCTGATTGCAGCTTGGCCTGTGTGGCTGGGGAAGGTTGGAGAACCTCTTTGGCCTCCCTGTTTGTGAGTGAGTTAATGGGACTGCATCTGGGTGCTGGTGGCTCTGGGGTGGTGCTTGGAGCTCTGGCAGGGCTACTAACTTTCCATGTGTCCTCAGGCAAGCGCCTTTTCTTCCCTCCCTCAGTTTCCCTATCTGTAAAAGGAGAGAGCTGGATCTACTCCAGGGTTTTTTCTTTTTTTTGAGACAGAGTCTCACTCTGTCACCCAGTCTGGAGTGCAGTGCAGTGGAATGATCTTGGCTCACTGCCACCTCCGCCTCCCAGGTTCAAGAGATTCTCCTGCCTTAGCCTCCCGAGTAGCTGGGATTACAGGCATGTACCATCATGCCAAGCTAATTTTTGTCTGTTTAGTAGAGAACGGGTTTCACCATGTTGGCCAGGCTTGTCTCAAACTCCTGACCTCAGATGATCTGCCTGCCTCAGCCTCCCAAAGTGCTGGGATTACAGGCGTGAGCCACCGTGCCCAGCCTACTCCAGGGGTCTTTATCAACCCCTCCTCCCTGACCTGCCTATGACACCTGCCAAAGCCTCTGTTTCTAGGGCGAGATGAACTTCCATTTAAAACCCTGATTTGAAGCCGATTCCACCAGAAATAGACACAACTTGCAGACCTTACCCGTCTGTGACTGGAAGGGTTCACACACCCCCAGAGGGCCCGTTCTGCTCCCAGAGCCAGCTTCATGCCCCACCCTGGTCCTGCCACGGGTCTCCTCTCTCCTTCAGAAGAGAGCTGAAGGGCAGGGCACAGCCGTGTGGTAGGCAGAGGCAGAGAGGCCTTTGCTCCTGATGAGGTCTTGGAATGACCAGTGGGTGGCCATCTGGCGGGAGGTCTGGATGAGGGCCACATCCGCCTGGCTGGTGGCTGCCTTTGGTGATGGGATGGCCTCCAGTGAGGTCTGTGGATAGAGACGAGGTTTCAGCAAGAGGGGTGGCTCGGTGCGTGGCCGGGTTGGGGCAATGGTTATTCACTACGGGATCTGAACCGGTGTAAATGGGGCAATTTTCTGGTGGTTAGTTTAAAAAAGGACTATGTCTGTGTACGAATGAGATGAAAACCGTTCTCTGCCAAAATCTTAAACACAAAATGCCTAAATGAGTGCTGTAACGACATCAGCTGCGCTGTGTGGTGGGAAGAGCCCTAGCTGGGACACCAGAAGGGACTCAGGCTTCTCATCCTAGGTGTGCCCCAAGTGCTGTGTGACTTAAGCAAGTGTCAGCCCCACTGACCTCAGTTTTCCTGGTAAAGTGGTGAAGCTGACAACCACCCCTCAGGATCACTGTGGCCTCTAGGGATCTCAGTGAAGGTAAAGCCCCCAGCCCAGTGCCTGCCACCCAATGGGTGCCCTCTCTGCCTTCATTCAGCAGAGACTCAGCTGGGCCTGGGCCTGGGACACAGGAGGGAAACACTCCCTCCTGTCCTCTGGAAGCTCACGGCCTACACAGGAATCCAGCCTGGTGCTAAGACCAGTATGGTCAGGGCTGGAGAAGGAGGTACTCCTGGGGGTCTGAGGCATGTCAGAGGTTCTGGGTGGGTGGCAGGGGTGAGGGTGGAGTCAGGGCTGGGTCCCGGACATCCACCAGTGACTAAAGCTGAGCCTGCAAAGGGGGCTGTCTAAGGAAGGCCTCAGGCTGGGGCATTGAAACTTCTGATGGTTTCCTCTGAAGCAGGGACATTTCCCTCAAAGCTTTTCTGGGCAGAGTAGAGAACAAAGGCGTCTGCTATTTACCTGGAGTGGAGATGGGAGGGAAGGGTGACACCCTCCCCAGCTCTGGGGCTACAGACTTGCCTATTGACACTTCCCAGTCAGGCCCCGTTCCTCTCCCTCCCCGCAGAGTGGTTCAGCGGGCACAGGGCTGACCAGCCCACCCTGTCCCCATCAGCATCACCCCACCTCGCTCTCTTGACAGCTGCCTCCTCTGCTCTGCGTGGCCTCTGCCCAGGCGCAAGATGTGTGGAGATTGGATGTGAAGTTCCCTGGGCCAAGCAGATTACATGCACAGGAGGAGCCCGGTGCTATCGGGGACAGCAGTGCATGAGGTCACCGTCCCTCGCTGTCCCCCCACCCCCCACAGGCGATGGACTGATTGGGCTTGACATGTTCATTTGCTGCCTGGTAAAAGTCCATTTGCTGGGCCCGAGCTGGCGCTGGCAGGGTGGGTTTGAAGCAGCTGCAGCAGCTGCTTAGCATGCAGTGTAAATATTAGTCTTTCCCAGAAAGAGGCTCGATGCAATTGTCTTTGGCCGATGGATGTGACCGGGCTGTTTGCCTGCATTCCATCCTGGCCCGCCTGGCTCAGCAGACCCTTCCAGAACCCTGGAGGGCTGAGTGTGGGCCAGCCTGGGTCCAACTTGGGATCCGGCTCCCAGGATACTGGTGGGGAAGTATTCCACTCATGGGCAGAGGAGGGAGAGGTGTGTGGAGCACACCTGATGTTCATGTGTGGGGAGGCCCTATTTCATTCTTGTATCAGCTTCTTCACCTGCAAACCAGGAGCTGTGACCCTCCCGGCTCTGCTTCTAACCCGGCTCCTCTGTCTGTCTGCTCATTCTAGCCTGGTTCACAGTCGCGGCCTGGCTGTGCGCACCCTGTCCCTTTCTGCCCATTCCCTGCCCTGGAGTCCCCAGACCTAGGTGTGAGCCCCGACCTCAACCTTTCCACCCTTCAGTGCACATTACCCTTTGCCCGGCTTCATGCTGGTGCTGGGGCTGTGCTGACAGGCAGAATGGTCAAGGTGATGATGTGCAGGAAGAACTAAACAAAATGATTTTAGTTTCAGGTGCTGTGACAAGGAGGGACTGGGGGGCTCCAGTAACTTCTGTGCTCATGTCCCTGAGAGGACATGAGCTGAGACCTGGGCCTCTGTGACCCTCAGTTTCCTAATCTGTAACATGGTGATGGGGACCCCCGACCCCCCCTGTTGTAATGCATAAGTGAGACTGTGTGTGCAAAGGAGCTGGCACACGGTGGAGCTGGGCCCCAGGGCATCTGAACAATCCCCACCTTCCTGCAGTCTGAATGTTCATACTGGTGACCACGTGGCCTCTACTGTCCTCAGATCAGGGCTTCCCAAACTTCTATGTGAATGAAAATTGTCTGCGGGCCTTGTGAAAATACAGATTCCCAGGCCTGCCACCACTCCCAGTGATTCAGCAGGGCTCGGGCAGGACCCTGAAATCTGCATTTTCATAGGCACCAACGGTGGCATGGGTGGCACATGAAACACAGTCTGAGGATCCTGGTTTAGACATCCCTGCAGAGATCCAGTATCCCTCCCTTAGCCCCTCAAGACTTCACTCAATCAACTAGTGGGGTGGCAGCCTTGGAGAACAGTTTCCCCAGCCCCAGCAGATCTGGGAAAGCAGCTCTGACCCGAGGACCTGTCTGGTCTCAGTCCTGGGCAGGGCTTGCCTGCTGGACCATGTGAAATGCTGTTTTGAAATAACCAGCTGCTCAGAATCCCTAAGTGTCCTGAATTGATTAATACACAGAACGTCTTCTGAGAGTCTGATGGGGAATGTGAAGTATCGCTGCTGGCCCTGGAGTCATGCTGTGGGGGGAAGTAGATGCTGGGTCCAACAAGCCAAAGGGCTTGCTTCATCAACAGGGGAGGAAAATGAGTCCCACTGAGGTGTTGGGGTGGGGAGGGGGGCTGTGGGCTGTGATACTCACCAGGACCCTTTGAGGTGAGCATTGTTAGTGTCTCCATTATGTAAATGAGGACATGGGGTGGGGCATATCTAGGATGTGTTTTGTCCACTCTGAGAGGTCCAGAGGCTCGGCCAGGGGTCCTTCCCCCCGACCCCTACCATTTCCCTCGGCCTTCCTGGTCTGAAGCTCTCTCACAGCCGAGGTGGGGCGTAAGTCACCCAAGTTCTTTCCATGTGAATGGCATCTAATCAGCATGTATCAGGCATGGTAATGTAATAACAGCTGCTAATTATATATCTCACTATTACTCCGCTGCCAGTTGTGGGAATTGAAGCCAGATGATCTGGGACCAGGAGAACTACCCCCTTTCCCCCCCTATATGTTATTTTATTCATGGGGCTGCTATTTTTTTTTTTTTAATTGCAGAATTTGGTCCTATCTGAAATTTGTTCTTCCTGCATAAGCCTGGGCCAGCCCCACCCAGCCAACTGCCAAATCTGCTACAGCCTGGCCCTGGGAAAAAGACAGGAGCCCACCATGGTCCTTGTTTGGGGGGCTACCAGCCAGTGCCAAGGAGGGGTTGACTCACAGGCAGGCAGGGCCATCTGCCTGGGCTCCCTCCTCCCTGGCTGTGGCTGGCGGCTGGAGTCTATTTTCTCCACCATCGCCACCCACTGGTGATTCGCTGTGAATGGCCCAAGGCTGCAGCCCGCATCCTCAACCCCAGCCAGGATCTGCTTAGACAGCAGCAGGGTGAAGGCAGAGTTCCCCCTCCCCCAGCCGCCAGACGAATTACCCCAGTCTGGGCAGCCCCTGGCTCTGCCTCCCCTGCTCCCACCTCCACCTCTTCCTAAAGCCTCTAGGCCTCAGTTTCCCCATTTACAGAATGGAGACACTAACAACACTCACCTCAAAGGGCCCCGATGAGGTTCTCAAGCCTGGGTGCACATTGAGAATCATCAGGGTGATTAAGGCAGGTACTGAGCTTGGGTCTATCCCGAGTCCCTCCTGGATCAATTTCATCAGAATTTCTGGTGTGAGAGATCTGAATATCAGCAGTTAAAAAAAAAAAAAAAAAAAAAAAGGCGGCCGGGCGTGGGGCTCATAGGTGGGCGGATCACCTGAGGTTGGGAGTTTGAGACCAGCCTGGCCAACATGAAGAAACCCTGTCTCTACTAAAAATACAAAATTAGCAGGGCATGGTGCCGGGCGCCTGTAATTCCAGCTACTGGGGAGGCTGAGGCAGGAGAATCACTTGAACCTGGGAGACGGAGGTTGCAGTGAGCTAAGAGTGCGCCATTGCACTCCAGCTTGGGCAACAAGGGTAAACTCTCTCAAAAAAAAAAAAAAAAAAAAGAAAGCTCCAGGCGAGTCCAGTGTGCAGCTGGGAATGAGAACTGCTCCTGTGCGGAAGCTTCTGTGACACGGTCTGCTTGTGGCAGAATTCAACAAATGAGAGCTCTTTCTTCCTTATTGTTTATTGTGTTACAAGTATTAGTATTAGTAAAAGTATTAGATTCTAAGCCACTCATTTGAAACCAGTGGACTAAGAGTTTTATTAATTTTAAAAAATCCTGTTGGGCGTGGCAGTTCACGCCTGTAATCTCAGCACTTTGGGAGGCCAAGTCAGGTGGATCCTGAGGTTAGGAGATTGAGACCATCCTGGCTAACATGGTGAAACCCTGTCTCTACTAAAAATACAAAAAATTAGCCGGGCGTGGTGGCGGGTGCCTGTAGTCCCAGCTACTCGGGAGGCTGAGGCAGGAGAATTGCTTGAACCTGGGAGGCGGAGGTTGCAGTGAGCCAAGATCGCGCCACTGCACTCCAGCCTGGGTGACAGAGCAAGACTCGGTCTCAAAAAAAAAAAAAAAAAAAATCCTTAAGTCAATCGATCAATCAATATGCCTGTGTAGAGGCATGTGAGTAAGGAAAAGCAGGTCAGCTTTGCCATGTCCAGGAAAGAGAAGCAGGGGAGGGAGGGAAGAACACTCTGGAAAGGTAGAGGCAAGAGGACAGATATAGCCCGTGGGAGGAAATTCCCAGGACTGGAAAGGACATAGGGTTTTGGGTGCCCTGCTCATTGGGTTTTGGGGGAGGGGGAGCAGGACCTAAGAGGTACTGGCTTTGTGGAGCCCCTAGGAAGCTAATGATCCTGGGCAAAGGGGATCCCTGACCCAGCCCCACTGGGAATAAGGGGCTTGAACAGCAGGCAATGAACTCAAGGTAAACAGAGCAACCTGAGAACCGGAGGCGCTACCACCCAGATTGCACCTAAGGGTGCATCCCACCCCATCCCAAGAAGTCGAGATGAAATTTCTCACCACTTTGAGATGCAGGGCCTAGAGATGAGATTAACTGGCTATTAAACAAGTAACATGGCATTTCTGGCACGGCAATGAGGTGGCGTGAAGTTCACACCCGTAACTCCTACAAGACAAAGCAGAACAGAGTTAACCACAAACTGTGGCCCCTGAGCCGTGGTAGCACCCAGCAAAGTGGCCTGGGGCCCCTGTCTGGAGGCAGTTGAGCTGGAAGGGGGCAGGACACTCAGCGTCTCATCCCTAAAGGAGGACTTTTAGAAAGAGGCCGTGGGGGCTGTAGTCAGAAGGCCCTGCAGGGGTACTGGAAGTGGCCCCAGAGGGAGAGAGAAGGTGGGTCCCTGTGCCGAAAGGGCAGGATGGGGTGCACTTCCCAAACCGAGATGGGCATTTAGGATGACCTGGGGAGACTTGTTGAAAATACAGATTCCTAGGCAGCACCTAAATTTGGATACAGCTGGTCTGGGGCCTGGGAATCTGCATTGTCAGCAAGCTGCCTGAAGAGTAGAATGCTCACCCAGGCTTGAGCATCATGAAGGCTGGGGAGAGGCAGGAGCCAGGGCTGCCCTGAGTAAATGTGGAGACTCCCAGCCTCCCCTACTACTCCTACCACTCCCTCCCTTCCCCATCATTCCCTGCCCCGTGGGTCACAGGGCTATTCCTGTACCCCCTGGGAGCGCTTGGCAAACACCCTTCCTGCTCTCTGAGCCTCCTGTGGCTCTCCTGTGGGTGTCCCCTTCCCAGGCTGGGGCCAGTTTACCCAGGGGAGGACCAGGCTCTGCAAAGGGTATATGTGTGTGCTGAAGCCACATTTGCTTGAAATTAGCTTTTCTTTTTGAGTCCATTTCATTCTCCTAATGCTCAAATACGACACACCGCTGTGCCATTCTGTTTGCAGATCATTTTTCTCTCTGATGAGCAAACGCCAAGTAAATGAATAGAGGGGAAAGAAAGTGATACATTTAGAGAAATAAGGAAGTGAAGATTTCAGTCAGGCACAGTGGCTCACACCTGTAATCCCAGCTACTTGGTAGGCTGAGGCAGGAGGATTGTTTGAGCCTAGGAGGTTGAGGCTTCAGTGAACTATGATCGTGCTGCTGCACTCCAGCCTGGGCAAGATAGTGAGACCCTGTGTCTTTAAAAAAAGGCCCCCCCAAAAAAATAAAAAAGGAAAGAAATGAAAATTTCAAACCTGGTGCAGGCTCAGGGGCAGTGCTCACACGGCCCATCCCACTGCCTTGAGGGTAGGGCCACTCTCTCTAGTCTGGTCTAGTCTTGTCTACTGGTCTAGTCTGGTTGCAGGAGAAGTGGCTGCTCAGGGCGGGTGGGATGCAGGGCTTTTTCTGATGCTCAGCATCATCCTAACCAAACCAGTCCTCTCCACCATCAGCTTCTTGAACCACTTGTCTTGATCTTGTATGTGACATCCGCACCTTCACCATCACCTGCTCTACATCCTTCCATAGCTCCCCATTTCCCTATTGCCCTGGGACCAGAGGCCATATGGCGTGACCTTCAGGAACTCTGCATCCACTCTCCCTTCCCAAGTCCTTCGCTCTCCAAGTGCTCGATGTAGAATTTGTTGAGTGTGTGAATGAATCACCTCCACATGTCTTGGATGGACCCATTTTCCTGGCGCCTTTGCTCTTGCAGTTTCCTCTGCCCCGAGCACCTCTGCCTTCATGTGCACAGTGCACCTGCTTCCCCAGCTGAAATGCTTCCTCCTGCACCCAGCCTTCTCCCAAGCTGGAAGTAACCCCTTCTTCTTGTGAGCTCCCACTGCAGTTTGTCTTGAATCCTGAGCACTTTTCACAGCCTTCTCTCTTTTACCTTTGCCCATTTCCATATCTGTTTTTTTCCTGGCTATTCACCTCCCTGTGTCTAGCATGGTGCCCGGTACATTGTAGGTGACCTGTGCACAGAAGGTGTTCTGCTCTCAGCTGCAGAGGCCGTGATGGAGAACATATGTACCTTTTGAGACCTTAGGGGGAACCTGGCATCTTCCTGCAGGACAGCAGCCTCATGGCCTCAGGTAGTAAAATAAAAAACGTGGCCTCTCTTTTAAATGGTGCCCAACCCAAGTTTCTGTCCCTAAGAAGTGGGATCTTGCTGGGTCACCACTGGAGTCCAGCTAGGCATTGATCTGTACAATAAAGTTTCCAGGCTGTGTTCCTGGAAATTGGGGTTGAGGGATTAGATGCAACATCATGTAGTTGTGGGGAGACAGAAGTCCCTGTAAAGGGTGCAAGAAACTCCTTAGGAAGTGTACTGCATTGTAAGAACATGGGCTTCACTGTAGTAAGCCATCCCTTGGTTTATAGCTTAGGTCTGCTGTTAACTGGCTGTGTGACTTCAGACAAATTCCTTAACCTCTCTGAACCTTAGTTTCCTGGTTTGGGAAATTATGTTAATGGTATCTTTAGAGTCTTTGGGAATATTGGGGATAATATCTGTAAAGTACCTGGCACCTCATTGGGAGCTGGATAAATAATGGCTTGTATGATTATCATTATCATCATTAGCAGCCTTGATTTTTCTTTCTTTTTTATTTTTTTTTGTAGTCATTGTTGTTCCCTCCAGCTGTTGGTGCCTGTGCTGGGATCACCCAAGGCTGTGAGTCAGCCTGGAAGAGCTATTTTGTAATTAGGTTGACAGATGCAGGGTGCAGTGGAACCCCTGCCGGAGATCACAAATTAATTAGTGTCATTTTTGGAGAAGGGGCCCCGAAACAGGCTTGGTGGGGACCAGCCAGGCTCATGGGTGTCTGACCGTGGTCCTTGTGGCTCTGCAGAGGGGTGATCCCTGCTAACATCGGCAGAGGTGGGTGCCTCTAGGGTCTGTAAGGAACCCAGAGCCACGGAGGGTGCCCCTGCACATATGGCAGGTGGGGTGGGCTCAGTCACACCCCCTGGGCTCTGTTCCAGGGAGGCTGTGGAGCGACAGCTTTTTCACCTCCACACTGATGTGTGGCCTGTGCCCGTGCCTCAGTTTCCACACACAGCCCTCCATCTACTTTCCAAGTCTGTCTGTCCCCTGGCTTAGTTGGAGTTGGGCTGCCTGCTCTAGCTACCAAGCACTCCCACAGCAAATCACTGGGCAGCAACCGTCCATCTCCTTCTTGCAGCCCCCAGCAGCTCAGAAATCATGACTTGTTCATAAATGACAATGTCAACCCCTATTTATGTCTGGGGCCATGGAGGCACACAGGGCTCCCAGCACCAGTTTTTCCCGAGGATTCTGGCCTCACTTCACCCTCAGGGCAGTGAGCGGGCTGGCGTCACAGCTTCCTGGTTCAGCTCTGCCCTCTGCGCCATGTCCTTGGGGCCATCCTCGCCTATGCTTCACTCCACTTGCTCCATGGCAGGACCATGGGGAAGCTAATTTTACTCGATCAACATTTATTTCATGCTTTGCCAAGTCTCAGGCTGCTGAGCTGCTCTTACCACACATTAACTATCTCACTTAATAGGTGTGGTGCAGCCAGGTAAGAACCATTAGTATTCGCATTTTATAGACAAGGATATAGAGTCTCAGAGATGATCTGGGTCACAAAACTGGTAAGAGGTAGCTAGCATTTGAACCCAGATGGTCTGACTGTATGGTCTTTTAAAAAAATTTTTATTGAGGGATAATTAAAATATAGCAAGATACACAGATCTTAGGTGTTCAGTTCAATGACTGTTGACAAATGCGTCCCCCCGTGTAACCACCCCTCCGAGCAAGATACAGAGAACCTCCATAATTCCTCGTGGCTCTTCTCAGTCACTTCCTACTGCACACTTGGAGTGGAGGCACCTGTTGTTCTGATTTCCACCACCAATATGTAAACCTGTGGTTTTTTTTTTTTTTTTTTTTTTTTTTTGAGACAGGGTCTTGCTCTGTTGCTCAGGCTGGAGTGCAGTGGCATGAACATGGCTCACTGCAGCCTCAACCTCCTGGGCTCAAGTGATCCCTTGTGCTCAGCCTCCTGAGTAGCTGGGACTACAGGTATGTGCCACCATGCCTAACTACTTTTTGTAGAGACAGGGTCTCACCATATTGCCCAGGCTGGTCTCGAACTCCTGAGCTCAAGTGATCCTCCAGCCTCAGCCTCCCAAAGTGCTGAGATTACAGATGTAAATCTCACTGCGCCCAGCCTGTAAGCTCTGTTCTTCAATTTTGTATAAATGGTATTATATATTGGAATTATGTATATAACAATAAATACTGTTTCTTTCACTCTGAACAATGTTTTTGAGGTTCATCCATATTGTCGCATGTATCAGTAGTTCATTACTTTCATTGCTGATTAATTTTTCATTGCATAGATGGACAGCACACTTTGTTTCCCCTTCACTTACTGATGGACTCTTGGGTTGTTTGCCTTGTTGGGCTCTAATGAATAAGCTTCTCCAAACACTCATGTACAAGGCTCTGTGTGGGCAAATGTCTTCATTTCTCTTGGGTTGATAATTGGGGTGGAATTGTTGGGTTGCAGGTGGCTGTATGTTTAACTTTATAATTGCCAAACATTTTCTGAAGTGGTGCACCATTTTACACTCCCACTAGTAATACGGAGAGTTCTAATTGCTCCACATCCTTGCCAAGCTTTGGTGCTAGTCTTTTTTATTTTAGCCACTCTGGGGTATGAGTAGTAGTATCTCATTTTGCTTTTATTGTGCATTTCTGTGATGACTAATGATTTTGAGCTTATTTTTCACATAATTCTAGGTCATTCACATATTTTCTTTTGTGATGTGTCTGTTCCAATCTTTTTCCCACTGAAAATATTGGGTTGGTTGTCTTTTTATTATTGATTTGTAGGGGTTCTTTATATATTCTAGATATGAAAATTTTCTCCCCAGTCTGCGGATTGTTTATGGATTTTTCTTAAAGGTGTCAGTGCTGAGCAGAAGTTGACTGCTGCCCCCTGACTTTTGGTTATCGATGATTCCTGGGTGTATGAAATTGGAGACTGTAACTGGCCTGCACGATGCCAAGAATACAGCTGGACCTCAGAAGGGGCTCATGTTCTTTGTCCTTCCTTCTGCTGCCAAGGTCTCCCCAGATCACTGTCTCTAAGTGGAGTGGATGTCCTCTCCTCTCCATCCGTCCACCCACCCACGTGTCACTCATCCTTGAGCATCCAGCTTATCATGGGCCTCTGGCACCACACTCCTTAGAATGCCCACCTCATGGAAACAATTCAAATGGGCAGCTCTCTGTTGCCACCTCCAGTGCCACTGACTTCATCCAGACCCTCCCCACATCTTCCCTTCTTGGACCACTGCAACGCCCTCTTCCTGCTCACTCAATCAACACAATTCTTTTAGTGTCAATCACTGTCCAGGCCAGATTAGGGTCCCAGAATATAGCACTTGCTCAAGCACTGCCCTGCTCTCCAGGAGCTCACAGACCAGGGGAAACGCATGTACACCAATGTTGAAAATACAGAGGTGAGAGCGAAGTACAGAGATGGATGCACTAGGTGTTGAGGAGAGCGGCCAGGAGAAGAGAACCCTTTTCTGTGCCTGGAGGTTAGTGGGGAGGGGACCCCACGGAAGCCTTCTCAGGGGAAAAACCCCTGAGCCAGAGTTTGCAAGCTGAATAGCTTTTTCCCAGCAGACAGCTTCATGGAAAGGAAGTGCATTGTAAAGAGAGGAAAGCCTGCGTGTAAATGTCTGGAGTGGTGACAGTGGACAATGTCGCAGGGAAGGGCACATTGACTGGCATGACTAGTGGGTGGAAGGGTGCAGGGCGGAGGTGAGCTTGGAGAGGCTGAGAAGGTGAGATCATAAGACACCTGCTACGTGAGGTCAGAAACTTGGGTTTTATCCTGAAAGCAAGAGGAGCTTTTGGAGGACTTGAGGATGGGGAGGGCAAGGTATTAAGTGCTCAGAACCCACCTGTGGCAGTTGTTAAGAGGGTGGATGAGGGTGGGTTTCTTTAGGATGAGGCCTATGGGGTGCTTTTCCAGTAGTAGCTGGTCCAGTCCTTACCCAAGGCAGGCAGAGGGTACGGCAAAGAGGTTCTGTCTGCATCTCCTCCCTCACCCAGGGCAGCTGCTGAGAGATCACCGGCCATGAGTAAGAACACAGTCATAGTCACGATCACAATCACCATCTGCACGGGGCAAACTGGTGAGCTTCATGGAGAGAGACATTGTGCCCTTCGGATGGCAACAAGTGGGACCCATGTCTGATGGGAACAGATGTGGTTGTGCATTGGCTGTGGTGAGCGGCTTTGGGATGAACCAGGGGCAAGGCTGGTGAGGTTGGAGGTAGAAGAGTGGACACTGCCTGTTTGGCACCTGGGAGTCGTGTGTGGTCACATAGACATGGGTTTGCTTCTGCCTCTGCAACTTCGCTCTTTGAATAAATTCCTTAATGTCTCCATGCCACAGTCTCCTCGTCTCTCACATAGGGTTCCTAAAAGCCTCTGTCACTGGAGTTTTGGGGGGCTTAAATGCCACAATGCATGTAAAGAAAGCGCTTGGCATGCAATCATGCCCCATGTATTCAGGATTCTGGGCCGTCTACCGAATCACCTCTAAAGCTTCTTATTGCTACTGCTGGCCTGGCCCTGCCTCTGGAAGCAGCCCAGCTGTTGGGCCCCCAGTTAGTGTAAGGCACAGATGTGGGAGCTGTTTTCCGAAAACCCATCACCAGTGCCTGGGCGCCTCCTCCCTCAATCTGCAGCAGCAGCAGCAGCAGCAGCAGGGTCCTGAGAAGGGCCTTGGCGAGGGTTATTTGTGCCTCTTCAGCAAAGGCCTTCCTGCTGCTGCTCTAGTTCAATGAAGATCACCCTCTGGCAGGTTTTCTGGGCCGTGCACAGGCAGTTAAGGAGCTGAAACTCCAAAGGCAATTTCTCCTCAAGGAGCTGTTTTGTGGGTGGTTCACTCTGCACCACTGCCATGGAGATGTTCCCTGCCCCAAGTCTGGCACAATTCACTGAGCCCAGGGCTCACTGGGCTGCCTGGGAGCTCCTCAACCAGGAAGGAGTGGGCCTGGCTCGGACAGAGAGGATGGGGCAAGGTCCTGACTATATTTCCTGCCCAGCCTGCAGGGAGTTGGGGGAAATTCAAGGGAGGCTCAGGCCCTTGAATAGCAGTACCAAAATTGCCCTCAAAAACAGTTTCTAGGTCGGGCGTGGTGGCTTATGTCTGTAATCCCAGCATTTTGGGAGGCCAAGGTGGGTGGACCACGAGGTCAAGAGATCGAGACCATCCTGGCGAACATAGTGAAACCCCGTCTCTACTAAAAATAGAAAAATTAGCTGGGCATGGTGGAGTGTGCCTGTAATCCCAGCTACTGGGGAGGCTGAGGCAGAAGAATGGCTTGAACCTGGGAGGCAGAGGTTGCAGTGAGCTGAAATTGCGCCACTGCACTCCAGCCTGGAGACACAGTGAGACTGTCTCAAAAAACAAAACAAAACAAAACAAAACAAACACTGTTTCTAAAAACCAGACAACTTTCCCTCTTACCTCCATGGCAAAAGGAGATGGCAAACGCTGCTAAATGCCTTAATAAGTGGCTGCTATTGGTTCAATGATGGCTATTAAAAACTATCAATTGTTTAGATACAGGAATATGGAGAAAAATCTTGTAAGAAGCACTTTTAAAGCCCACTTTGTGTCAATAGTAGTGTTGTTAATTTCCAACTTCCAGATCATATCGAAAGCATTGGTTATGAAAGTTCTTTGGGGGAAAAGGTCATTCATAAACATTCAGATTCTGAGTTAATGAATTTTCCATGGGTGTCTGCACAGACCCTCCCTCTGTCACTGACTGCCGTGGGCTGTCTCAGGCTGGGGACTGGTCCAGGAGCAGTGCCCGGAGGTCCTGGCTGGCTGGACTTGACCTTTCTCCTTCTCTGGCCAGAGGCCTCTCTTCCTGCTTTCAAGAAATGACTCCATACTGGCTGGGTGCTACTGCCTCTGATGGCCACTAGGGGGAACCAAGGTTCTCGGCAAAGGCTTCTCTCCCACAGCGTGAAACCCAAGGGGATTGTTCTGCATCAATGACTTTTCCCTCCCAGATTCTGAAAGAGGTGCTGAAACGGGAACCCAGTGGCTGGCTACTGGCCTGGTAGAGGTGGATAGTATTGAAGAAGCCCAATCTAGTTCTTAAAGCACAGTTATTATTTTTTTCTTTTTTTGAGACGGGGCTCTCACTTTGTCACTCTGGCTGGAGTGCAGTGGTGAAATCATAGCTTGTTGCAGCCTTAAACTCTTGGGCTCAAGCGATACTCCCACCTCAGCCTCCTGAGGAGCTGGGACTATAGGCACGCACCACCATGCCCAGATAATTTTTTAATATTTTTGTGGAGATGAGGGTCTCACCATGTTGCCCAGGCTGGTTTCAAACTCCTTTGTTCAAGCAATCCTCCAGCCTCAGCGTCCCAAAGTGGTGGGATTACAGGGGTGAACCACTTTATCTGGCCACAGTCAGAAGACACACAACCGACTTTAGTGTTATTATTATTTTTCTAAATTTGAGACAGAGTCTCACTCTATTGCCCAGTCTGGAGTGAAGTGGTGCAACCTTGGCTCACTGCAACCTCCGCCTCCTGGGTTCAAGCGATTCTCATGCTTCAGCCTTCCAAGTAGCTGGGATTATAGGCATGCGCCACCACACCCAGCTAGTTGTTGTATTTTTGGTAGAGACACGGTTTCGCCATGTTGGCCAGGCTGGTCTTAAACTCCTGGCCTCATGTGATCCGCCCACCTTGGCTTCCCAAAGTGCTGGGATTACAGTTGTGAGCCACTGTGCCCGGCCCACAACTATCTTTAAAATGACCGTTTCCAGGAAACCTTCTAGAGGGGTTCCCATGCCCACCTGTGACCCCTGCCCCAGGTCCTGGTCATTGTCTCTCCAGCAAGAAGGCAGCCGAGGGCTATATTCTGTGGCATCCTCCTCTTCTTCCTGTTCTTTACCCTGCTCTTAACACTTCTCACACCTTCATTTTATTAAACAACTCTGATCTGCAGGGAGCTGTACACTCAGTGCTGTGGGCATGGCACTGGGGGAACTGGAGGCTGATGGGGGAGAAAGAAGTACAAGAAATGACTCCTGCATTCAAGTGCTTTTCACCCAGTTTGGAGATGTAGGAATTTGATTCAAGTCATTGAACATTTGCTGAGTGCCCATTTGAGAAACAGTGGAATATTGGGAAAGAAAACAGATTTGGCAACTGACTTTCAACCTCAGCTTCATCTGGAGGGCCAGTGTGACGCTGTGTTACTGAAACCTGCTGGCTCTCTATTTCCTCATTTGCAAAATGGGGCCAGGCATCCCTAAGTGATCCACAGCCCTGTATCAACAGTCACCAGGGGATGGAAGAGAGAGGCTTTCTTTTCTTTTCTTTTTTATTCAGAGACAGGATCTTTCTCTGTCACCTAGGCTGGAGTACGGTGGCACAATCACGGCTCACTGCAGCCTGGAACTTCTTGGCTCAAGCGATCCTCCCATCTCAGCCTCCTGAGTAGCTGGGACTCCAGGCGAAAGCCACCATGCCTGGCTTATTTTTTAATTTTTTGTAGAGATGGGGTCTCATCATGTTGCCCAGACTGGTCTTGAACTCCTGGCTTCAAGTGATCCTCCTGCCTTGGGAGAGAGGCTTTCTTAACCTCTAGGTAAGCGTCACCTCCTTTGTGAACCTCTCCAATCCCTTTCCCTGCAAGTTAAGCAACAATTTCCTTGTCTGTCTTCCAGACCTTTGTTGTAGCCCAGTTAGAGCTGTCTGGGGTGCACTGCCATTATTTGTCATTGAACTGAGAACTCCATCAGAGCAGGGATGGTGGAGATGCCTGATTCCTGCCTAACTGGCTCACAGCCTGGCACTTTTTCAGGGAATATCAGCAGATGCTGGGATGAAGGGAGAGGTAGAAACAGCTTCCTTCTTTCCCGTGTGGGCCCCTTTGCAGACGGTGGTGCCATTCAGATGTGTGGGGACTCAGGGTATGATATTCGGGTGTGTGCGTGGACACTGGTTGTGGTCTTGGGCCTTGGGGTCACTTTGAGGGAGAGCCTGACTATCGAGCACTTGGCCATAGGGCCTGGGCAGTAGACACATGGCGTTGAACCCTGGAATTCCAGGACAGGATGGAGAAACATTTTCCACTGGTGGCCAAATGGCACTGTAGGTGGATGAGTCCTGGGGGATGCTATTAGGAGTCTAGGCACGGTGCTTACAGTGCTGGGTCACAGGTGAGAAAGAGATCCCTCTGGCATCTCCATCAATCCTGTCTTTTTTTTTTTTTTTTTGAGATAGAGTTTTGCTCTTGTTGCCTAGTCTGGAGTGCAATGGCGTGATCTCGGTTCACTGCAGCCTCTGCCTCCCAGGTTCAAGCAATTCTCCTGCGTCAGCCTCCAGAGTAGCTGGGATTACAGGCGCTCACCACCACACCCGGCTAATTTTTTTTTTGTATTTTTAGTAGAGACGGGGTTTCCCCATGTTGGTCAGCCTGGTCCCAAACTCCTGGCTTCAGGTGATCCGCTTGCCTCAGCCTCCCACGGTTTTGGGATGACAGGTGTGAGCCACCGTGCCCAGCCAATCTGTGAAGGAGGGGTTCGGTGCCAGGGAACCCTCTGGCTCTTACTCCCTTTTGAATGCAGAGCAGAGTGAGCAGGACCAGGGCGCGCCTTTGGCAGGCGACAGTGTTCACTGGCAACTTGTGCTCCCTGTTTTCTTTCCGGCTTACTTTTGACAATAGATACTATTTTTACACATTCCATAGTGATACACTTGTCTCATTTAAATAAATGTATTTAAGTTAAAAAATAAAGGGAGTTTGGGCCAGGCGTGGGGGCTCACACCTGTAATCCCAGCACTTTGGGAGGCTGAGGCGGGCGGATCATGAGGTCAGGAGATTGAGACCATCCTGGCTAACACGGTGAAACCCCGTCTCTATTAAAAATACAAAAAAAAAAAAAAAATTAGCCGGGTGTGGTGATGGGCGCCTGTAGTCCCAGCTACTCAGGAGGCTGAGGCAGGAGAATGGCGTGAACCTGGGAGGCGGAGCTTGCGGTGAGTGGAGATTGCGCGACTGCACTCCAGCCTGGGTGACAGAGCGAGACTCCATCTCAAAAAAAAAAAAAAAAAAAAAAAAAAGGGAGTTTGTTTAAAGAAAAACATTAAGTAAACAACACCACAGGTCTACCATAAATACAGCAAAAATCCTGATGCTTGTACAAGGCGGGTTGAGAGCACAGGCTTGGGAGGTCCTGCTCTGACTCTTCCAGCGATATGACCTAGGGCTTCTCTGCACCTCAGTTTCCCCATCTGTAAACAGGGCTAATAATACCTTCTCAGGAGGGTTGTCATGTGGAGCAGAGGAGGTAATGAATGCAAAGTGTTTAGCACAGGGGCAGGCACACAATAGGTGCTTGAGGATTGTGCATTGTCAAAAGTGTTATTTTGCAGCAGGGATGGATGGGGCCTGTAGAATGCGAGATGCTGTCTTTACTCCACCCTGCAGAGACAGGGAGCATGGCTCCTGGGGATGGAGGGTGGGAGGAAGCAGGACCCCTGAGGAATGGTCAGGCTGGACCTGGGAACCCCGGGTACTTCCTGTAGGCCAAGGAAGGAGAGTCCATCCCACTCGCTAGGCCTGGGCAGGAAACCAGGGGCTCTGTGCAGGGTTTCTCCTTTGGGTTGCAGAGCTTTCCCACTGTGCTCTGCCACTCCAATTCCCCTTCTTTCAAGATTTAATTCAGTGTTTCAAATGTTCCTAATAAGGTCCTGGCAATGTTAGCTTTGGAGGTTCCTAGCCTGGAAGGCCACATTTTCTACTGAAGTTTGATATTAACACACCAGTGAGAACAGCTTCAGCTGATGAGAATTACAACTATTCTCCAACTCTCAGACAAGATGAGTGTGCTTGAAAAATATTAAAGAGCTTTTCCCTCCCTCCTTCCCTTCCTCCCTCCCTCCCTCCCTCCCTCCCTTCCTTCCTTCCTTCCTTTTTTCTTTCCTTCATTCCTTCCTTCCTGAATTTATTGAAGGTATACTGGGTACTAGTATTGTGGTCTTTGCTAAAACCAGGAGTTCCTTCTTCTCTGGCATAGGCCGAATTTCAGTTCTTTAAACACAAGTGAAAGGCAGAAATTGCAGGACCCCTGTCACTTGGATCAGTCAAAGAATTCTTCTCTTGTTCACTTGTTTCAAGTATTTACATATGATTCAGGTCACACACTCACACACGTCGCTTTGAGGCATCTGTCTGTGCAGATTAATCTTGTTGGCCTGTTTGCTTAGTTTTTCCATATTCAGGAGGGAGAAACCAAACACCCAGGGCACAGGTTTGGGCACATTTGCTGGGCCCTGTGACCCTGACAGGAGTTAGTGTACCCCTGCAGAGCCAGTCTTTTCCCCTTCCCATGGGCAGCCACCGACAGCCCATCCACCGCAGCCAGCAGATTCCTTACAGTTCTCCCCACTCCCCAGCGATTCTCCTCTCCAAGCCTCTGTGCAGGCTGCTCCCCTTTCCTGGAGTGCCATCTTTTGTCCTGTTCATTCTCTGAGACACTCCATGTCCTTCCTCCCCTATGAAGACTTCCTGAGACCTTCCAACCCTTCCCTGCCCTGAGATCCTACAGAATCCACAGTCCAGACCACACCACGCACCCAGTGGCCCTGTATCATCTGAGTTCCCACACAGTCTCGTTCCTGCCTCCCCAGTGTCGGGGCAGGCTCCTGGGGACCAGGCCTTAGGCTTAGAGCTGATATTTGTGGAGCTCCTCTTATGCATGAAGCTCAGCGCTTCCCATCCTTGAGCTCAAAACTACCCTGTGGAGGCAGATGCTGCATTGACCTCATTTCAGGCACAAGAAATAATGAGGCATCCTTATGGTCACGCAGTAGGAAGAAATAGAATAAAGATTTGAATACAGGTGGTCTGGCTCCAGAGCCCTGAAACACTCCTCTCTGTTTCCCCTGGCCCTTCCCTACAGCACAGGGCTAGGTTCATTGGGGAGCTGAAGAAGGAGGTGGTCCCCGGGAACCTAGGCCTGCCTGGGTGATGGATGGAGTGCAGAAAGGTGCCTGGTGGGCATTAAGCAAGATTAGCCATGCCTAGACTGGAGCTGCCGCTGCTGCATGATATTGGTGGGGTCTCTGTGCAAAGCCCCCTCTGATTTCCTGAACACTCACTTCTGTCCCTGGAATGCTGTCGCTCCAGTGCTTTTAATTCAAAGCATTTACTTATTTTGCATTGCTTTGCTCCCTAAAGGATTTGAGGCAACCTACAAGAAAACATTCAATAAACTCATAATAAAATATAAATAAGAACAACAAGGGAAGGTGCTGTTCACATCACGACACTCGTTTCTTGCATCTGATGGCCCTTCGTGGACCAGGCTATCCTCCCTTCTCCGATCCTCACATTCAGAAAGGTCTTGCCTGTCACACGTTTTAAGTAAAAACACACAGTGCTTTGCGACTTCTGGGGTTTAAATGTGAAGATGCAAGGCTTCTCTCAGGCTTCCATGTGCATATATGATCAGATTTGCTTCCCAATCAAAGTCGCTAATTTGAAAGGTACAGGTCACTGTCAGCTTGCTCTGGTCCTCTCATCTCCCCTTCTTGATCAGCCTTCTTATGCTGCCCTCTTGTCATAACCCGGTGCTTTCTAGCCATGATGAAAATGTTATAAAAGGGGCAATGTCTCAGCTCGCCCGGATGGAGCAGTGGCAGATGCTGTGAGAGTCAAGGGTGCCCGACTTCCTGGACTGCCGGGTCACAGGGGCGCCGGTCCACCCCAGGTTCCTGCAGATACTGCAGAACTGTCTGCTGCTTCAGTGCGCTTTCCTCGCCTCCAGGGAAGTATTATTATGGTGTTGAATCCGTGAGCCCAAGGTCCGGTGGAGCCAGAGAATGTGTTTGTGAGGAGGTTGAGTTGTGTTTGCTGGGAAGCCATGGGGCTTGGAGCCACGAGGGAAGCTGGCACGTGTGAGGTTGAAGGACAGCATGGTAGTGGCCCTGGGGATGCTTTTCCTCATTCTGCCTGGATCAGTTCATTAAATGACCAGCAGCCCTCTTTCAGGAGGCCATGTGACTAGTATATATGACTATGTCTATGTTGGAGCTCAAGATCACGCACCAGCAGGCTCCGGTTCTCAGACATAAGGAAACCATTTTGATAGCCATGTTCCCTGTCATTCCATGCAGAAGGTGGAAAACTGGGTTGGAAAATTCTAAGGGAGGAGTCTTGGAAAAGGTCGAGATCGAATCCCAGCTTTGCTCTTGGCTGGCTCTGTGGCCTTGGACAGGTAGCTGCCCCCTGAGCACCCAGAGCAGGACTCATGATACTTGCCAGGCAGAGATATTTGAGGATGACCAGAGAGGAGGTTTGCAAAAGGCCTGGTGCCAGTAGGAGCCTTGCAATTGTTGGTTCCATTTCTTCTTGCTTGGAAGATGGGGGTCTTCTTTTTGTCTGTTTGTACTGCTGTAACAAAATACCTTCAGCAGTAATTTATAAGCAGCAGAAATTTATTTTCTCACAGTTCTGGAGGCTGGGGGGCTGAAGTCAAGGCGTCTGGACATTAGGTGTTTGGTGAGGCCTCGGTCTCTGCTTCCTTCCAACATGGTGTCCCGTTGCTGCATCCTCCAGAGGGGATGAATGCTATGCCCTCCTATACAGTGGAAGGGTCAAAGAGTTGGAAAGGGAGGAAGCGCTCCGAAGCTTCTTTTATAAGGCCACTGATGCCATTCATGAGAACTCTGTCCTCATGGCTTAATTCCCTTCTACAGACTCCACCTCTTAATGTTACCATATTGGTGAGTAATTTTCAACACGTGCACTATGGGGGTCATTCAGACAACAGCGGATCTGGGTAAGATGATCTTTGAGGAATCCTCCTTTTTCAGGGCTGTAGGGCATGGATGGTGCTAAGCTTGGTATGCTTTGAGGAGTCTGAATTGAAGAGGTTCCTGCCCTTCAGGAGCCCAGCTTTTAGCGGGTGTGGACAGACATATAAGTAGGTGATCACGACAATGGAGCTGTGACTAGGGAAGTGCTGGGCCCGGGGGAGTCTGAGAGGATGCACTGGAACAGCCTGGGGATGGAGGGTGGCAGAGGTGGTTGAAGAGAGGTGGGAGTCAGCCAGGTGAAGCGGACAGGGGAGTGGGCATCCCAGTGACCTGAAATGGCCTGAGCAAAAGCTGGGAGGAGTGAGACTGCTTGGTATGGTGCGGAATGCAAGGATTTCTGTGGTTCTAGAGCAGGACATGTTCTGAATCAGACATTTGCAGATAAGGGCAAAGTCATGTAGGGGCCTTGGACCAAATCAAGGGGCTTGGGCCTTGACTCTCCTCAAGCTCTTTTCTGTCCCAACCAGTCCAGCCCTTCTCCAATCTTAGGTCAGGACTACGGGTTAGGAGACCCAGAGGATTTAAAATGTGAGTCTTTAATGGCTGGTGGGGCTGCTCAGTGTCCTAATCCACAGATGGGCTCCTATCATGCCCCACACCCAAGACCCTTCCATGGCTCCACACTGCCATCCTGATCTAGTTCAGGATGGTCTTCAAAGCCTTGTGTGATCTGATCATACTCCACCCCTAGGCCTCACCTGTCTTCACTCCCCTTCCAAACTTCTCTCCCCTCTCACCTCACTCATGTTCTCCTCTCCCCACTCCCCTTTGCTTGATTCACTTCTGCTCATCCTTTGGGGCTCTGTTCAGGCTTTGCTTCCTCCAGGAAGTCCTCCCTGACTCCCTCTGAATCCTGTGGTCCCTGTGCCTCCCCATCTTAGCACATTTCACACTGGACAAACTGGCTCCCTGGCTAGGCTGTCAGCAACTCAGGGGCAGGGGCAGGGGCAGAGGCAGAGGCAGGTCTTTCGTTTTTCCACTGTACACTGGACCCTGGCAGTGTCTGCACTTAGTAGGTGCTCACTCATCGCTTCTGCATGAATAAATGATTGAGTGAATCAGTGAAGGCCTTTTATTTCCTCCTGACAATCTGTTCACTTCCCAGACCCCTGCTGGGGGGCCTGCACACACCCATTGCTACTTTAGAGACCCTGGAACTAAGATTTTACTGCTTAGCTTCATCACGTATTTTTACTCTATGTGTCCCTGTTTCTGGCCTTTCTATTCCGCCACCCGGTGCACAAAGGTACTCCACTTTTCTATATTTCTGAGCCCACCCACTCTGTTTCTGATGCTCAAGACCCTTGGATTCATCAAAAGGAGGACTTTTAATCTTCCTGGGCATAGCCATTTCAGAAACGTATTTCAAAGCTGCTTGAAAGCAAGAGGCTGCGGCTTTGATGTCTCTGTTAGCTTCTCTGCAGGGGTACAGGCTGGCTCACTGAGACCACCAGGAGCCTGAGGATGGGGAGAGAATGCCCTGTGGGTTTCTGAAAAGGCATGGAGGGCAGTGGGTCCATCGGCTGGAACTGGAACTGACAAGGTGATGTCCCCGCACCCAGGCTCCCTCCCCTGCCTGCCTTGGCCAGCAGGGTCTCCACTCAGGAGTGAATATTGTGGTTTCTGCATAGACCCCATCTTCGAGGCCTTAGCACCCATTCCCCAGGTGCTGGGAATACCTTCATCCTTCACTGGAAATTGCCCTTGGCGGAAGGAAACGGCTTCATCCAAGGTGAAGTCCTTTCCCATAGCTGATGACTGGCTGATGGAGTGGGGCAGTTATAAAGACTTGGGCCCCCTGGCCTCAATTTCAGACAACTCTGAGGGATCAGCTTGGATACAGAGCTCTCCTGGGATCAGCTGAAGCCTTCAGAACCAGCACATTGTGGTCACCTTTGCCCAGCCCCACTGGCCTCCCTCCTTTTCAGGGTACATCTCCCGGGACCATGCAGTGGCAATGAACATTCTACACGAGGCTCTCCATCCCTGTCCTAGTTCCTGCAGGGCCTGGGGTGCATTTCCATTGCAGCCTGGGGCACAGGCTGATCCTTCTTCAAGACCACCACTAGTAGGAGTCCCCAGAGTCCTGGGATTTTGCCTGAGAAAGGAACACACACAAGAAACAGTAGCCAAAGGGAAGTCAGACAGGCTTGGGCAGGCCTGGGACGGGCATTGGGTATAGGCTGGATTTGGGAGGCAGCATGGCTGCCAGGCCTAAAGGAAGCTTTCTATATCCCATTGATGAATCCAGGATGGCCACATCTGTAGAAAGGGCCCCAAGAGTCACATGAATGAGTGTGGCCAACCTGCCTCTTCTCATTCACGCCTGGACATAGGGAGCACAGGAGAGTGAGCCTTGTATGACACAAAGTGTATTGGTCCATTCTCGCATGGCTATAAAGAACTACCTGAGACTGGGTAATTTATAAGGAAAGAGGTTTAATTGGCTCACAGTTCTGCAGGCTATACAGGAAGCATGACTGGGGAGGCCTCAGGAAACTTATAGTCATGGCAGAAGAGTGAAGGGGAAGCAAGCACTTTCTTCACATGGTGGAGCAGGAGAGAGAGGGAGAGAAGGGGGAATGTTACACACTTGTAAACAACCAGATCCCATGAGAACTCAGTAACTCACTCACTGTCACAAGAACAGCAAGGGGAAAATCCACCCCTGTGATCCCATCACCTCCCATCAGGTCTGTACCCCAACCTTGGGAATTACAATTTTTCTTTTTTTTTTTGAGATGGAGCCTCGCTCTGTCACTTAGGCTGGAGTGCAGTGGCGCAATCTCACTGCAACCTCCGCCTCCTGAGTTCAAGCGATTCTCGTGCCTTAGCCTTCAGAGCAGCTGAGATTACAGGTGTGTGCAATCATACCTGGCTAATTTTTGTATTTTTAGTAGAGACGGGGTTTCACCATGTTGGCCAGGCTGGGCTTGAACTCCTGACCTCAAGTGATCCACCCGCCTCAGCCTCCCAAAGTGCAGGGATTACAGGCGTGAGCCACCATGCCTGGCTGGGAACTACAATTTGACTTGAGATTTGGGTGGGAACACAGAGCCAAGCCATATCACAGAGTGACCCTGCTGCTGGCAACATCTCAGGGTTGATCGCTCACATGGCCATGCCCTCCTTCCCTGGTGGAGCAACTGTGAGGGCATGGAGGTGGGTGGAGGGCAGAAACATGGGGAGTGGGGCTCCTCCCAACACATGCCCTTGACTCTGCAGATGAAGATGAGCCTCCTCTCTCTACTGCCATACCTGGCTGACCAGCAGTGGGGGCAGAGGAAGGGCCACCTGTTACCCAACTTGGAGACCCTCCACTGGGGCCATCCTTTCCCCACCCAGCCAGGGCAGAGCCCTGGCAATTTGTGGCACCTGGTAGAAGGGAGGGTGATGGACATGTGCCAGCTCTGCCTGCTCGTTAGCATCGCACTGGGCTTTGCACATGAAGTCCCTGCACCCTCTCCACAGTGCTCTGGGAGGTGCTGATCATGCCCGATTTACAGATGAAGAAATGAGGGACAGAAGGTTTGAATAACATGCCCAGTGTCCTAGGGGGTGCAGGGCAGAGCCAGGGTTAAAATCCAGACCCCTGACTTGCAGTCCTGCTCTTCCCTTCACACATCTCAGCAGATTTGAAATTCAACAGTTGCCAAATGGGGAGTCAGGACCCAAACCTCAGGAGAGGGTCTCTCAGCCTCCATTTGCATGAAAATGAGCATCGCAGAGATTTACCGAGGGTCTGAAATGTGCTCCATGCTGCGTTTGGTGCATCACTCCTGTCTCATCTTCACTGTGATCTGCTGTGCGGTGTGTGTTATGACCGCCTTCATTTTAGGAATGAGCAAATTCTCCCTCCTGCAGTTCTCTACCATCCTGGCCTGGGGTCCCCATGGAGCTTGGAGCCCCACACTCCCAGTTCCCATAGCCATATGGGACCGCATAGCCAGTGAAGAGAGGCAGAGCCACACGCCGGGATTTCTGGCGAGATCCAGGGAGATGAAGTTGGAGCTTTCTGGAGAGGGCAATTCATTCATTATTGATCAGCATTTCCATGTAGTCAGCTCCTGCTCGGGGCTGGGCTGTTTCCCATCCTTTTCCCCTGATGGGAATCTGGGAGTGGTGCCAGAGGCTGAGCAGAAGTGGGAAGCGGGGGACTTGGAGCCACCACTGGCTGTGTGGATTCGTTTCTGGAGCCAGTAACTGGGGACTCCTGATCTCGGCCCAGTGCCCCTGTGAGTTGCTCCCAGGGAGAGTCAGCAGCACTTTCAGTTTCTTTGCAGCATAGCTTGGTGTGGCATCCTCTGGAGACCTCTGAACTGCATTATGTGTCTGACCTGAGGGCTAGCAAACAGCAAGACACCCCAAAATGAGCATCCTCGTCACGGTAGAGTGGAAAGGGGACAGCCTCCATGATCAGGTGGTCGTGGCTCCAAGCCTGGCTCTGTCCCTTGCAAGCTGTGTGACTTTGGGAAGTCATGGCATCTCTCTGGGCCTTACTTTCATCATCTGGTAAAACTGGAGGTACTCCTGCTTGGGCACAGAAGTCACTGTGAGGCTTATGTGAAACAGTGCACAGAGGAGGACTTAGCATGGTGCCTGAGACAGAGCAGATTTTCAGCAATGGATTTCCTGCCTTCAGGCAAGTGCCACACCCACAGACCCTGCTGTATAGTGAGCTCTTGCTAACCTCCGATGGCAACTGCATCCCTGAGCCTGATGGCTTTTCTGGAACCACGGAAGGCCCCCTCATCACCTTTCCCAGCCTTACAGGGGAGCATCCCCAACCAGAGACTGTGGTGTATAAATTCCTTCGTTCCGTCTCTTCAATAATGCGGTCATTCTGAGGTAGGTTTTGCACCATTTCCAGAGTTTCCTGAAATAATCTGTATTCATTTTCTATTGCTGCTGTAACATATTATGACAAACGTGGTGACTTAAAACAATACACATTTACTACCTTGCAGTTGTTGATGTCAGAAGTCTAAAACAGACTTCTTTTTTTTTTTTTGAGACAAGAGTCTTGATCTGTCACCCAGGCTGGAGTGCCGTGGTACGATCTCAGCTCACTGCAACCTCCGCTTCCCGGTTCAAGCGATTCTTCTGCCTCAGCCTCCCAAGAAGCTGGGATTACAGGCACACACCACCACATCCGGCTAACTTTTGTATTTTTAGTAGAGACAGTGTTTCACCATGTTGGCCAGGCTGGTCTCCAACTCCTGGCCTCAAGTGAGCCTCCCTCATCGGCCTCCCAGTATGCTGGGATTACTGGTGTGAGCCACCATGCCCGGCCCTGAAATAGGTCTTTGGGAGGCTCCAGGGCAGAATCCATTTCCTTGCCTTCTTTAGCTTCTGAGGCTGCCTTCATTCCTTGGCTTGTGGCCTCTACTTCCATCTTCAAAGCCAGCAATGGCCATTGAGTCTTTCTCACATCACAGCACTCAAACTCTTCTTCTTCCACATGGAAGGAGCCTTGTGATTAGCTTGGTCCTATCTGGATGATGCAGGATAATTTCCCCATCTGGAGATCAGCTGATTAGCAACCTTCATTTCATCTTCAGTCTTAATTCCCCTTTGCTGTGTAATGTAATATATTCATAGGTCCTGGGGATTCACAGCTATCTCTGGGGGCCTTGCTCTGCCTACTGCATCATCCAGGTGGTTTAACAGCTCACCTTTGTGGCTGCCTCCCCTTTCACCGTGTCCCTTCCCCAGTTCCCTGCTGGTAGTTCCTGAATCTCCTAAGTGAACTCCTTGTACTTTAGTCATTGTCTCAGGGTCTTCTTCTGGGGGGAATCGAAACCAATGTGTTCAGCAATCCTTTAAAATTAAAGACACAGGGCAAAGGTAAAGTCAACCTGGGCTGCAGAGACTCAAGACTGAAAGTGATGAGTTTTGGTGATATGGTACAGAGGAAGATGAGTTTGGTGATGCAGTGAGGGGCAGATGTGGTGGCCATGCCTGCAATCTTAGTGCTTAGAGAGGCTGAGGCTGGAGAATCACTCAAGGCCAGAAGTTGGAGGCCAGCCTGGGCAACATAGCAAGACCCCTATCTCTACAAAAAGTAAAAAATTAGCTGGAGTGGTGGTGAGCATTTGTAGTCCCAGCTACTTGAGAGGCTCACTTGAGCTCAGGAGTCTGAGGTTACAGTGAGCTATGATCATACCACTGCACTCCAGCCTGGGTGACAGAGCGAGACCTTGGACATGGCCTCTGCTGGTGTCCTGTGGGCTGTGAGCAGTCTCTCCATCTTGCAGATGGATGCAACAAGGTGGAGGCAACAGCTAATCTCCACTCCTATGCCTCTCTCTACCCCCAGGACTCTCTGCCTCTGCCAGGTAACAGGTGTCACAGCACAAATGAATGACTCATTCTCCTCACTTAGCAAATTTCAATTTTAAGTAATTGCTTGAATCAAAGTTATTTATTGGATCTTTCAGAATTAAAGCTGGTTTTGATTAGTTTCCATCACTAGTAAAATGGAAAATATGCTTCCCATTGGGTGGGGATTTTCCTCAATCATGGCCTGCTTGACAACGAACACTGAACTTGGAGCACACCATTCTGAACCTTCCCATCAGGACCTCTCCTTTTCTCCCATCCAAGTACTAACCAGGCCCGACCCTGCTTAGCTTCTGAGATCAGACGAGATCGGGCACATTCAGGGTGGTATGGCTGTAGACAGGACCTCTCCTTTTCTGTCTTCAAAAGACTTTTCCATGATCACAGCCCTTGCTATGGCCAGGCACCCAGTGGACACTCAATAGCTGATTAGAAAATTCCTTCTGACCATTTAAAAATAAAATCTAGAGTATGCATAAGAGCAACAAGTCAAAAATAGCAACTCTCATATATCCACTGAAAAATATGTTAAAATTTATCATATTTGCCCTGAACTGCTCAGATATTATGTGACTACAGTGCTCCATTGCCCAAGACAAAATTCAGAATACAGTAGATAAATTTCAGGTCTCCATCTCTCTCTAAATCCTAATCCTCTTCCTTTCTTCCCAGTGGTATCCTCTATAATGAGTTGGGTGTATTCTGTTCTTCAAAAAATAAAAGCCTTTCACATATCCATAGGAAATAATAGTATCCCTATGTGTATTTTAACTTTCATAAATGGTATTATGCTATTTATATCATTCTGCAACTTGCTTTATTTCACTGAACAATGTGATTTTTAGGCCTGTGTCCAAACTGGCCATTTTGGTTCATTTCTTTTAACTGCTTTGTTTCATATTAAAAAAAAAAATCTGTCCTATTCATGGACATGTAGTTTACTTCCAATTTCTTTCTGCTGCAGAAAACAATGTTGCAATGTCATCCTTATACATAGGTCCTTATGCACACATGTGCAGGGGTCTGTAGGAAAGACCCCTTCCAGGGAAAGCACAAGACCATGGCCAGGCGATAGCATTTTCAGCTTCAGTGGAAGCCACTATTCAACATGACTGTGCCAATTACACCCTCAACAGCAGTCTGTGAGAATCATGTTTTCCCTACATTGTCACCAGCACTTGATAGCATCTGACTTTTTCACTTTTGCCAGCCTGAGGACATGCCACGGCCAGTTTTTAAACCAGGTAAGTCGCTGAAAGGCTCACCACTTTTTTCCTCTTAATCCAGAAGACAGAAAACAAAGCACCTATTTTACACATTGGGTTCTGTCACCTAAGTCTCCCCTCATCTGCTTATGGGTAGGGGACTGGCTGGCTGGGTGGGCACCAGGCAAGGGATAGGTGTCAGTGTGAGATGTGGTGGGTTGGGACACAGGAGATGGTGAGGGTAGGTGAGGAGAAGGGAAGTGGGGAGGCCAGGATGAAGGCCTGGGGACAGGGCTGGGCTTGTATTTGATGCCACAGCACCACAAATCCTGAGCTGGGAAGGTAGTGCAGTGATACTGGAGGGGCTTGGTTGGAATGGCCACTGTTTCTGAAGTGGGACAGATGCCTGGGCTGGCTTGGCTCTGCAGGCCAGGAGCAAGGTAGATAATGAGTAAAGGTGGGTGAAGAGGAGGCGAGCCTTCAGATGTACCCTGTTGGTTGTGGCTGGAGCAAAGGCAATGGGGATGGTTTGTGTGGGGCTTCAGAAAAACTAGACATGTGTATTTGATGGTGGATAGGTGTGGCTCATCAATATGAAGGGGGAACCCTTAAACGAAGACTCCCTGATGGGACTGATACCCTCCATCCTCCACCCTTGTTGGGGACTCCTGGGCCTGGAGCAGCCATGGAGGGGCCAGACACCAGGCCACAGTGTCTAGTGCTGGAGGCCATGGTAAAATCAAAGGCTCCAGATACCTCTCAAGAAGAGGCATGGGTGGCCCCTGGTGACTGTTTCAGGGGTGCTATGGTTTGAATGTTTGCCCTCTTCAAAACTCATGTTGAAACTTAATCCCCAATGTGGCAGCATTGAGAGATGGGGTCTTTAAGAGGTGATCGGGTCTCGAAGCATCTGCCCTCAGGAATAGATTAATGCCACTTGCGGATTAATGTGTTATCATGGGAGTGGGACTGGTGGCTTTATAAGAAGAGAGACCTGAGCTGACATGTCCAGCCCCCTTGCAATGTGATATCCTGTACTGCTTCAGGACTCTGCCGAGGGTCCCCACCAGCAAGAAGGCTCTCAACAGATTTACCCCTTCAACCTTGGACTTTCCAGCCTCCAGACTGTAAGAAACAAATTCCTTTTTTTAATAAATGACCAAGTCTCAGGTATTCAGTAGTAGCAACAGAGGATGGACTAAGACAAGGGGAAACTTTCAGGTAGAAGAGCTTCCTATTTGAGAGGTGAGTTTTGGGATCTTCCATTTGATCCTGTTTCTGCAGTGAGTTGGAGGACAGGATTGGATGAGAGCAGGCTGGGGTGGTGAAGGGCAGTGCTGCATATCAACCAGCCACATCACTCCTGTAACAGGAAGTCTCACGCTATACCCACTTCCTCTCCCTTCCTCCCTGGTGGCTCTGGTCTAGCCCCTGGTTTAATCCTAGGATTGGGGCTAGGGGAGGTTGGCTGCATGCACAATGGTGGTGACATGTTTCCTTTGCTCAAGAGCTGAGCAAGCTCTTAAAGAAGGAGCATGGGTTCAGCAGGCAGAAAACAGGGAAGAAGGAGTTCTGGGCAGAGGGAACAGTATGTGCAATACATGGAGGTGTGAGAGAGTTTGGCATATTGAGAGAATAGTGCATAGTTTGCATGCCAGAAATGTACATGGTGGCAGAGGATTGTGGGTTGGGGGAAGCAATGATCAATGGGGCTAGATGAGTAGTCAGAGGACAACTTAGGCATGACCTTATCAGCCATATGGAGTTTGATTTTTATTCTGAAAACAATAGGAAGCCTCTAAAAGTCGTTAAGCAGGGGAAGATGCAATTCGATTAGCAGTTTCAACAGAGATTGGAAAAGGAGAGAATTGTTTACTGATGATGATAATTACTTGGCTAATATTACTTGAGCACTTAAATTTTGCCCAAGTGATTTACATACATTATCTTAATGTTACAACCTGTCTTATAAGAAAGATGTACCAGTCAGCTATTTGCACAATAATGCTGTATAACAAACAACTACATAATTCCTACAACAGTCAGCATTAATTTCTAGCTCACACACCTGTAGACTGCCTGGGGCAGCTCTGCTTCTGGGTATAGGTCAGTAGGTCTGCTGAGGTCTCTGTTCAACACATCTCATCCTGGGGCCCTGCTAGGCGGGGCAGTGGCTTTCCAGGGTATGTCCTCTTTGTGGCAATCATAAAAGCCTGAGAAGGCAAGCCCACACCCATAAGCACATTTCAAGCTTCTGCTGGTATCATTTCCACTAATATTCCCTTGGCCAAAGCAAGTCACATGACCCACTGTGAGGCCATGGCAATGATGGGAGAGGCCCACTAAGAGTTGGAGCCAGTAGTTCAATCATCCACAAAGGTGTTTATTATTATCTCCATTTACAGAGGAGAGCAAAAGAGAGAATGATTTGCTTGAGGTTGTGCAATGAGCTAGGATTTGCTCCTGGGTGTCTCTGCTTCTTGAGATTCTTGGCTTTTGCTCTGCTGTTTTGTAGAGTTACATCTTGGCTATCGGGCCATTCCCTAGGCATAGGCCTTCCCTGCTGCCATGCCTGCCAGTGAGGAAAGCCTTTTCTTCTGCCAAACAGTCTCCTAATCCTCTCTAATGAGGGTGCTGGAGAGCTTGGGATAAAAGGCTCTCTTGGGCTGCTATCAGGAGGTTAAACCCACCCCAGACGTGGGTCCCCAAACCAGTCCCACTCACTGTCTGGAGCTGAGGCCCTGGATACCACTCCACCTGAGCACTTCCTCCTGGGAATGAATTAGGCTATTGATCCTGGGTGGGTGGGAGCCCTGCATGAGGCCGTTCAGAGGAGCAGTGCTGGGACCATGCTATTTAAGAAATGTTTGGCTAGTCAGCTGCTGTAGCTCTTCCTCAAAACCACTCTGAGTCAATCAGTTGAGAGGGGATTTTTTTTTTTTTTCATAGCCATGGGATGTTGGAGTATTTTGAAAAGAGCAAGCCCTCATATTTGTGACAAGCCTCGCTGAGGTGGAACAGCTCATTTTATAGATGTCTGCCTTTGAGATATTATTTACTTTGTTAAAAAACAGTCACAACAAATGCTGGGTACAGTCCTGGTTTTGTCCCTTGCAAGTTACAGATGGATCAGCTTAGAGGTTTTGGAACATGAGGGCATAGAAGAGAACTGGACTCATGGTGATCAGTTTTGAATGGGGCTATGATGTGGCTGGGGGAAGCCACTCTGGACATTAGCCATCAGAAATGAGTCTGGGATCACCTGGGGGGTCTTAGGAGCACCTGGGGATGGGGTGGGGTAGGAGGGACTTTACCCCACCCATTCTACAAGCCCTGCATCGGGAGGAACCGTTCTCATCCTCTGGGTGATGTCAGAGGCCATTTTAGTTTGCAGGTTTTTGTTTTCAAAACACACCGTAGAGTCATCCTGAAGAACAGATTTCTGTTTAACATGAGGCTGGGGAAATGGATCTTGTTTATTAAAACATACACACGCAGCAAAACCTGCTTGACTCTGTATAACCAGAATCAGCCTGGAGGCAAGGGTGAACCCGAGGAGATTTTATTTTATTTGTAGAAGGAAACAGGTTTTCTACCTGTTACTTGGCTTCAGGGGCAGATATCCCAAAGAATGACTGAGTCCCAGGAGAGGAGGATGCTGTCTAGAAGGGTGCAGGAGGAAGAGGGAGGAAACTGAGGAGTGTGGAGCCTCCATTCCATTCCTGATGCTTAGACCCTCCCATTCTCCGAGGGCCAGGCCCCAGATGTGCTGTTCTCTGTGCCTGGCACTTTGCAGGTGCTCAGTAAGTGCTCTGTAAATAGATGAATGAATGATCTCATTCAATCCCCTAGCAGCCTTCTCTAGTAGGTATGAATATCCCCCTTTGGTAAAATCCTCGACTTTCTCCTGCCATCCCAGCCTCCCAGGTACATCCATTTGCATGCTTGCAGCTATCCCCTGATTTCTCTGGCTTTTTGGCTTCACCTGCTATTGTAAGAGCTTCAGGTCTTACCTGGGGGTTTCTGGAGTCCTGAGAGCACCCCAGGGGAGCCCCCCTTTGCCCTCTCATGGCATCCTCCACCTTCTCCTGCTCCTACTCCCCTGGTTGGTGTCCACGGGTTGCAACATCCCAGGGGGTCACCCAGGAATGTGGTGGCCACACTTGGAGCTCTCACCAAGTGTTTACCCGGGTGCTCACCGTGAAGACCCCAGCCTCTGAGTCTTATATGCACCCTAACTATGCCATGTAACACGCTGAAATCAGAATGCCTTGTTGCTGTTTGGTGTTAGGATTTGTCAACTGGGCTCGGGTCCAGGCTCACTTGCACCACCTGAGCCTAGGGTTCCCACTGGGGAACTCCTTCAGCAGGAAGGAAGGCAGGCTCCAAACATGCTGTCTGGTTCATTCAGGGCTCGGTAAGTGTTAGTTTTCCCTCCCCCTTCCCTTCTCCTCTCTTAACTGGACTTTATTGGTCTGGGAGGCTGGAAGCTGAGCACCCTCAAGATGAGGCTGGAGGTTTCTCAGGCCAGGAGGGTCCCAAGAATGGGAGACCTGTGCTGAGCCTGCAGGTGGAGGCCAAGAGGCCCTGCCTTAGGGAGAAGGTGGGCTGTAGGGGCCCGAAGCCAGGCATGGACTGAGTTCCTAGGGACCGGATCAGCCAGTCTGTCCAGGCTCTCCTGCCTCCTCCTCTCAGGCAGGAGGTCAGATGGCCTGAGGCCCAAAGAGCAGCCATGGACAGAAGATGTATGAATGAATGAAAGAATGAATGGGCCTCAAGACAGGGAAGGAGCAAGGAAGCAGAAATTCACCAGAGGCCCCTGCTTCTGAGCTCCAGCTCTCATTCTAGGACCTGTCTGCTCCTCCATTGCAACCTCTAATGCTCCATAAATGGTTCAGGGTTTGGTGGTGAGTCTATTTCTGAGCCCTGTACTGTCCACCCTCATTGCGGCCTCCCACATTACTGGATGTGCTGCCTGAGCCCTTATGCCCAGTGCAAACTTGACCTGGTCTCAGCCAGGCCATGTCAGCTGAGTGGGATGGCTGAGTCTCCCATTCCTCCCCTCTTCTCTGCAAGGCTGCAGCTCCCTCCTGTCTCATGGCCCTTCCTTGGGATGTCCTTGGGACCCCCTCACCCTCCAGTTTGAAACACACTCATGGCATTGTCTTCAAAGTTTCCACACTCTACTGGCAGCATCCTCTGTGCTGAACTGAGGTAAGAGTTCAATTTCCATTTCAGAAAAATCATATTAGAAACTTTATATCATGTTTGCCTCTTCCGCTTATCTGTGAACAATTTTTCTGTATTTTGACAGTGAATTTCTCTGTGCATTTAAAGAAATTACCAACTCAAGCAAAAATATATAGAAGAGAAATTAAATTTCACCGATTTCTGTCATCAGGGCAATGCCTCAGATTCCTCATTCAGTCTGGAAAGACACGGAATCTTGATTACCCACAGAACTGGGTCAACGTGCTATAAATGTCAGAACAGTTCTCATCACCTGCAAGTTCATGTTAGGTGTCATAGTCAAACAGTTGTCACGCCAGCCCCAGCCCCAGCGCCCTCAGGGTTCATGATGATGATTCTGATAGTTAATGATGTCCTCACGACCAGGGAGGTGCTATTCCCACTTCACAGATGACAAAACCAAGGCTCAGAGAGGTTTAGCAACTGGTCTGAGTGAATTTGAGCTTGAGCTTAGGTCTGTTTGTTTTAACAATAATAGCAAGGTGTTTTTCCAGCCTTTTGATTTATGTAGCACCTACCTCCACTCTACCTGTTCCAGTCAGTATTGCAGTATAACAAATTGCAGCCACACATAGCAGCTTCAAATAATCATTTAATTTGGCTCCTAAATTCTGTGGTCAGGAATTCTTCAGAAGCACAGCAGGGATCACTGGTCTCTGTTCTGTGATGTCTGGGGTTCAGAATCACCTGGAGGCGCATTCATTCATTCATTCATTCATTCATATGTTTGATATCTGAGCTGGGGTGCCTGGAAGACTACAGTTGCCAAGAGAACCACATGCCCATGGCTTCTCCATGCGCTTGGTTTACTCCCAGTCAAGCAGTCTCTGGAGTAGTTGAACCTTTTATAGGGCAGCTCTGAGCTCCAACAAGCTGGGTATTCTGGAGAATAAGGTGAAAGAAAGTTGCACAGCCTTTAACGATCCATTCTTGGAAGTTGCATGGTGTCACTTCGGCTATATTCTATTGCTGAGGCAGTCACATGCCAACTTAGATCCAAGGCAAGGTGATGTGGACCCCACCCCTTGCTGGGGGGAGTTCAAGGCCACATTGTAGAAGAGAATTTGGGAGACGAGAATACAGTTATGGTTGTTGGGAAACACAATCTGCCACTCTGTTAAGACCCATGTTGTGAAAATGAATCAATCCACTGCCCATAAATAGGTTCTGTAAATGGGCCACACTTTATCAATATAAATGCAGCCCTAGTAACGTAGTCCGATCAGGGGATAGGAAGGGTGGAACGCTCCAATATTAATTGTCCTTTCTGCCAGCAGGTCAGGCTTTCACACGGAGCTCAGAGGAATACAGAATAGTCCTGTCCTTCGTGTTCAAGCAATGTCTTCCAGCATGGGTCTTTTGATTTTGGCTCTTGGGGCAATGTTCCCGTGTGACTGTGGCTCCTGTGGTCACTTGGACATGAATTTTGAATTCTGTTTCTTGTCTCCCCTGCCCCAAGGCTCCTTGGTAGCCTGTCCCTGTGGGTTCCTGTCTTAATCAGGCCAGCCTGGTGTAGGTCTGAAGCACGCAGTCCCCTCTGGCTCCTCTCTGCAGGACAGAGAGTGGGGCGGAGGGACTCTGGGTTGGTTGGCTCTTTGACTCGACAAACACTGGCCTTGTCTTATCGTATCTGTGATGCTGAAAGGGTATCTGTCCCCTTTGCTGCCTTGAACAAATGCGTCCTCCTGTCACTGCAGCCTTTGGAAGGTTCATATCCCAGGAGGGAGGCTAGCGTGGAGGAGGGAAGGAAAGACAGCTCCATTTCATTAGAAAGGGTCTTCCTTCCTTTTTCTTTTTCTTTTAAACTGTTTCCCAAGTGTCCTGATTCAAACCCAGAAGAGACGGGAAGGTATTTCCCTATCAGATCAGATAAAATGGGGAGAAATGGATCAGTATGATCGTTTTTCACTTGTTGGTGCCAAGTGTCTATTTGAAAACTCCTTCTACACCCAGTCAGGACATTACTCTTCCTTGCCTCCATCCTGGGAAGGCAGTCCCTGGAGTGGGAGTTGACAAGGCAGTGGTTTCATTGCAAGCCACTGCTGCATCCACATCCTGTCCACATCCACGGAGAACTTCCTCCCCTCCCCCATCTTCCTCTGCTTTCATGGATCCGGGTGGGGGCTTTGCTCATTTCAGTCCAAGCCACTCTCCGTCCAATCCACTGGGGGTGGGGGTGGTGATGGGGCAAGAACAGGGTGCTGCCCCAGCCCTAAGACCTCTCCCATCTCCAGGGACAACTGGTAGGCAATGTCAGTGAGGTGACAAGTCCTGTAATGCAGGGAAACTCAGGGGGACCCAGAGGAGGGGCACTGACCTTGCCTCTAAGGGTAGTTCAGAGGAGGGACAGCCTGAGCGGGAAGGAGCTTTGAGGGCGTTCAAGGTGAAGAAGGTGGTGAAGCACAGCAAGGTGTATCTGTGTGAGCTGCTCTCATCCCTGTTAAGGAGACAGCTTTCACCCTGTGGTGCTGCCTGTCTGGTGTGCTCTAAGGAGAGATGGGCCTTTCCAGTTGGCTTCTCTGCTTTATTTATGAAGAACAAGATGGGAAAGAGAGGCAGAAGTGGAGGGAGAGAGGAAAAAAATGTGTGCATAGGGAGGTAATGACAGGATTTGGCATGGTTAGGGGGTATCAGGGAACCAGGGAGAGAGTTGAGGGTCAGGAACTATAAAGTCCCGAGCAGCTCCAGGGTTGGAGAGAATGGGAGGAGAGCAGAAAGGGGATATTAGGAAACATCAGAGCAGGGGCAGTTATGATTACAAACCTCTTAAGAGTCTGTGAGAGGTGCAAGTAAAGATTTGAATTCCTTCAAAATCAGTTTTTGCTTGCAAGAGTTTTGCAGCAGGAGTTCAGTGTGGCTGCAGGAGAGGATGAGCTGTGCAGTAAGGTGCAAGTGGAGGCTGGAAAGAACCCACACATACAGGACCCGACGGGCCATTTGATCAGTCTGAGTTTCAGCAGGAAGGCAGTGGGGAGCCACTCACGGGTCATGTGGGACAGTGATGTGAGCCTTCAGGTCCAAGGCTCCTCTGGTTGCAGCATGGATATTGGATTAGAGCGATGGGGCTGGAGACAGGAGGCCTGGGAGGAGACTGAGGCAACATTCTGATAGGATAAGGAATCCTGATTTATGACCCTGGGGAAGGGAGGTGAGAATGGTCAAGGGAGAGACAGGGAGCTGAATGGGCAGGATGATTGAGAGGAGGAGGGGGGAGATGGAGAAGAAGAAGCTAGGGATGCCGCCGGGTCTAGATGGATTATCAAGAGGATTAAACGAGGTCGGTCGGGTGCGGTGGCTCACGTCTGTAATCCCAGCACTTTGAGAGGCCGAGGCGGGCGGATCACTTGAGGCCAGGAGTTGGGGACCAGCATGGTGAAGCCCTGTCTCTACTAAAAATACAAAAATTAGCCCGGCATGGTGGCACATGCCTATAGTTCCAGCTACTTGGGCAGCTGAAGCAGGAGAATCACTGGAACCTGGGGGATGGAGGTTGAAGTGAGCCGAGATCGTGCCATTGCACTCCAGCAAAACTCTGTCTCCAGAAGAAAAAAAAAAAAGAAAGAAAAGAAAAGAAAAGAAAAATGAGAACTACATTTCCTAACTAGTAGAGAGTGGTGACTAACTAGATGAGTGTGTGACTAATTGTGGAGCTCTGTCCCCATCACGAGGCATGAGCTCCCCAAGGGCAGGGACTGTATCTACCTTGTCCATTGCCCTGTGCTCCACGTGAGGCAGGGGCTCAGTAAGTATTTTTTTAAAATTGGAATTTCATTAACTGTGTATCGCAAGTTGGACAGAACTGACGTATTTGTCATATTAAGTCTTTCCATGCAGGAACTGGTATGTTTTTCCACTTGTTGAGTTTTCATGTAACCCTTCACAAGGTTTTATGGTTCTCATCATATAGCCCAGGTATCTTTTCACTACATTTATTTCAAAATATTTTAAAGTTTTTATATTATTCTAAGTGGATTGTCTTTTTATTTCAAATTCTACTTGATTGTGTCTAGTATAGAGCTAGACCATTGCTTTTTGGTTTTTCTTGTTTTATTTTGTTAAAAATTGATATATAATAGATGTGTATATTTTCAGGGTACATGTGAAAATTTGATACCTTTGTATCATCAAATTAGGGTAATTGGGATATCCACTACCATAAATATTCATCTTTAGGCCAGGAACGTTTGAACTATTCTCTTCTAGTTATTTTGAAATGTACAATCAATTAATTCTAGCCATAGTCATCCTGCTGATCTACTGAACGCCAGGTCTTATTCCTTCCAGCTGTATATTTGTACCCATTAATCAGTATCTCTTCATTCCCCTCCCCTGCTATATTTCTTGGCCTCTGATAACCACCAGTCTACTCTCTACGTTCATGAGATCCACTCTGTAGCTCCCACATATGAGTGAGAACATGCAGTATTTGTCTGTCTGTGCTTGGCCTATTTCACTTACCGTAATGACCTCCATTTCCATTCACATTGCAGCAAATGACAGGATTTCATTATTTTTATGGCTGAATAATATCCCATAGTGTGTGTGTGTGTATATATATAATTACATTTTATTCATCCATCCATTCATCCATCCATCCATCCATCCATCCATCCATCCATCCATTGATGGACAGTTAGGTTGATTCCATATTTTGGCTATTGTGAATGCACTACAATTAATGCAGGAATGCAGCTATAGCTTCAGTATACTGATTTCCTTTCTTTTGGATGTCTACCCAGTAGTGGAATTGTTGGATCTTACAGTAGTTCTATTTTGGTATTTCTTGAACGAAAGAACAAATGAATGAATAAGAGCCCTGGACATTTCCTTTGCTGCCCTCTGCCTGCCTTGGCCAGAAGATGGTGCTTTTCCCAGACAGAGCCCTCATCTTAGGGAGAGGGGATTGGTCCACCAAAACTTGCTTCCGGGATCCATTTTCCCATCGGACAAACTTCGTGGCTCAGAATGTTGGCAGGAGTGTAATACCTTTGAATGTCTGTTCCCTTAGTAAAAGCAGTGCAGGGAGTGGCTGGCTGGTCTGGGAGGCAGTGTGTGGGTCTGTGTGTGCACCTGTGTGCATGCGTCCTGCAGGTGGATGGACAGGAAGGCAGATTTTCTCCAGATAAAAGACTCATGGGTTTGAGTATTTTGGCTCTTTAGAGCATCACATTTTGGGGTCCTGAGGGGAGATGGGCCCCTGCATTGTGGATTTGGGGGGCCTTTGGTCAAGGTCAGCCACCCCAATAACTCCTCCCTAGAGCTGGCTTCACCTCCTGGCAGAATGTGGGTGGCCTCTCTCTGGCTTCATCAGGCCAGGGCAGGAAATTCTCTGCTTGAAGACAGCACAGGGTCATTCTCCTCATTTCTGAGGTCCTGTTCACTCCAAGAAAGCTGTGTTTGGGGGCTCTGGTCACAGAAACTTCCCGCTCCACGAGGTGGGCAGCTGAGCCTCATGGCAGCTTTGGTGGCGTTTAGACGACCCCTGGGACATCACTTCTTACCCTCCCTGCAGCCTTTCTCCCACCCCTGGCCCCCGCTTATTTTGGAAACGGTTAGCACAGGGTTTCTCCACCTCAGCTCATCTTGGGCCAGATCATTCTTTGTTGTGGAGGTTGCCTTGTGCATTGCAGGATATTTCATGGCACCCTGGCCCCTACTCACTAAATGCCAACAGACATCTCCCCCATCCCCAGTTGTGACAAACAAAAATGTCTCCAGACATTGCTAAATAACCCCTGGGGAGTAAAACTGTTTCCAGTTGAGAACCACTGGGTCAGAGGAATAAAGAGACTTCAGGGTGTAGTGTCTGCTCCCTGAGTGGTCCCACATGCTGTGTCCTGCGAGATGTCAACAGGAGTCCAAAGAACAGTCTGTGAGCTGTGAACTGTGTTTCTGCTCTACTGCAGCATGAGAAATGGGTTGGTTCAGGAGCTCAGTCTCCTTGTCTTGAGGGCTACTGGCCTGTGGTCTCTTCTTTGTTCCTCCCACCAACCCACAGGCACCAGGCAGCTTCCCAGAGAAGACACAAGCCTCAGCAACATGATGGGCCCTGGGAAGACTTCCTGCTGGGGACCCATGCTGGCAACCCAAGTCAGACAGGCAGGCCTGGGAGTGGGGCTGTCTTCTCGCTCTGGGCCGGTTGCTGGGGCAGCTGGTCTCCATGATGGCCCTGGTGCCTCCTGATACCGCCATCCTGTGTGGTCTCCTCCGCATTGAACCAGGGCTGGTCTGCGTGAGCAACAGGGTGGTGGCAGGAGTGATGCATGAAATCTGACACTAGGCCAGAAAGGGCATTGCGGCATCTGCTTCCTCCTCTTAGATCACTTGCTTGGGGGTGGGGAGACCCCCCCCCCCCCAGGGAGAAGCCACGCGATGGGGATACCCAGGCAGCCCTGTGGAGAGGCCCGCGTGGCAGGGAACTGAGGCCTCCCACCAATGGCCAGCACTGACCTGACAAGCGTGGGAATGAGGCACCCTGGAAGTGGACCTTCGAGCCCCGTGAAGCCTTCAGATGACTGCAGGTCTGGATTTCATCCTGGGGGCAGCCTCACAAGAGACTCTAAGCCAGGACTCCCAGCTAAGTCACTTCTGCGTTCATGACCCACAAACTGTGAGAGATAATCGTTTACTGTTATGTGAAGCCACTAAGTTTTGGGGCAGGAATTTTATATGCAGCATTGAGTAATGAGTTCAACTGCCATCATCACAATGTCCAAAGGGCCCTTGGAACTGCTTGCTACCTGGGAAAGACTTCCCTGCTATGTGGAAGTCCTCAACTCCCTGATGGTTCCTGTGTAACACCATCAAATATCCCCCATCCCACACCATCATCACAATGTCCAAAGGGCCCTTGGAACTCAGGTTCTGATGAAGACGATGGAAAGATTAATTAGTAACAACTGAACCCACATGAGCTCCTGGGGACTGAGAATAGTGAATATGTCCTTCAGTTCTGAGGTTTGCCCCTTGTCACCCCTCTTTCTTTTTTTTTTTGAGACGGAGTCTTGCTCTGTTGCCCAGACTGGAGTACAGTGGCACGATCTCGGCCCACTGCAACCTCTGCCTCCTGGGTTCTAGCAATTCTCCTGTCTCAGCCTCCAGAGTAGCTGGGACTACAGGCACCCGCCACCATGCCTGGCTAATTTTTGTATTTTTAGTAGAGATGGGTTTTCACCATACTGGTCAGGCTGGTCTTGAACTCCTGATCTCAGGTGATCCACCTGCCTCGGCCTCCCAAAGTGCTGGGATTACAGGCGTGAGCCACCAGGCCTGGACATTGTCACCCCTCTTAAGGACCTGGTGCTGAGGCTGAGGGAGAGATTTCTTTTGCTTTCTCATACCACTTTCCTGCCCTTACCTCCTAGATGTGCAGAGAGCCTGGAAATGTAACCTACACTCCTGTCTTAGGAGTCAGGCTGGGGCCACATGTGGGCTCACAGAAATCTGACACTAGGCCAGAAAGGGCATTTCAGCATTTACTTCCTCCTCTTAGATGGCTTGCTTGGGGGTGGGGGCATGCCAGACTCCCTTAGGGGGAAGCCACATGGTGGGGATACCCAGGCAGCCCTGTGGAGAGGCCCACATGGCAGGGAACTGAGGCCTCCCACCAATGGCCAGCACTGACCTGACAAGTGTGGGAATGAGGCACCCTCGAAGCTGACGCTCAAGCTCCAGTGAAACCTTCAGATGACTGCAGCTTTGGATTTCATCCTGAGGGGATGAAATTAGTGTGATTAGTGATTTGATACTGAGGGCATGTAATTAGTGTGATTTTGAGCATTTTTATATGGTTATTGATCACTTGCATATCATCTTTGGAGAACTGTCAACTGAAGTCCCTTGTTCATTTTAAAATCAAGTTATTTTAATTTTTGTTGTTGAGTCATAGAAGAAAAGCTCTGGTGACTGTATTTTGAATTACTTGGGGTCAGTGGAGACAGGAAATGTCACAGAGTGAAGGGGCAGTCATGGGGCCGAGGGGGATGCAGGGGCAGGTCCTGGGAGCACAGCAGAGGCATGGAGGGAGGGGTGCTGTGCTGAGTGTTGGTGGGCAAAGCCTTAGATGAAGTCAAGCTGTCAGGTGGCCTCCACTTCCCACACGTGGGTGCATTGCAAGGCTAGCTTCCCTGAATCTGGGCCTTTTAGACCAAGTACAGGCAGGGCATTCTCAATCTCTTCACCTGCAATTTGTTGATGGAAAATCCCCCAAGTACAGAACCTCTGGCAATAGCATTCTTACAGATTTGGCTACTGCTGTTCCTAATTGGTTACTGCAATTATCAGTGCACACTTTGGAAGTTGCCTACTGGCTGTTTTGTCAGGGGGATGGCTTCACTCCTCTGCATCTCTGTGCTGTTTCTTTCTGTTCCATCCGCATGATCATTGTTCTGTGTTCTAATAATGAGAGATGTTTTCATAAGCTCCCTTTTCTCTTTCTCTCTCTCTGACAGGGAAAAATAACTTCTAGAGTTGCTTGCTGCCTGGAAAAGAGTTCCCTGCTATGCAGAAGTCCTTGATTCCCTGATGGTTCCCGGGTAACACCATTAAATATCCCCTATACCATGGCATCTGCGGGTTGATAGTATAACCTTTCATGCTCATTACACACAGTGAAGTGAGTGATGCTGGGATGTTGGGAACAGCAGGGTTAGAAGGAGAGGCACAGATAGGAAGTCAGGATTTGATTGGGTCTTCCACCCTCCACTCACCATGTTGTGGGCAGGACTAGAGTGACTGGTATTGCTAGCGATGCAAGGGAGCCAAAGTTGAGCTTCTGTGCCTTCCTCTACTTCCCATTGCCTGCCAGGGGTGATGTCCCCGGAGCACACATTTCTTTGTTTCACCTGCTAGTTTAGAAACCTTCTGTGGCCGCCCTCGGCCACTCCTGAACCAGCCAACATTCACACCTTTCTCCACCTGACCCTAGCTCTCCTTCCCAGCAGCATCTCCCCTCATGGCCCTGAGGTTCTGCGGTACGGACAGACTACCTGTTGCCTGAACACATCGTGTGCTTACCCACCTCAGCACCTTTACTCAGCATCTGCTCGGTCCTCACCCTGAGACATCCCACACGCCCCCCACACCCTCTCCACACCCACCCTGCGGCCACCTGATGCTGTCCCCATGCCCTCCTCACACCCTCCCCATACCCCCCTCACACCAGTCCCAGGCAGGAGCCTCTCTCACCTGGATCTAAGGATAGTCCAGGGATTTCTCTCTTTCTCTTTAAAATTGTAGTAAGAAAAAAACCCAAAACACGTAACAGAAAATGTACTCTTTTAATCACTGTTAAGTGTATGGTTCAGTAGTGTTAAGTATATTCACATTGTTATACAGCAAATCTCCAGAACTTTTCAATCTTGGGAAACTGAAACTCTATACTCATTAAACAAGAACTCCCCACTTCCTCCTTCTACTCAGTCCTGGCATCCACCATTCCACTCTCTGTTTCTATGAGTTTGACTATCTTAGATTCATCATATAAATAGTATCAGGTAATATTTGTTCTTGTGCGTCTGGCTTATTTCACTTAACATAATATCATCAAGGTTCACCCATGGTGTAGCATGTGATAGGATTTCCTTCCTTTTTAAGAATGAATACTATTCCATTGTATGTGTGTATACCACATTTTGTTTACCCATTCTTCTGTCAATGGACATTTGAATTGCTTCTACCTCTTGGCTATTGTGAATAGTGCTACTATGAACGTGGGTGTGCAAATATCTCTTTGAGAGCCTGCTTTCAATTCTTTTGGATATCCAGAAATGGAATTGCTGGGACATATGGTAGTTTTATTTTTAATTTTTTGACAAACCAACATACTATTTTCCCTAGTGGTTGCGCCATTTTACAATCCCACCAACAATGCACTGGGGTTCCATTTGATCTACAGCCTTGCCAGCACTACTTTTTGCTGTTTGTTTTTCTTTTGTAGCCATCCTAAGGGGTATGAAGTGATATTTCATTGTGGTTTTGATATGCATTTCTCTAATAATTACTGTGATTTTGAGCATTTTTATATGCTTATTGATCACTTGCATATCATCTTTGGAGAAATGTTAACTGAAGTCCCTTTTTTATTTTAAAATCAAGTTATTTTATTTTTTGTTGCTGAGTCATATAATTTTTTCACATATTCTGGGTATCAAGACCTTATAATATACGTGATTTGTGAATATTTTCTCCCATTTCATTATTTGTCTTTTCATTCTGATTGTGTTATTTGATGGATGAAACTTTTAAAGTTTGGTGTAGTCCCATTTATCTATTTTTACTTTTGTTGCCTTTTGTGCTTTTTGATGTCATATCCAAGAATCACTGCCAAATCCAATGTCAAGAAGCTTTTCCCCAACGCTTTCCTCTAGGAGTTTGATAGTTTTGGGTCCCAGGTTCAGGTCTTCAATCCATTTGAATTAATTTTTGTATATAGTGTAAGATAAGTATGTTATTAGCCTGCTCAGGCTGCCATGACGGAATACCACAGACGGGATGACTAAATAAGAGACAATTATTTTCTCACCGTTCTGAAGGCTAGGAGTCCAAATTAAGATGCCAGTAGGGTTGGTTTCTGTTGAGACTTCTCTTCCTGGCTTGCAGATATTCTCCTCTTTGCTATGCCCTTATGTGGCATTTTCTCTGTCCTCATGGGGAGAGAGAGAGAGAGAGAGGAGAGAGAGAGAGAGAGAGAGGGGGGCAGAGAGAGATTGAGGTGGGGGGATATCCTGTTGTCTTTTCCTCTTCTTATAAGTCTTATAAGACACCAGTCCTATTAGACTAAGGCCCTAATTTAACCTTATCTACTTCTTTAGAGGCCTGATATGGTTTGGCTGTGTCCCCACCCAAATCTCATCTTGAATTGTAGCTCCCATAATCCTGACATGTTGTGGGAGGGACCCGGTGGGCGATAATTGAATCATGGGAGTGGTTTCCCCCATATTCTTCTCATGGTAGTGAATAAATCTCACAAGATCTGAAGGGTTTATAAGGAGTTTCCCTTTTCTTCTGGCTCTCATTCTCTTTTGTTTGATGCCATGTAAGATGTGTCTTTCACCTTTCGCCTTCCGCCATGATTGTGAGGCCTCCCCAGCCAAGTGGAACTGTGAGTCCATTAAACCTCTTTTTCTTTATAAACTGCCCAGTCTTGGGTATGTCTTTATCAGCAGGGTGAAAATGGACTAATACAAGGCCCTATCTCCAGACATAATCATATTTGGAATTAGGGCCTTAACATATGAATTTGGGGGGGACACAATTCAGTCCATAATATTAATGCTCCAATTTTATTCTTTTGCATGTGGATATCCAGTTTACCCAACACCATTTGTTGAAGAGACTGCCCCTTTGAGTGGTCTTGGTACCCTTATCAAAGATCGTTTAACCATATATGTGAGGGGTTATTTCTTATCTCTTTATTCTGTTCCATTAGTCTTTATATCTGTCTTTATGCCAGTACCAAGCTGTTTTGATTAGCTCTCTAATAAGTTTTGAAGTCAGGAAGTGTGAGATCTCCAACTTTACTCTGTTTTTTTTTTCCCCAAGATTATTTTGGCTATTCAGAGTTCTTGAGAGTCCACATGAATTTTGTATTCTTTAAAATGCCATTGAGATTTTGATAAGGATTGTGTTGAGTCTTTAAATCACTTTGGGTAGTTCTGATATCATAATAATACTAAGTCTTTCAATCCACTAACATGGGATGTCTTTATATTTTCATATGGCTTCATGCCGCTGTCTGGTGTCCTTTCTTTCAAGTTGAGGAACTCCCTTTAGCGTTTCTCCTAGGACAGGTCTAATGGTAATGAATGCTTCCAGTTTTTGTTTATCTGGGACAGTCTTAATTTCTCTTTTTTTATAATTTCAATTTTTATTTTAGATTCAGGGGGTACATGTGCAGGTTTGTGACAAGGATATATTGCGTGATGCTGAGGTTTGGGGTGTGACTGATTCTGTCACCCAGGTGGTGAGCATAGTACCCAACAGGTAGTTTTTCAGCCCTTTCCCCACACCCTCCCTCCCTGCTCTAGTAGCCTCCAGTATCTATTGTTCTCATCTTTATGGCCATGTGTACCTAATGCTTAGCTCCAACTTATAAGTGAGAACATGCAGTATTTGGTTTTCTGTTCCTGTGTTAATTCACTTAGAATAAGATCCTCCAGCTGCATCTGTATTGCTGGAAAGGACATGATTTTGTTCCTTTTAATGGCTATGTGGTATTCTGTGGTGTATATGTATCGCAATTTTTTTAAAAAAAATTTTTAAATTAATTTTTTATTTCCATAGGTTTTTGAGGAACAGGTGGCATTTGGTTACATGAGTAAGTTCTTTAGTGTTACCCAATTTTCTTTATCTAATTCACCGTTAGATATCTAAAGGATTATCTAATCCACCATTATAGTTTGAGGTCTTACATTCAAATCTTTAATCCATTTTGAGTTAATTTTTGTATATAGTGAAGGGTGGGCACCTAGGTCGATTGCATGTCTTTTCTATTGTGAATAGTGCTGCAATAAACATGTAAGTGCATGTGTCTTTTTGGTAGAACTATTTGTTTTCCTTGGGTGTATATCCAGTAATGGGATTGCTGGATCAAATGGTAGTTCTGTTTTAAATTCTTTGAGAAATCTCCAAACTGCTTTCCACAGTGGCTGAACTAATTTATATTCCCACTAACATTGCATAAAGTGTCCCCTTTTATCTGCAGCCTGGACATTATCATATCTTTAATAATAGCCATTCTGACTTGTGTGAGATAGTATCTAATTATGGTTTTGATTTGCGTTTCTCTGATAATCTTAAGAGATGATGAGCATTTGTCAGTGATGTTGAGCATTTTTTCTTATGTTTGTTTGCTGCTTGTATGTTTTCTTTTGAGAAGTGTCTGTTCATGTCCTCTGCCTACTTTCTAATGGGGTTGTTTTTTGCTTATTGAATTTTTTGAGTTCCTTATAGATTCTGCATATTAGACCTTTGTCAGATGTGTAGCTTATGAATATTGTCTCCCATTCTGTAGGTTGTCTGTTTCCTCTGTTCATAGTTTCTTTTGCTGTGCAGAAGCTCTTTAGTTTGATTAGGTCTCACTTGCCAATTTTTGTTTTTGTTGCAATTGCTTTTGAAGGCTTACTCATAAATTCTTTCCCAAGGCTGATGTCCAGAATGGCATTTCCTAGATTTTCTTCTAGGAGTCTTATAATTTGAGGTCTTACATTCAAATCTTTAATCCATTTTGAGTTAATTTTTGTATATGGTGAAAGGTAGGGATCCAGTTTCATTTTTCTGCATATGGCTAGTCAGCTATCTTAGCACTATTTATTGAATAGGGAGTCCTTTCTCCATTGCTTATTTTTTATCACTTTTGTCAAAGATCAGATGGCTGTAGGTGTGTGGTTTTATTTCTGGGTTCTTTATTCTGGTCCATTGGTCTATGTGTCTGTTTTTATACCAGTACCATGCAGTTTTGGTGACTGTAGCCGTATAGTATAGTTTGAAGTCAGGTAATCTGATGCCTCTGACTTTGTTCTTTCTGCTTAGGATTGCTTTGGCTATTTGGGCTCCTTTTTGGTTCCATATGAACTTTACAATAGTTTTTCTAATTCTGTAAAGAATGGCGTCAGTAATTTGATAGGAATAGCATTGAATCTGTAGATTGCTTTGGGCAGTATGGCCATTTTAATAATATTGTTTCTTCCACTCCGTGAGCCTAGAATGTTTTTCCATTTGTTTGTGTCATCTGTGATTTCTTTTAGCAGTGTTTGATAGTTCTCCTTGTAGGGATCTTTCACCTCCTTGGTTCGATGTATTTCTAGGTAATTTTTTGTGTGGCTATTGTAAATGGAACTGCATCCTTGATTTTGCTCTCAGTTTGAATGTTATTAGTGTATAGAAATGCTACTTATTTTTATATATTGATTTCCCATTCTGAAATTTTACTGAAGTTGTTGATCAGTTTTAGGAGACTGTCAGCAGAGTCTTTAGTTTTCTATATATAGAATCATATCATCAGCAAGGAGAAATAATTTGACTTCTTCTTTTCCTATTTGGATGCCTTTTAAATTTTTTTTCTCTTGCCTGAAAAGTGGAGTACTGGCTAGGCCTTCCAGTACTATGTTGAACAGGAATAGTGAGAGTGGGCATCCTTGTCTTGTTCCTGTTCTCAAGGGAAGTGTTTCCAGCTTTTGCCTGTTCAGTATGATGTTTGTTGGTCATTGATGGCTCTTACTATTTTGAGATTTGTTCCTTTGATAACTAGTTTGTCGAAGGTTTTTATCAACAAACTAAGCAGCAAACTAGGGATTTTATTGAAAGCTTTTTTCCACATCTATTGAGATGATCATATGGTTTTCATTTTTAATTATGCTGTGAATCACATTTATTGATTTGCATATGTTGAACCAACTATTGGTTCAAAGGTTTTTTCAAAGGCTGATTCAAAGGCTTTATTCCTGGGATGCAATATATGTTATATATATATATATATATATGCACTATATGCATCCCAGGAATAAAGCCTAGTTGATTGTGGTGAGTTAACTTTTTGATGTGCTGCTGGATTTGATTTGTTAGTATTTTGTTGAGGATTTTTGCATCTATCTTCATCAGGGATATTGGCCTGTAGTTTTCTTTGTTCATTGTGTCTTTGCCAGGTTTTGATATCAGGGTGATGCTGGCTTTGGAAAATGAGTTAGGGAGGAGTCCCTCCTCCTTGATTTTTTGGGATAGTTTCAGCAAAATTGATACCAAGAATTCTTTTTATGTCTGGCAGAATTTGTCTGTGAATACATCTGGTTCGGGACTTATTTCAGTTGGTAAGTTTAAAAAAATTATTATCACAGGTTGAATTTTGGACCTTGATATTGATCTGTTCAGGGTTTCAATTTCTTCCTGATTCAATCTCGGGAGATCATACAGTATTTTCTTACAGTGGTTGATTTTACAGTATTTTCCGTGTGCAGATGAGAAGAATGTGCATTATGTGGTTGACGGGTGGAGTAGCCTTTAGATGTCTATTAAGTACAATTGGTCAAGTGTCAAATTTAAGTCCAGAATTTCTTTGTTAGTTTTCTGTCTCAGTGGTCTGTCTAACATGGTCAATAGGCTGTTGAAATTTCTCACTATTATTGTGTGGCCATTTAAGTCTTTTTGTAGGTCTAGCAGTACTTTTTTTATGAATCTGAGTGCTGCAATGTTGGGTGTATGTATATTTAGGATAGTTAAGTCTTCTTGTTGAACTGAGCCCTTTATCAACATGTAATGCTCCTTGTTTGTCCCTTTTTTTTGTTTTTTTACTATTATTGGCTTAAAGTCTATTTTATCTGATATAAAAATAGCAACCCCTGCTTTTTTTTAAATTTTCCATTTGTATGATAGATCTTTCTCTGATCCTTTACTTTGAACCTATAGGTGTCATTCCATGTGAGGTGGGTCTCTTGAAGACAGTAGACAGATGGGTCTTTTTTTTTTTTTTTATCCAGCTTTTCACTCCGTGCCTTTTAAGTGGGGGGATTTAGACCATTTACATTCAAAGTTAATATTGATATGTGAAGTTTTGATCCTATTGTGAAGTTGTTAGCTGGTTGCTTTGTAGTTTCTATTGTGTGGTTGCTTTGTAGGGTCTGTGGGGTGTATACTTAAGTGTATTTTTGGGGTAGCACAAAAACATTTCGTTTCCATGTTTAGAACTCTCTTAAGGATCTCTTGTAAGGCTGGTCTAATGGTAATGAATTACATTAGCACTTGCTTGTCTGCAAAGGATTTTATTTGTCCTTCACTTGTGATGCTAAGTTTGGCAGGATATGAAATTCTTGGTTGAAATTTCTTTTGTTTAAGAATACTGAAAACAGGCCCCCAATCTTTCCTGGCTTGTAAGGTTTCTGCTGAAAAGTCTGATGTTAGCCTGATGGGGATCCCTTTGTATGTGATCTGACCTTTTTCTTTAGCTGCCTTTAAGACTTTTTGTTTAGCCTTGACCTTGACAGCCTAGTGATATATGCCTTGGTGATATTTGTTTTGTATAATATCTCACATGTGTTCTTTGGATTTCTTGTAACTGGATATCCACCTCTCTAGCAAGACTAGGGAAATTTTCTTTAGTTATTCCCTCAAATAATTTTTCCAGGTTGTTTACTTTTCTCCTTCTCTCTCAGGAATGCCAGTAATTTATAGATTTGATGGCTTTACATGATCTTATATTTATCAACGACTTTTAAAATTCTTTTTTCCTTATTTTTGTCTGGCTGAGTTAATTCAAAAGACTGGTCTTCAAGCTCTGAAATTCTTTCTTCTGCTTGGTCTATTCTATTGATAAAGTTTTCAACTGTATTTTCAAATTCTTTACATGAGTTTTTCAATTCTAGAACCTCTGATTTCTTTTTAAAGCATTTAAATCTTCCTTCATTTCCTGGATTGTTCTAGAAGCTTATTTGTGTTGATTTTCAACCCTGTCTTGGATCTCATTGAGCTTCCTTGCAATCCATGCTTTAAATTCTTTATCTGTCATTTCTGAGTTTCCATTTTGGTTAGGAACCATTGCTGGAGAGCTAGTGTGATGGTGATATCACTACATTCAGAATTTTTATGGTGCCAGAATTCTAGTACTGGCTCCTTCTCATCTGGAGGCATTGGCACTTCTAATTTTTGTAGTTATTTTCATGTGGATAAAACTTTTTTCTTTCTTTCCTTACAATTTTTTTTTTCTTTTCCCTTTTCCACCTCCCTAGGGGGTGTGACTGTAGAGAATGTTGAGTAGGGTCTTTTGGCTTTGCTTCTATAACTATAAGCACTTCTGCTAGCAGGTTTTATATTGGGCTGTGTGGTTTGACTTACAAACCAGTAGATGGAGCTTATGGGTAAGAGCTGGCTGTGGCCAGTGCAGCCAGGTGTATACCTGATCCTTGTTTACTGTGAGAAGCTCTCTGTTGCCTCAGGTAATGGGCTGATTCATGGAGTGCACAATGGCCTGAGCTCCCTGCTCAGGCCTAGAGGTTGGGGCCAAGATGATGAGCGTCAGACTGGGCAGGTCCATCTACAGGTCCCCAAGTGGCAAGCATAAGCACAAGTGCTGAGGGAAAATCCAGTGAGTGCCCACCAAGCACCCTAAGGTATGACTAGGCATGCATCTGGGAAACTTCCTCAGCCCCAATTCTCTGTATGGGAAGGGGAGCAGCCTACACTTCTAATCCAGGACAGTGGGTGCCCAGATGCCTGGAAATCTGCCTTGGCATGGAGGGGAGAAGGCCCTGCTCTGCCACAATCTCTGCACAGGAAGGGTGGGGGCAGTTCAGGCTGCTGGTCCATGTGACTGAGTGCTCTGAATGCCTGGGGTTCTTCTGCCTGGGTGTGGAGTGGAGAGGGCCTTGTGCAAGAAGGGTGGGGCAGCTCAGGTTGCCAATCCAGATAAACAGGTGCTCCAAATGCCTGCAGATCTGACTGGGTTTGGAGTATAGAGGGTCAAGCTGCACCACAATCTCTGCATAGGAAGGGTGGGGCAACTCAGGCTGCTGAGCCAGGTGAACGAGTGCTCTGAATGCCTGGAGATCTGCCCAGTCGTGAAGCAGAGAGGGCCTCCTGGTACCAGGATCTCTGCACAGGAAGGATGGGGTAACTCGGGCGGCTAATCTGTGGGAGCAGATGCTCTGAATGCCTAGAGAACAGCCTGGGTGTGGAGAAGAGAGGGTCCTACTGCACACAGTCCATTCCCAAGAAGGGTGGGGCAGCTCAGGCTGCTGGTCCAGGCAAGTGGGTGCTCTTAATGCCTGGCGCTCTACCGGGAGGTAGAGCAGAGAGGGCCCCACTGCACCATGATCCCAGGGAGCAGGCTGCGGCACCCAGAAGTGACACATGCAGACCAGACTGGTTCCAGGTTGCCAAGCTGGCCCTGGCTGCAGTTCTCATCACCCAGAAGAAACCATGCTGTAGTAGCTCTCCTCCCTCCCCAGGTCTGCAATGGAGAAAAGCACAATTCCAATGCTTACTGTTGAGGTGCTTTCCACAGTTCTGGCCATGGAGGCCTGTACCCTGGTCCAGAGCAAGTGCTCCAATCTCTGGCCTGAGACTAAAATGCCTGTGCAGCCACACTGCCAGGTTGCCAAAGAGTAACTGACTTTGTATACACTCATATTGAAAATGGCACCCTGCTCTCAGTTCCAGGTCTGGGAAAATGCCTGCAGCTTTTCCAGGTACCTTTCTCTCTCAGCATCTCCAAGCCTCTCCCTGAGTTGGCTCCAGGGCTTGGGAGAAACAAAGCGCTTTCCCTTGGCTTGGATTGCTGTGTTCCCCAGAGGAAAAGTGAATCACAAAAGGAGGCTCCCTGCCCCACTCATGCACTGGGGCTTTACTCACTTTCATCATTGAGACGCAATCACAGGGGCTGTTTGCCCACCTTCTCGTCCCCAGGATTTAGGGTGTCCTTCATGATTCCAGTGGATTCCCAGGTTTTTTTTTTCTTGAATTAAAGCTCAGAGTTGATCTTTATGTAGTATTTTGCTATTTCCAAGTTTTTGAAGCATACTGAAAGCCTCTACTTCATCACCTTGAAAAGGCAAAACTAGAGGCTTTCAGTGTGCTTCAAAAACTTGGAAATAGCAAAATACTACATAAAGACCAACTCTGAGCATTAATTCAAGAAAAAAAAAAAACAAAACTGTCTCATTTTTAAAGGATAGTTTTTCCAGTTTTAGTATTCTTGATTGATAGCTTTTTTCCTTCAGCACTCTGAGTACATCATTCCACTGCCTTATGGCTAAAAGGTTTTTGCTGAGAAACCTCCTGATAATCTTATAGAAGCCTCTTTGTCTGTGATGAAGCACTTTTACTACTTTCAAGGCTTTCTCTTTGTCTTTTGACAGTTTGATTATAATGTGTCACAGTTTGGGCCTCTTTGATTTTATACCAGTTGGAATTCATTGAACTTGGACTTCTATTTTCATTTGTTTCCTCTGATTTGGGAAGTTTTTGGCCATTTCCTCAAATAAGGTCTCTGCCCCTTTCTCTCCTACTTCTAGGATTTCCATAGTGTATAAAAGGGTCTGCTTGATGACGTCCCATAAGTCCCTTAGGGCCTTTTCAGTTTTCTTAATTATTTTTTCTTTGTGCTCCTCTGACTTGATTCAAATGAACGATCTGCAAATTTGCGAGTTCTTTCTTCTGCCTAAGTCTGCTTTGAACAGCTGTAGTGAATTTTTCAACTTAGTTATTGTATTTTTTAGCTCTAGAATTTCTGTTTCTTTAGTTTATTTCTGTTGACATTCTCACTGGACTCATCCAGCATTTTCCTGATTTCACTTAGTTGTCTATCTGTGTTCTCTTTTAGCTCACTGAGCATCTTCAACACAGTTGTTTTGAATTCTTTGTGAGAAAGTTCAGCAATTTGCATTTCTTTAGGCTTGGTTACTGGAGTTTTATTTTGTTCATTTGATTGGGCCATGTTTACCTGTTTATTTGTATGCCTTGTGATCTTTTGTTGAGATTTTGGCATTTGAAAAAACAACCACCTCTCCCAGTCTTTATGAATTGGCCTCACGCACGGGGAGACTTTTACCAATCAGCCTGGCAAAAGGTTCTGGGACCTCTCAAATCTTTTCTGGGGATGTGTCTTCTCTGGCCTTGTGCATGCCTGTTTAACCGTCTCGAATTCCCTAGTCTATTTCTTCTCAAGAGACATAATCTCTTGCTCCTCCTGCTGTCTTCCTGTGGAACTGCATAATCTCTGCAGCTGTAACGTTCCTTGGAGCTTGCCTGTTTCCAGTGGCTTCTGTGCTGCCATTCCTGTCTGTGCTCTGAGTCAGGCAAGACAGAAGTCAGTCTCTCAGGCAGCCCCCAGACAAGCCAGAACATTGGCTGCACAAGTCAATGTTTGGTTTTCAACCCGAGGGAGTAGTTCTGGTATGGGAGGTTTTCTCATGGTTGTGCCACATTATACTGGGCCCAGGAATCTCTTATCAAATCCCTTACCACTTTGTGACATCATAAAATAGTGGCAGTATTTTTCTTTAGTCAAAAGTCAACCAAATATATGCTGCTTCAGCAGCTGGATTGTAACCTCTAAAGAAGGAGGTTCCAATGATATCAAGGGAGGAAGAAGGAAATAGCAATTCTTTTCCAACTCCAGCTCCGTCTGTTTCAGTCTCTGCACCAGGCACTTTACTCACGTGGTCTTTTTTACATCTTGTAAAGCAGGTGGTGTTATCCCCATTATGCAGATGAGGAGCCTGAGGGCTGGGGAGGGTATGTGACTTTCTATGTTCTGAGCTGTAGAAGCTGGATTTGAACCCAGGTCTGCCTAACAGCAAAGTTGGTAAAATACCTGAGACTGGGTAGTTTATAAAGAAAAGAGTTTTAATTGGCTTATGGTTCTGCAGACTCTACAGGAAGCATAGTGGCTTCTGCTTTTGAGGAGGCCTCAGGAAGCTTCCAATCATGGCAGAAGGCAAAGGGGGAGCAGGTGTCCTACATAGCAGGGGCAGGAGCAAGAGAGAGAGACAGTGAAAGGGGAGGTGCCACACACTTAAATAACCAGATCTCATGAGAACTCACTTACTATCATGAGAACCGCACCAAGAGGGTGGTGCTGCACCATTCATGAGAAACCCACTACCATGATGCAGTCACCTCCCACCAGACCCCGCCTCCAACACAGGGGATTACAATTTGACATGAACTTTGGCCAGGGACACAGATCCAAACCATATCAGTCTTTTTTCCATGACACTGAGCAAAAGGACCCAATCTTGGTCATATGTGTCCCTCACCCACCCCCAATGTGCCCAACAGAGTTCAGCAAGTGTTTATTGCACGAATGAGGCTAGAGATGCAACCAAGGAGACGCAGAGGAAACCAGCCTTGCCCCGCCACCTGCCCCCGCTTCCTTGCCTGTATGTCTGTTGACTTTTGCTTTCCCTTGGTTTATGCTCTAGGGGCCTGCGGGGTTTCTGAGCCTGGGCAAAACTCACTGAGGAAGGGAAAAAAATCTGCTCACCAGGTCACACAGCACATTTAAACAGATTAGGCAAAACCTCTCCCTTTCTCAAGACACTTCCATATATGGAAAATTATTGTAATGTACTGATTTTCTTAGCATGAGTCTCTTTACTGCCATCTTCTGGAAGTTTATGACAGTATACACATTTATGATTATGATGGATAGCAGGCAGTCCTTTGCACCCTAGGTGTGACACTCTTGTGCCACTTCTCTGTGGTGGCCATTCAGGGAGATGAATCTGGAACCTTCTGAAGCCTAGGAGAAGAGGTTTATGGATTCTATTTTTCTGTTTGGATTTGTTACCCTGGTCCTGCCCATTGTAAATCTCTGGGCTTCTTCGTGTTCACTACGCCCGCCCATACCTGATCTTGCCCTGGGGCCTGTAAGGAGTCTTGTTTAAATGCAAGCCATTGCAGGAGTGAAGGCTTAACATCCCATGAACTCCTTTAGTTTTCTGCCTCAGTTTCCTTGCTGGGCTGACAGCTCCGCCACCTGACCTAGCTTTGACCAGCCCTGGGACCTTGGCCACTGGAGGGTGCTATTAGCTGGGTTATTGCTGGGATAAACTTGACCACTGGACCTCACTGGCTGGGAACCTTTGAATGTCTTCTATTGGACTGTTAGTCATTCTCCTTTGGGGCTTACAAGGTTCACTCACTCAGTCACTCACTAATTCAATTCATGAGTTCAGCAGGTAATGACTAAGTCCCCACACCATGCCAGTACTGTGCTAGGCACTGGGGGATCAATGGTGAGAAAAACAAGCAAACAAGCACATGGGATGCAGCAGACACCTCTGGCACCCTGCTCATCACATTCCTTGGCCAGCTGTGATTTCAGTGCCAGCGACAGTGGCCGGTGGCCGTTTCCCTGACAGCTCAGAAAGCTTGCCTTGCTCTTACAGCATCCACTTCATGTATGGGACAGATGCCTGTTGGTTTTCTGCCTCAGGGTCTTCTCCAGCGTTGTGGGAACACTCTTAGCCCATGCAAGCCTGGCGGTGTGAAGGCACGAGTTAAAATGTACCCAGGATTTGTTTTAATCAGTATGGTCAGACACGCAGGCAGGGAGATGATTGTCATAAAGGAAGAAGTTTATACTAAGTACTCTAGAAATGGGAGGCACTGCACACTGCTACCTGGAACACATGGGAAGCGCCAGGGTCAGAAGGCAGAAGAGGGAGAGGGGAGAGCAAGGCTCAGAGCCTTTGTTGAGGATTTCTTGGGAAGGTGTGGGCAAGGCAGGGTAGGTAGACTGAGTTAGCTTAGGATGGATAGTGTGAATCACTGTGGAGGGCTCTGGGCTTTCAAGGTCATTCCTAGTTGTCTGGTTCTTGGCCCTGTAGTGATTTAGGGCAGAGAGAATATTGACTTGGCAGTTGGACGGTTGGGGGTGTGGGCTCTGGAACGATTGCTTTGTACATCAAAGGTGCAGTCACAGGGGAGTCCTTTGCTGTCTCTAGGAATTAGCTAGCTCTGGGAGGGGCAGTCTCTCCAGGATCAAGGCCCCAAATGCCGGAGCATCAGGAATACAGAAAATAAGAAAATGCAGTCAATACAGGGCATGAATCTTGTCCGGGGAAGCTCTCAGCCAATGAGGGCTGGGAGCTGGTGGATGAATGCTCCAGGCTCTTGGCCTTTAGGGGACTGATTCTGGGGACTTCATGCTGCTTGTCAGGAGGTCCCAGCTGCACTGAGCCTCTGTTGCCCAAAGCATTGATGACCGCAACACAACTTTTAATGATCTTACTCCTCCCTATGCCATTTTCCCTCAATCCTTCACTCTTGCTGTCTGGGAACCTCTCCCAAATAAACAACCTGCACTCCAGTCTTATCTCAGGCTGTGCCTTCTGGGAACCCCACATAAGCCACCTGACCCCTGCTGCCTTAGAGCTTTACACTAGGCTCGGGAAAAGCTTCCTGGAGAAGAAACCATTTTTCTTGCTGCTGAAGAAAGACTCATTGTGTCATGGGTGAAAGGGGTAGGGGGAGAGCAGTCGAGGCAGAGCGAGCCACACATGCAAAGGGCCTGAGGCTGGTGGGAGGAGCATGGCCTGTTCCAGGAAGGTGTCAGGGGCTCCCCAGACCCCCGTCCCCACAGATCCAAGTTCCCAGCATGCCTTGCACCAAGGTCCAGCCATTTACAAAGAAAGAGCGAGTCCATCTGAGTGTTGACACATTCAGCGGCTCAGGTAATGTGTTTATTTTTATTTTTATTTTTGAGACAGAGTCTTGCTTTATCACCCAGGCTGGAATGCAGTAGCACCATGTTGGCTCACTGCAACCTCCGCCTCCCGGGTTGAAGCAATTCTCATGCCTAAGCCTCCCAGAAAGCTGGGACTACAGGCATGCACCACCACGTCCGGCTAATTTTTGTATTTTTAGTAGAGATGAGGTTTTGCCGTGTTGGCCAGGCTGGTCTCGAACTCCTGGCCTCAAGCAACCTGCCTGTCATGGATTGGACATGTGAGTCACCAAGCCTGGCCTCAGGTAATGTGTTTTAATAAGCAGCTGTTTGGTGTCCTTCTCCAGGGTAGTGGTAATGGCAGGGAACAATGAGACTGATGGGGTGTGTGTGAATGGCACCCTTCTTGCCTTTCTCCATCCCAAGGTTTTATCAAGATTCATCCCTCTCTTGGTCCTGGGGTTGCAGGGCCTGACCGGCACAGAGGAATCTCTGTGTAGTTTCCAACACCACTCATTCACAAAGGGGAAACTGAATCCCGTGTTAATCTTTCCACTTCAAAGATGATTCCAGGTGAATGTGGGAGCCCAGTCTCAGAGACGCCCCTCTCCTTCTGGCTCTGGTTCCCCTCCCTCCCCTGTAGCCTGCCCACTGAACTGGGCCTCTGGGCTCAGCTCTGCAGTCTGCAGGCCACCGGGAGGAGGTGCGCAGAGATCTGGACGGGTTTACAACAGCTTGACTGGAAAACTTGGGGATTTCAGATCTCAGCTAAGAGGAAGTCTCTGGAATGCACAGACCCTAGCCCCCTTGTCTTTGGGGCCAGGCACAAAAATCAGGAGTTCAGTGAAGTTTCTGTCCTTGCATTTCTTCCAAGGGTGGGGCTCGAGAGAAGGGAGGGCCAGAGCTGAATCTGAAGCCACAGTGAGTCACTGTGCCACGGGCATCTTCTGAGGCTTGGAGAAGTCACCTAGACAGGCATAAGCTCCATGATGCATTCTTCTCCAAAACCTGCTTACCTCTACCCTGGTGGACCCATCCCCAGGCCAGCAGAGATAGAGAGGCCTGGGTGCATGGGATGGGGTGGGGCGGGCAGAACTCCTCTCCCTCCATTCAGCTGCCCAAACCTTGGCCTGGGCAGCTCCCTGTGTGTGAGCCCAGTCTGGGGCTCCCCGCCTCACTGCCTCATCCTGATGCCAGGCTCTGGAAAGGAGCTGGGAGACTTCTAATAAGGCTTCCTAGACCCCTCACACAAAATGGAGGCAGACGCGCTCCAGCACTGCCTTGTCTTAGAAGTAAATTTTCTCTTTCTGCCCCCTCTCATTCCTTTTCTCCCCTTTTCTCTTTTGCAATCAAGGCTGCCTGGGTTAAAATCCTAGCTTCCCCTCTACCTGTGTGGTTTTGGGTGAGTTCCTTAATCTCTCTCTGTGTCTCAGTTACCTCGCCCAGGAGGGGATAATAATCGGTCTGAGGTGAGGACTAACGCCTGAGAAGTGCTTAGATCCAGGGAAGCCAGGATGGGAAGGTGTGAGCTGTTACTAGGGTGGGCAGTGCAGACGGCAGGGGCTGTCCTTTTGGAATCCTAAATTTCACACAGAAAAAGGACATGGCTTCCGCTGCCTGAGTTTGAACTAAAGTCCGATGAGGAGAGGGGTCACACTGGAATTGCTAATTACACATTTAGGGGAAGATAAGTGTCTATCCTCTTTAGGCGGTGGGGTGACAGCAGCGGGCACCCTGCTGTCCGCTTTTAAATACATACAGATGGGATACCTCGTTTGCCCAGGCCAGACGCCAGGTGGCAGCCATTTCGGAGCGCTAGGGACGGGGCGGGCTGTCTGGGAACCCGGGGGCCACGCAGCGGGCAGGCAACCTTCTGCTCCAGGAAGGCGTGGAGACGCGGCCGCTGCGTGCAGGACTCCCGTAGCCGCCAGGGGGCGCTGTGGCCACGCGGCCGCCGCCGGCCTCCCAGCGAACCCGGACCCTGCGCTGCGCTCCCGGTTCGGCGCTGCCACCCCCAGCCCAGCCCTGGCGGCCCGCTCACAGGCCCCGCGGGGAGCACCCGGTCTCCTGCCGAGCGTGGGGACCCAGCTGAGATCCGCTGCCCCTCTGGCCTCAGTTTGCGCTTCTGCAAAGTGGCACCGCCTGCCGCCCGCGTGGCAGCTCCTCAGCTCGAGGCCTTCAGGTTTCTCTTCTCAGTCACTGGGCCCTGAACTCGGTGCCGCACTCAGCCAGATCCCGGCTGAGATCCCTCTGATCTCAGCACCAGAGAAGGCTGCTTTCCTCCCTCCCTCCTTCATTTTCTCCCCTTCCTCTCCCTCCATTTTTCCTTTCTTCCACCCTCTCCTTTCTCTCTTCGTTTCCCTCTCCTCTGCTTCTCCCTCCCTCCCTCCCGTCCTCCCTTCCTTCTTTTCTTCCTTTCTCCCTCCCTCCCTCCTTCCTGGGGCCTTACCTCCCCCCTCCCTCTCTCTCTCCCTCCCCTCCCTCCTCGTCTCTCTTCTTCCCTCCCTCCCTCCTTCCTGCTTTCCGTTCTTCCTGGGGCTCTCCCTCCCCCTGCTTCCCTGTCTCCCTCCCTTCCTCTTCTCTCCCTCCCTCCCTGTCTCCCCTCCCTCCCTCTCTCTAACTGCTGGTTCAGCAGAGGACTCTTGGTTTGATTCCGGGTCTCCCCTCCGCAGAGGGGACCTGCTTTCCTGTGCAGTGCAGGGTCTATCCTGCTGCCCCCAGCCCCCTCCCTCCCTCCCTCCCTCCCTCCAGGCATCTTTGACTTGATTGTTGGAACCCTGAACTCACCTTGGGCCGCAGGCCGCAAGTTGGACAAACTTGTTCTAGTGTGCTGTCAACAATGAGAGGGTCATTTCCAACTGGAGGGTGACAGATCACACAGAAATTCGGGCCTCCCCGTAACCCGAGTCCTGAGCAGGGAGTACCCTCTGGAAATACCAGCTAACACCATGTCTCCATGAAACTGACCAAGGAGTGAAAATCATTTCTTTCTGAAAGGGACGCTACACATTCATCCTTTTAAAGGCAGGGATAAAATATGGAAAGGGTCTAAAAGTGCTGCATCTCTCTGCCTCCTTGACCCCAGCCTCCCAGTTCCTCTTCCTGCAGGCAGCAATTGGTACAAGCTTCCTACATAGCTTTCCAGATACTCTGTGCAGAGAAAAACGTGTCAGGCCATATGTCTCCTTTAGAAAATATAGCACCGTAGACAGGCTGCTCTATACCTTGCTTTTGACTTAAAATATATTTTAAAAATGTATCTTAGAGACTGTTCAATATCACAATATGAGGTTGATCTATCTCTAGCTGAGTGGTGAAGAGGATGTCTCTGGGAGCACTACCTGAGCTTGAACTTGGGTCCTTCTCTTCCTGGCTGGTGACCCTGAGCAAATTACCTAACCCTTCTGTGCTTCTGTTTCCTCATTAAAAATATTAATACTATGTATTTCTTGAGGTCATTGTGAGCATTCAAGGACATAAACATTCTGCACAGGGCCTGGCACATGGCACATGCTCAATAAATGTTGGTTATTAGGATCCCACCTTGTTTACTTTATTTTTTCTTTTTGTTTTGAGACGGAGTCTCGCTCTTGTTGCCCAGGCTGGAGTGCAGTGGTGTGATCTCGGCTCACTGCAACCTCCGCCTCCCCAGCTGAAGTGATTCTCCTGCCTCAGCCTCCCAAGTAGCTGGGATTACAGACACCCACCACCATGCCCGGCTAATTTTTGTATTTTTAGTAGAGACGGGGTTTCACCATATTGGTCAGGTTGGCCTCGAACTCCTCACCTTAGGTGATCTGCCTGCCTCAGCCTCCCAAGGTGCTGGGATTACAGGCATGAGCCACCATGCTCTGCCATTTACTTTAATTTTTAAAAATCATGATTTAAACAGGAAATACTGTGCCCTGTAGTGACAGTTGCAAATGTAAGCTTTGGAGACCATCCTGTATGCTGGCTTCACCACTTGCCAGCTGTGTGTCTTTGAACAAGTCGTTTTTCAACCTCTCTGGGCCTCTGCCTAACCCATCTATAAAATAGGGATCATGAGTCTAATCACTTGTAAGGTTGTTGGCAGGTCAGATGAGGTAATAGATACAAAGACACTTGGAGCAGTGCCTGGCATGTGAGGAAGATGACGGCAGTATTAGAAATAACAGCAGTTAAATCCTCCAAGCACTCACCACGGGCCGGATACGGGAAGCATATGACTTTGCTCGGGCCTCCAGTACCTGTTCCATCTTTCTTGCAACCTTATCAAGCTCTCCCATGTACCTGGGACTGTTCAATATGTTCTATGCCTCTCTATGAAAGGGGCTACTGTATTATCTCCATTTTAGAGAAAAAGAAACTGAGGCTGAGAGATGTTGAGTAACTTGCATAAGGTCACACGTGCTCATAGAAGTCCAATGTATTATGTGTCTGATTCCAGACCTGGAGATTATGTTTTTTGCCCTCGCTGGGGCTTACGAGAGGGCCTACTCCTGCACTCTCTCCTTCCCCTGTCCCATTCCCTGTCCTCCTTTCCCCGCTTCCCTCTTCCTCATGCACCCTTCCTTCTCTGCTCTTCCTCATCTCTTCCCCCTCCTCCTTCCCTCCTTTTCCTTTTGTTCTCTTCTCCCTCTCCTCTTCTGCTGCGTTGCTCTCTTCTAACTCTCATTCCTTCTGTCCCCTCTCCCCTTGGCCAGAGTCCAGACTCAAGGGCTGATATCTTGTTGCCTTCGGGGGGACCCAGGCAGAAATACAAGAGCAGCTGCCCTTCCCCTCAAAGGACTGACCTACCCCAGGCCCTGCCAGACCAGCCCAGCAGGCAGTGTGTGTGTGTGTGTGTGTGTTTGTGGGTCAACCCGCATATATGTCAGCTTGTGTGAGACTTGTGTGTCTACGATTGTGCCCAGTTTCTCCATGGGTATGAATGGTTGTGTGTGTGGTTGTGTGTGTGTGGGGGGGGGGTAACAGGTCACGAGGTCCTGACCTGCCTCAGCCAGGGCCCCACCTGTGCACAGTGGGAGCGACTTTCAGCATCTGTGCCCCACCCTGACCACCCCAGATGGGGCTGACCGGCCGGGTCCTGGCCACCCAGTTGTCTGGAGCCTGAGGAAACTGGGCTCAGTCTCAGGCCTCAGGCTGGAATCACCCAGACCTGCATTTCCCACTGGTCCAGTTGCTTCTTGAAGATTTCTGAGCTCGTTGGGCTTATCCAGAAGTGGGCTGGTAACATCTGCTCAACAGGACCCTTGCAGGGGTCCTAGGAGAGAAGGTGTGTAGGAAGGTATGTGGCTTGTGGTTTCTGCCTGGCCACCTTACGAGGATCCAGATGCAGGGAAGAAACCACAGCCCTGTGGTCTCAGAGGTCTCTGCCTGTTCAGACCCACGGTCCATGCCTGGCTGCAACGTGGACACATACGCTCCCCCACAGTCCAGGAAAACCCGGTCCCTAAGCTGGGCGAGTTCTTCCTGTGGGGATCAGAGCCAGTGAGCATGCCTGGACAGCATGTGGGATGGGGTGTGAGTGCTCAGGGTCAGCCCCGCAGAGCCCCGAACGAATAGCCCGATCTTTCTGGAGCGTTTCCTGATGGGGTTTGCGAGGAACGTCTGCTGGGAGGTGAGTGGGGGTCCTGGGAGCCTGCTGGCCCCGAGGCTGAGCTGTCACTGCTGGGCTCTCCAGTGGTGGCCGCCAGGGCAGTTCCTGGCCGGCCCACTGCATGCACATCTGGATGCAATTGTCTGCAGCTGCTGGGGCGAGGCGTAGGCTGCGGTCGGGGCTGGATGCTACACTTGGAGGGACCTCACGGGGTGGGGGTGGGGTCTGATTGCTCAGAGACTGAGCCGCCTACTCAGAACAGGGAAGGAAGACCAAGGAGAAACAAAAGAAAGGAAGATGGATGGGGCGGTGGTGATGGGGGCCAGGAATGTCTTTTTGTTCTGAAGAACATTCTGGCTTTTCCCAACAAATCACAAAATCCAAACGGGGAAGCTGTTTTAACTCCAGTCACACCCATGTCTAAATCAAGCAAACATACCACACACACATGTTTTTGTTTCTAAACTCATCAAAGGAACTTCAGGCCTGTACAGGGTCCTAAAAATACATACTGAAAACTGCTCGTATTCCAGCCTCTCCTGTGCTTTTTTTTTTTTTCACGACTGAAAAATTTCCGGCAATTTTTGACATCCCTTGCTCTGACCTCAAGCAGCAACAGGCTTTATCTGATAGTGTCAGTGTTCAAATTCATTGAAGGCTGGTGGGGGGTCCAGCAGGGGAGAGGACAGGGGGTCTGTGGGGTGAAATGGATTGTTCTCTGGTCACAGAGGATGGCAGAACCATCCAATTCCACCCCTTCTTTTTTTTTTTTTTTTTTTTTGAGATGGTGTCTCCCTCTGTCATTCAGGCTGGCGTGCAGTGGTGGGATCTTGGCTCACTGCAAACTCCGCCTCCTGGGTTCAAGTGATTTTCCTGCCTAGCCTCCCGAGTAGCTGGGATTACAGACACCTGCAACCACACCCGGCTATTTTTTGTATTTTTAGTAGAGACGGGGTTTGACCATGTTGTCCAGGCTAGTCTCAAATTGTGACCTCAAGTGATCCACCGGCCTCGGCCGCCCTAAGTGCTGGGATTATAGGTGTGAGACACTGCACCCGGCCCCACCTCATCTTATAGCTGGAGAAAATTAGCCCAGATAGGACTGGTGACCTGCCTCAAGATACTCAGCCAAGATTCACCCCGAAGTGACCCAGTGCAGTGGGCTCTGGGCTCAGCTGTGTCCAGTAGTTTGTGTTACAACCTCTACAACTTACTTCCACATCAGAAACATGTCTGATTTGTGATGGAGGAACTCGGAGGCATTACAGTGGGACGTACCCTGTGCGGCTGGCAGAGAGCAGGCCTGGCTCAGCACTCCAGGACAGGGCCTCGCAACTTCCTTTCCTGCTATGTGTTGTTGGGGATAACTCACCTGGCCCCTCAGCTCCCCATTTGGAAGTAATAATAGTAGTAATGATATTAACATTTGTCATTGAATGAGCACTTACTATGTGCACTTCTCCCATTTCATCCCAGCTGACCTCACAACCCTTTCAGGTGGGTACAGCTATATTAGCTTGACTCTGCAGACGAAGCAACTGAGGCTCAGGCAGTTTAAGTGGCTTGTCTAAGACAGGGAGGCTGTGGTTGAACCCAGGCTTCTACCCTTCTCACTGAGTGCTATGCCCCCTGCCCCACAGGCTTGAGGTGAAGGCTCATGGAGACCTTTGATGGACAAGATGAAAAGGCCTGTGCTCCCCGTTCGAACAGTGGGGCCTGGTAGTGATTGGGGCGCAGATGACCTGGGGTAGACCCCACAGGCTTGAGGGGAAGGCTCATGGAGTCCTTGGATGGACAAGATGAAAAGGCCTGTGCTCCCTCTTCCAACAACCAGTGGGGCCTGGTAGTGACAGGGGCACAGATGACCCTGGGTAGAAATTCCCTCTCTTTGTGCTTCCTCCATAAGCCCTCCCTTCTCCCCTGGAGTCCCATGGCCTCTGCAGCTGGCCTGGCCCCTCGTGCTTTCCGGAGCCCATCAGCATTCCAGAGCCTTGCAGTGTGGATACTTTAGCGCCCAGTCAGGAAGCAGTGAGGCCCACGGGCAGTCTTATCCCGTGTTCTGCCATCCCCTACCATGGCCTGGACCGCCAACCGCTCATGTCTCTGCCAAGGCAGAATTAGGATGCGTAGCTCCTGCAGAGAGGGCGGATTTAACCAAGGCTCCCGCTGGCTGTCCTGCCCGGGCCCTTCCAAGTGGCTGACAGGAGGTCGAGGAGAGGGAACCCATGGCCGGTGTCCACGACATTCCGGACAACAAGGACATCGTCTCTGGGCTGGCTGCTTGCTCCCCCATACTGGGAGTAGCTGGAGGCTGGCAGGCACCATGCTGTCCTCCAGGCTGGCTCAGAGTGAGCACTTCATAAATGTCACTGACTGAGTGAGCGGGGAAGGTGGGGGGACTTCAGGAACACTCTTCCCTGGACAGGGAGCTTGGTGGGAGCTGTGAGGATTGCTCTGTGCCCACTAATGGGGACTGCTTCCTGCTGGTGACAGCTGGCATTTTTGTGGTTTATTATACTAGGTTTTTGGAAAATTTTCCCCTCCCTGGACTGGACATTTATCTATTATAGATAAGATAAGGGGAATCAAGTTAGAGAAGGTTACATGACAGTAATTGGAGGGGGCTCAGCCCCTCTATGGAGCAGCTGGGTGATTTCTGCAGTATATTTTGTTCTGTGGCACTTGATGAACAGCAATTGGAGTGATTTGCAGGTTTGCTTTCTGTGTGGCAGGGTAGAGTGGCCCATGGGGTGGGATTCTGGGCTTTGGTTGTGGTGAGGTGACACTTGTGGGTGGAATGCTGGGGCTGGTGAGGGTGGGACCCCTCTGCCCAGAGAATCCCAGGCCACTGGCTTCTCCCCTAGCACCTGTTGATGCCCAGCTCCAGAGTGCTGGGCAGGGCTGGGCTGGGCATGTGGCATTGGCAGTGAAATTGGGCTGGGCTGCGTTTTGGCTCCAGGTTCCTTACTCTGTTTATAATGGGAAGCATAGAGGTGGGGCCATCCCACCTCTGTTCTAGGACTGCAGACTCTCCCGTCCCACTCCCTTATAATACTGCCCCTGGTCTCTTCCTCTCTGGTATGGCAGGGAAGCCGGGCAGTCTGGCCTGGTTCCACAAGGTGTCATGTCAGGAATCTGGGGACATCATGGACTTAGGACAGGCATGAGAAAGAGGCCTGGGGCTTAAGAGTTTAGTACCAGAGGCTAAAGAAGTCTGGAGCCCCTTGAAGGAAATCCCAGCTCAATAGACACGGGGTTTTTATCTGTTTCTCCTTTAATGAGATGCTCATTCACAAGGCAAATGTTTGCGCCAGAGGCATTGAAGCAAGAAACTAGGGGCATACAGGATATTCAGGTTTGCCCTTCCAGATCATTCTCCATGCCACTGTGTGCCGGGAGCTGCAGGCCATTGTCTGCGACACCTGGGTTCTCATCCTCTGGTCTCTGTGTCAGTTTCATGGGTGGGGGGTGGCAGCAGGAGGTTTCTTCCCTGCCCCTTCATGCTGAACTGTGGGTTAACAGTGCCTCCTGAGATAGCTCCAGCTCCCTCCAAGGTCCTATTCCCCCCCATCTCTGGAGGCTGAGGGGTGGAAACTGCTTTTGGCCTTTGGAGATCTACCTCCCCTTGTGGGTTTGCTTTAAGCCTTCTGTAAACACTCTTCAGTGGGTTGAATAGTGACCTCCAGAAAGTATGCCAACATTCTAAGCCCCAGAACCTGTGAATGTGACCTTATTTAGCCAGAGAATCTTTGCATTTGTAATTAAGTTTAGAGATCTGAAGATGAGATCATCCTGGATTATCTAGGCGGGCCCTAAGTTATAAGACAAATGTCCGTGTAAGAGACAGATGAGAAGACACAGAGACACAGGGGAGGCCACCATGTGGAGACAGAGGCAGAGATTGGAGGGAGGCAGCCACGAGCCACAGAACGCCTGGAGCCGCCTGAAGCTGGAAGAGGCGAGGAGGGATTCTCCCCTGGAGGCTTCCTGGCTGGCGATCAGGGTCCTGCCCCACACATGGATTTCAGACATTTGGCCTCTAGAACTGTGAGCTCATACATTTCTGTTGTTTTAAGCCACTAAGTGTGTGGTGATTTTTTATGACATCTCCAGAAACAGATACAGACAGGTCCCTCCATTGAACTCTCCCCAGTCACCCTATCCAGGTGTGCCAGGAGCCAGGCTGATGGGGAAGGGTGCCATCCAGAGTACATTTAAGGGCTGGGGAGTGCCCAGCACCATGTGTTCAAGTCCCCAGGAGAGGGCCTTGAGCACAGGCCCAGGGATTTTGTGGTGAAAACAGCAACCATAACAGCTGAGGCAGGTGCTAGGAGGCTGTGCCCTCATCCCCTAGGCCCACCTGATGCTACCTGCAGTTGCTGTGGAAAGTTCCAGAACACTGATGACTTCCCATCCGGGGCACCCGCTCTCTCAGGTAGGGTGTCCTCTACCTGTTAGAGCAGCTTAGCCCATACAGGGGAGAAGGCTGAGGGTACTGGGGGTCACTGTCCCAGGAGCAAGCGACCCTTCACAGGTGGGAGTGTCCCTTCATGGGGCAGTCCAGAGCTTTGTGTGACACTGTGTCTTGAACATCCCCAGCAGGAGTGAGCCCAGTTGCCCACTGTGATGACTCCTACAGGAACACCCCCCACCTCATTAGCTTTCTTCACTTCCCTGATCACTTCCTCGCTCCCTCACCATATTCTGGCATCACCTCTCAATTAACTACTTGCACCAAATCTTTGTCTCAGGGGCTGCTTTTCGTGAAACTGAAACTAAATCAAGAGCTTGCAATGCCCATGCATTCACAAGGCACCCCCTTCCCATGCAATTGTGTGCCACTTTCTTTAACAGCCCATGGGGTTGGTACTTCTGTTATTTCCATTTTGCAGAGGGGGTTACCCAGATACTCCAAGACCAAGTGACTTGCCCAAGGTCACAAACCAGGCTCCCAGCCCAGATGGAGTCTGATTTCAGAGCTGGCTTTCACTATGACTTTGTCCCAGGATGGGCTGGTAAGTGTTCAGAGGGGAGGAGTGGGTCTCACATTTATGAGCATTTATGGTGTGCGAGCGCTGTGCTAGGCACTTTGTGAATAGCAAGTCACTAAATCCTCTCAAAACCTTGTGAAGTGGAACTGGCATTGTTCCCATTCAAAAGATGAGAAAACAGACACTTCTAGAGCTTAAGAAACTTGTTCCTGGCCACCCAACTAGTAGGTAGGTGCCAGAGCTGGGATCTGGGCTCAGACCCTTCTGCTTCCACCTGCTGGCCCCTTTCAGAGGTCAAGGCTGTCTTCTTAGTGCCCCAGGGACTGGTCATTGAACATTTATTTTAAGCTTAATTAGGCAACTGCATCTCATGAGAACACATAGCCACAGAGTTCTGCCTAGTTGGTAGAGAGGTCTTGCATGGTTTGACTTGAATCTTAGCCCCTGTGCATATGCAGAATTCCCATGGGTGAGTCCTGAGAGCAAGTGGCTCAAAGAGACTGACAGTTAACCCCAGGGTTGCTGAAACCCGGATATTGAACGGGGTCTTTCATAAGCAATCTCAGAAGTGGATGACAAATGCTCAGCCATATAAAAGCTGGCCAGAAGCAGCATTAAATCCAGTCCCCATGTATTCTCCTTTCACTCCTCCCCAGCGTCCACACCTTTTCTAGAATCTTCTATCCTGCTTTTTACCTTCACCTGTCCTTCTCTTTGGACTCAAGTACATCTCCACATCATCCCTCCACTCTGTGCGGAGGGCAGGGCAAGGACCTTTATCCTCCTACTGCAGAAGGAAACCAAGGACTGCAGGGTCATCCTGGGGCATCCTTGCCCGTGGTGGCAGGTGAGGGTGATGCAGCTCTTCCTGGCCTCTGTGCTCATGGCTCGTGCATGCCTTCCTCCTCCTGCAGGAGGTGAGACTCTGCCATGCTAGAGAAATGCTCAGAGAGATGGTGTCAGGCTGCGGCTGGGGAGCCTGGGGACCCATTTGAGGTGATCAGGAGATGTGTAAGGTCAAGTGACTAATCCTGTGATTTCTCCAAGATCAGATGCACATTCCGTGGAAATAGATGTGCTCGATGGCAGCATCAGAAGGGAATCGATGTGCGGGGAGCTAGGATTAGATGATGTTAAGCTGAGGATTTTATAGTCTGTTTTTCTTCTAGGAGAGTCAACAATAGGCCGGGGTTGTTTCATCTTCCTGAATAAGCAAGCAGGTGGGTTTCAGAAACAGCAGCCACGGCCCAACTGTGAGTGTGTGTATGTGTGCTTGTTTTGGGGAAGGTGTGTGTGCACATGTAGGTGGATGTGCATGTATGTATGTCTGTAAGTCTGTGTAAAGGTGTGTGCAAATGTGTGAACACTTATGCGTGTGCTGTGTGCATGTGTGTGGCCGTGCGTGTGTATATGCGTGCTTGTGAGTGGTTTTGGGTGTGTGCATGAACATTTGTATGTTTACAGGTGTACATGTACATGTGTGTGCACATGTGTATCTCAGTGAGTATGTGTATGAGCATACCTGTGTGAGTGGGTGTGTTTCTGTGTGTGTGGGTGTAAATATGCATGGGAAAGGGTGTATATATGTGTGTATATAAGTGTGTGTGTACAGAAAAGAGAGAGAGAATGAAGCTGGGATCCAGGTTCTTTTCAAGACTCTTAGAATAAATGCTTGAGGTGATGGATACCCCATTTACCCTGATGTGATTATTACGCATTGTATGCCTGTATCAAAATATCTCATGTAACTTATAAATATATACACCTACTATGTACCCACAGGAATTAAAAATAAAAAAAAATTAACAAAAAGACTGTTAGAGGCTGGGCACTGCAGCTCATGCCTGGAATCCTAGACAGCACTTTGGGAGGCTGAGGTGGGCGGATTGCTTGAGGTCAGGAATTTGAGACCAGCATGGCCAACATGGTGAAACCCCATCTCTACTAAAAATACAAAAATTAGCCAGGCATGGTGGTGCCTGCCTGTAATCCCAGCTACTTGGGAGACTGAGCAGGAGAATCACTTGAACCTGGGAGGTGGAGGTTGCAGTGAGCTGAAATGACGCCACTGCACTCTAGCCTGGGTGACAGAGCAAGACTTTGTCTCAAAAAAAAAAAAAAAAAAGAAGACTGTTAAAAAACATGCTATAGCCCTTAGAGACACATGGGGTCTCCAGAAGAGCCATAGAATGGTGTTGAGGAACCCCCAGGCCCATGGCCCTGACCATGAGTGGGTGACTGGGTAGCTCATCTTGTGAACACTCCACCCTCTCGCCTCTGCTGGCACAGTCATGGTGTGGGGTTCTTGGGGCCAGTGTGGATGGACAGTCTTTGAGTTCCTCAGGGCCTGGATGCAAATTCTAGCTCTTCCTTCTCCCTGTGGGGCCCTGGGGTAAATTAGCATCCTCCCCAAGCTTCTGTTTCCTGCCCTGTGAAATGATGTAATGAGAAGCCCCCATAGGTTGTTGGGAGACCCAGAGGAGACCTGGGTAGGAGAATGCTCTGGCACTCGAGCACTGGGGGCTTCCATCCCTCCTTCCCTGCTCTAGCTGGGGCGGGGCAGCTGCTCCTGGGCTCTGGGGCTGCCCATGGAGGTTGGGCCCTGTAGAATGTCAGTGTGAAGACATCTGGGGAGCACATCAACTCTTCTACCCAAACAGTCAGGCTATGGCTTGGACCCCATGGGGCCCAGATGTGTCCACGAATATCACTCAAAGTGCACTTCTACCAGGACAAGCCGTTAGAAACAGAACCTTCCTCAAACAGCCATCTTGGTGTGGGTCCCGGGGACAGGTGGCTGTTGAGAGCTCTGGCAGGGCTGAGACTGTCTCACAGGCCATGCAAAGCTGCTTAATGACCCTCTATCTGGTGTTGTGGCCAAAGCAAGGACTCCAGAGCCAGAGAAACCAGATTGAACTCTTGGCTTGGCCACTTCCCAGCTGTGTGACCTGGGGCAAGCTGCTTGACCTTTCTGGGCCCTGGTTCCTCACCTGCAAATACTCACTGCCTTGCTGACCTGCCTGGCTCAGGGGAAGCTGCTTCAGAGAGAGCTTTAAGGACTCTGTATTCATTTCCTATGGCTGCTGTGGCTTAAAACAGCACCGACTTCTTATCTTACAGATCTGGAGGTCAGAAGTCTGACATGGGCCTCCCCGGCCTAAAATTGCATCGGTCGGCTGCGTTCCTTTCTGGAAGCTCTGGGGGAACACTGTTTTCCTAGTTTTTCCATCTGCTCTAGGCTGCCCATGCTCCTTGACTTCGGATCCCTTCTCTTTTCAAAGTGCATCACCACTACCTCTGGTTCTTCCATCATATCTCCTTTTCTGACGCTGGCCTTCCTGCCTTCTTCTTCTAAGGGTGCTTGTGATCACATGGGACCCACATGGACAATCCCAGATAATCTCTCATCTGGAGATCCTTAACTTTTTTTTTTTTTTTTTTTTTTTTGAGATGGAGTCTCACTCTGTCTCCCAGGCTGGAGTGCAGTGGCGCCATCTCGGCTCACTGCAACCTCCGCCTCCCGAGTTCAATAATTCTCCTGCCTCAGCCCCCTGAGTAGCTGGGATTACAGGCACCCACCACCATGCCCAGCTAATTTTTGTATTTTTAGTAGAGACGGGGGTTTGCCATGTTGGCCAGGGTGGTCTTGAACTCCTGAACTAAGGTGACCCACCCGCCTTGGCCTCCCAAAGTGCTGGGATTATAGGCGTGAGCCACTGTGCTAGGCTGAGATCCTTAACTTAATCACATTGCAGAGTTCCTTTTTACCATGTAAGGTCACCAGTTCGGCCGTTCTTGCATTGCTATAAAGAAATACCTGAGACTGGGTAATTTATAAGAAAATAAGTTTAATTGGCTCATTGTTCTACAGGCTGAACAGGAAGCATGGTGCTGACCTCTGCTTCGGGGGAGGCCTCAGAAAGCTTACAATCATGGAAAAGGTGAAGGGCAGGGGCAGGAGCAAGTAGGGGCTGGTGGTGGTGCCAGGGAGGTGCCACATACTTTTTTTTTGAGACGGAGTCTTGCTCTGTCACCCAGGCTGGAGTGCAGTGGTACATTCTCGGCTCACTGCAACCTCCATCTCGCAGGTTCAAGCAATTCACCTGCCTTAGCCTCTCGAGTAGCTGGGACTACAGGCATGTGCCACCATGCCTGGCTAATTTTTGTATTTTTAGTAGAGGTGGGGTTTCGCCATGTTGGCCAGGCTGGTCTCAAACTCCTGACCTCAGGTGATTTGCCCATCTTGACCTCCCAAAGTGCTGGGATTACAGGCGTGAGGCACTGGGCCCAGCTGGTGCCACATACTTTTAAATGACCAGATCTGATGAGAACTCACTCACTATGGCAAGGACAGCATCAAGCCATGAGGGGTCCACTCCCATGATCCAGTCACCTCCCACCACCTCCCACCTCCAACACTAAGGATTACGATTAACATAAGATTTGGGAAGAGACAAATATGCAAACTCTATCAGTCACATTAACAGGTTCCCGGGATGAAGATGTCTTTAGGAGGCCACTACTCCCCACTACCACAGTGTCCCCAAAATGAGAAGAAGCTTTGCAACTGGCGGGGAGGAGAAAGGTAGTGCAGGTGTCCCCAGCGTCCCAGCAGAGCAACTATCCAGTCATCACCCACTGTCTCAGTCATTCCACAAACATCTATTGAGTGCCAGCTGTATCCCAGACTAATCCCTGCCCTCAGGAAGTTTATGCACTGGTTAGGGAGGCAGATAACAAACATGAAATACATAATATTGCAGGTGCTGACAAGTTCTTTGGAGAAAAGTCAAGTAAAGCAAAAGGAGGGCAAGAGGTGTGGTGAGGGCTGCCTGGGATAGGGTGGGTCTGGAAGCCTCTTGGGAAGGTGATGTTTGGGCAGGGCCTGACATTGAGCAAAGGGAGGAGCCAGCCAGCTGGAAGGGCGTGGCCAGTGTGGATTGAATTGTGTCCCCCATAAAGATATGCTTAAGTCCTAATTCCTGGGCCTGTGAACATGATCCTATTAGAAATAGGGTCTTTAGCCAGGTGCAGTGACTCATGCCTGTAGTCCCTGGTAATCAGGAGGCTGAGGCTTGAAAATCACTTGAGCCCAGGAGTTTGAGGCTGCAGTGAGCTGAGATCGTGCCACTGCACTTTAGCCTGGGTGAGAGAGCCAGATTCTGACTCTAAAGAAAAATAAAATAAAAAAAGATACAAGTTCTTTGCAGCTATAATTAAGATATAAGGTGATAGGATGACGCCTAAATCCAATTATTAATAAAGCCTGGAGTTGGTCTTCCTGCTATAGAGCAGACAAACCGTTCACCTGGGGCTGCCAAAGTGATCAGCACAGCCTCTTCCCATCCTTGTTGATACAAATAAAATAAACAGGAGCAGCTGCCATTTTTTGTTCATTCATTGCCTGGCATGTTGCAAGCATTGTCTCATTTATTCTCACACAGCTCTGGGAGGTGATTATTGTTAGTGTTCCATTTCACAGATGAGAAAATTGAGGGTTGAAGACTAAGCGATGACAACTGCCTACACACACTCAGCTATTGAATTGGGTTTTTGAGACTTAACCCCAAATCTCTTTGCATCCAAGGGCTCACTCTTAACCGGAGCAGCTTGAGGTCAGGGACCATCCTTTCTTTTTTTTTCCTCTAATGTCTCCATGCATCTAGCAAAACGTCTTGCACATCACAGTCAGCTAAAACATATTGATTTTTTTCTTCTGTTAATGATCTCTTAAGTCTTGACAAGAGAGTTCAGTTCAATCAGAACTTTTGACAAATCCCAAACCAATTTTCCCTACTACGTTGATTTATTTATTCTGTAAACATTTGTGGAGAGTCCCTGAGCACCTGGAACATGCTGCAGGGTTAGTGTCTTGGTTCTATCCTGAATAGATGAATTATAGCTACAGTTTTGAAAAGCGATTATTTTCATTGGTATTTGGATAAAATACCCTAAGTAGTCTGTGGCTGCCCTCAAGGGAGCCAAGTAGCGGCAGCTGGAAACCTGGCCTCCTGACTGGAAGTCACAGGTTGATCCCTGTTCACTTGTGGCCTTGGAGCCTTTGGCTCTGCAGGGCTTTTGGGCAACTGGGATCTCCCAAGTGTTGCCTGCCCCTCCCGCTGGGTGAAAACCTGCAATGCACCTCCTGGCCTCCAGAATGTGCCACTGGTCCTGGTGTCTCTCGAGGTTTGGTCCCAGAAGCCTTTCTTCCAGATACTTTGCAGAGCTGTTTCTGTCTCTTTCTCTCTCTCTTTTTTTTTTTTCTGCCTTTTGCCATTGTCATTGCTGCTGACAAGTCCCAAGAGCAATTTGGGATGGCCATGTTTTGGTGTCTTCAGCGACCTCAGTCCCCTGGGAGAAGTTATTCCCCTGCATCTCAGCTGATGGTTGGGAAATGGATGGTTTGTCTGTGTCAGGAGGTGTGGGCAGAAAAGACATGGTTGTTGGTGCGGAGTGCAGAGAGACGGGGTGGAAGAGTTTCACTGGAGTAGCTAAAGAGAAGACAAGTTGACTAAAATGACAGCTATCATTACTGCCCATCTGCTTGGCATGTATGCAAAAATAATAATAACATTGAAACAACTACTTGATAATGCCCAGGCTGCAGGGTCTCTCCCCATCCAGTGATATAGAAACGGTGCAGATTGTTCCAAAGAGCAATTTAGCACCATTCATTGAGCTTTAAACAAGCTCCTATCGTTAGATCTAGCAATTGCTTTTCTAGGATGAAAGTCAGTTAAATCACAGATGTGAAAAGATTTATGCTGAGGTTATTTATCATTGGATATAGTAGCAAAACTTTGGAAAGACTCCTAGTGTCCAACCATTGGGAAGTGGTTAAATAACTTCTGTCCATCCATTCGTTCAATGGAATGGTATGCAGCCATTTAAAATGGTGCTCGTGTGCATTTTTGCTGCCATGGAAACATAATAATCATGGTAATAGTGTTTATAATGTGCCAGACACTGCTCTAAGACTTCACAAGGAATAACTCAGTTATTCCTCCCAGCAACCTTGTGGTGCAGATGCAATATCAGAATAATCCCCAAGTTACAGATGGAGAAGCAGCAGCCAGTAAGGCAATGAGCCAGGACTTATAGCCCACATGGCATTGAGTGTTTCCTAACTGTTTACCACTCTGCCTCTCACTGTGACCACAGAGATGGAAAAATCAAAGACATGAAACTGCATGTCCAGGTTATCCCAGTTTTGCTGGGAAAGATGTTTATTATGCTTAGAAGAAAGACTGGAGAGGAAAACATCTGCGATGTTGGTAGCTCTGAGTGGTAGGATTAGGAGTAGTTCTCCTCTATTTTTGGATTTTCTAGGTTCTTTACAACAATTGCTGTATTAGCTTTATAATAAAAATAGAGAAAGTGAAGGGGGGAGGTCTTACAGTTGCTGAGATGTTGAACTTCACTGTCTACTACCTGTGTGACCTTAGGAGAGTTACTTTACCTCTCCGAACTACACTTACTTAGCTGGTAATTGGGAACCACCTAGTTTTTAGGATTGTTGTGAGGATAAGAAACTCTATAGGGATGGTCCTGAGCATGTTTGTGGTTAGGTCTATTTCTTGCCTTTCCCTGACTCTGGTCTGTAGGACAGGGGAATGGGATGATCCCCAGAGGCTCCTGTGTCAGCTGGCTTCCAGCTGGGCTCAGCCAGTGGGAAGCACTCTTAGGAGATTGCCGGGTAGGAGGAAGAGAGAAGCCAGCATTTTCCTCCCCCTGTCTCTGCCTCCAGTGTGTTCTCAGGCAGTGGTTGTATCTCCTCTGTGGTTTTGTGTTTTCAGCTCCTGCCATGGAAGTCCTCTCAGGTTCCAGCCTCCATTGGGTGATCCCAGCTCTGGGCTCCAGTAACCCCACTTCTTCCCTCTGTGCCTCCATCCTAGAGGTGGGAGTTTCCTGCTATTTCCAACTTTTGGATTGCATCGCTGTCCCCTGGTACTCTTCTATTACTTGTTCAATTAGTCTGGGTTCTCCAAAGAAACAGAACCAATAGGAGATACACACACACATAGGTACACACACACATGCAAACATAGAGTTGGCTCACACAATTATGGATGCTGAGAAGACCCAGGATCTGTGGTTGCCAAACTGGAAACCCAAGAGAGCTTGTGGTGTATTCCCTGGTTGAGTCCCAAGGCTTGAGAACCAGGATTACTAATGGTGTCAGTTACAGCCTGAGTCCAAGTCCAGAGGCAGGAGGCTGGTGTTCCAGCTAGAAAACGTTAGGCAGAGACAGCAAATTCTCCCTCATGCCACCTTTTTGTTCTAGTCAGGCCTTCAATGGGTTGGATGGGAACTACTCACATGGGGGAGGGCAATTTGCTTTACCCAGTCTATGGATTCAAGTGCTAAACTCATCCAGAAACACCCTCACAGACACACCCAGAATAGCTTTTAACCAAATATCTGGGCACCCTGTGGCTCAGTCAAGTTGGCACAAAATTAGCCATTTTACTTGTATAACCAGTTCTCTACATTAATTCAATTTAAGTGATTTCTGTTTCCCTGGTTGGGCCTTAACTGATACAGAGATGAAAAAAGGTTTGGTTTTGACCTTGGTATTCAGCTTTGAATGGCTGAACAGCCAAACGCCTAGTTCGGTGTCATTTCCGGGATCTGTAAGGTTGTGAGTCATCAATGATTGAGTGATCATTTATATAACAATAAGTAATGATATGAGATGGTATATTTTTGGATTCATTGTTACTATCTAAATATCCACTTTCAAATATAGGTAAGCTTTCTGAAAGTATTCTAGAGTGATTTTTTTGGGGGAGAGGGGGTAGAAACAGGGTCTTGCCATGTTGCCCAAGCTGGTCCTCAACTCCTGGCGTCAGTGATCCTCCCACTTCAGCCTCCAGAAATGCTGGGATTTCAGGTGTGAGCCACTGTGCCCAGTCGATTTTTTTTTTGTTTTAAAATTTTATCAATTGTTGGAAGTATAAATTGTTGTGAGAGTCAAGTGTTGCAATAATTAATTTTGATTATGAGAGTTAATTCGATTTACTAAATCATCTTAAATTTTTTCAATTGACAAATAAATAGGGGGACAGAGTTACAATTAATATAAATATTGAGAGTATTAGCTAGATAGCTTTAGGAAGAATATTATTTCCTTTCTGAGCCAAGCAATGCTTATAAAATTTAAATAATAATACAGAACAGAATAATAGAAATTAGATTATATCACAATTACAATATTTGTAGAACCTGCATTCATAATATTCAACAAAATAAACTTTAATAACTGCTTTTAATTTTTAGTTGTATAATTCTATCTAGGAATTCTATCTAGGTCATGAGGATTTCAAGAAAATATTAGAGTTTTTTTTTATATACTGAGAGAATGAATTAGAAATGGAATGTCACCTTTGCTACCTCAAAATAGGAGGAAAAATTCTGAAGTTATGTATGATGTTCATGATAAAACTGATTCAGATGTAATATAAGAATATAGGTATAAGGAAAAAAAGAAAATCCTAGAGAAAGATGAAGCAAGCCTCAAATATCTTGCTTTTCTCTTGACTTCAGTAGAGAGAGAGAGCATTTATTTAACATCACAAATTTGGCCAGGTACAGTGGCTCATGCCTGTAATCCCAGCGCTTTGGGAGGCCGAGAGGGGCTGATCACTTGAGGTCAGGAGTTCGAGACCAGCTTGGCCAGCATGGTGAAACCCTATCTCTGCTAAAAATACAAAAATTAGCCAGATGTGGTGATGGGTGCTAATAGTCCAGCTACTCGAGAGGCTGAGGCAAGAGAACCACTTGAACCCGGGAGGTGGAGTTTGCAGTGAGCCAAGATTGTGCCACTGCTCTCCAGCCTGGGCAACAGAGTGAAACTCTGTTAAAAAACAAACACACACAAAAAAACCACCACCACCACCAAAAAACAAACACAAATTTAGCTAAGAGGCCATAGGGCCACCCAGTCACTGACAGTTCTGAGAAATTTTTGTTTCTGCCCGAAGACATTGAATGTTCAAAATGTGACTACTGAAATGTAAATAAAAAATAGTAAGATTAAGGAATTTCTAAAACGAAATGACAGCATTGTTCCTGTCTAGATTTGTGACCCCCTCCCAACCCGCCAGTCGCAGCTTTGCTTCCTTCTAGTTTGAAAGCATCCCCAGAGAGAGCCCTCTCCCTCGCCCCTCCCTGTCCCTGCCTTTGCTGGGTGCAGATCCTCTGGATCTGGAAGCAGCATCAGAATCTGAGCATCCCGAGTTGCTTAGCAGCAGCTGGAAGAGATATGAGACCCCAGCATGGACCAAGGCCTTCTGAGGCTTGGACAAATGCTTCCAAAACAAACTGTGAAGTCTTTATTTATTGGATGACTTTATTTGGTGCTTCCTAGGTGCCAAATATCTCACTACATATCTTTCCCCCATTATCTAATCCTACCACCCAGCAATCCATGAGATCATCCCTCTCTGCATTCCCATTTTACAAATGAAAAAACAGGCTCACACAGGCAAAGTAATTTGCCCCAGGCCGCCTGGCCTGTTGGTGGCAGAACCGGGACTTGAACCCTGGCCCTTCTGACTGCAGAACACATCCACTTAACTGCCCTGGTAGCATGCCTTCTCCCAGAATATTCCAGACCGTGCAACCCAGCATTGCCATTTTGCTGACAGAGAAAAGGAGAGGCATAGTTTCAAGGTCCCCACCCAGAAGGTCAGCGGCATTGTTGGTTTGAATTTCAAGTCTGAGCCTGGGGCATGCAGACCAAAGCCAAGTGCAGGGGAACAATATCTGCTTTGTGCATTCTCCATCCCTGGAAGCATCAGGCATGCAGTCCGTTGGGATAGATCCTGCAGGCTTTAGGGAGCTCTCCACCAGGGAAATAGTTACAGAAAAACAATCCATTTGGTGCCAGTTGGAGAGGAAAATGCTGGTTGCTTTTTAATTTACCTTGTGAAATAGCTGCTGCTGGGACGGAGCTGTGGCCACGAGATCACGGGGCTAAGAGCCAGGCACTTTGGCGCTGGATCCCTCCTCTGGATAACATGGGGTGTTTGAGAACACTGTCTGGATGTTTCCTGTTGACACAACTTTGTAAAACTCTCTGAGCATTGTCAAGCACATTCAGGAGCCGGGGCTTTTTGCTTCAAGGCATGTTAATTACTCAGTGAACTAGCAGTGCAGTGGGAGAGGCAGGGTGGGGCTAAGGGGACATCAGCAGTCTGGCTGGAATGAAATGGCCCAGATGTTGTTGCTGCCCCCAGCCGTGCTCTGATACATCCGGCAAACATTCCAGGGCCAGTGCTGTCCAATGGAAACATAATGTGAGCCATGTATATAATTTTGAATTTTTTAGCAGCCACATTAAAAAAGAGAAGGAAACTGGTAGAATTCATTTAAAAATATATTTCATTTCATGTAATATATTCAAAATAGTATCATTTCAACATGTAATCAGTATAAAAACTATTTTTTTTTTTTTTGAGATGGGATCTTGCTCTGTCACCCAGGCTGGAGGGCAGTGGCGTGATCTCAGCTCACTGCAGCCTCCAACTCCCGGGCTCAAGCGATCCTCCCACCTCAGCCTCCTGAATAGCTGGGACTACAGGCTCAAGCCACCATACCTGGCTAATTTTTAATTTTTTTTATTTTTTGTGGAGACAGAGTCTCACTGTGTTGCCCAGGCTGGTCTCAAACTCCTGGCCTCAAGTAATCCTCCTGCCTTGGCCTTCCAAAGTGCTGGGATTACAGGCATGAACCACTGTGCCTGGCCTGTAAAGCTATTAATGAGTATTTTATATTCTTTTTATGGCACTCAATCTTGGACATCCAGTGTGCATTTTATACCTACAGCATGTTTCAGTGTGGACTAGCCACATTTCAAGTGCTCAGTGCTACAGGTGGTATTGCTTCTCTGCCTGTGGTGCAGCTCTTGCCATCCCTCTCTGCTGCTCAAAGACCTTCTGTGGCTCCCGACTTGCCTAACCTGTTGGAGTCAGTCATATACTGCAGTGATTTGTGTTTCGGACTTCCTCTCTCTCCACCACCAAGAAAGGTGGGTACCTTTAAGGAAGAAAAAGAGTTTTTATTATGGTGTCTATTAGGGGCATTTATTATGTATCTACTGTGGGTGCAAAGGGAAGGCTTTCCGGCTTTGCCCTCAGAAGATTTGCTGAAAAATCAACTCACAAAAAGGCAGATTACTAAGAGAAAAGGCAAACAAATTTATGACTACTGTGCACACAGTGAGAATCCCAGTGATTGATCAGTGGGATACAGATGCTTATATACCCTGCTTTCTTAGGGGAAAGGGAGATGGGGAAGTGTGGGTGATTTTAGGGGGATAGTAAGTGATTTTTCTGAGAATTCAGTGGGCTTGAAGAACATACAATAGCCTGCGACAAAATCGGTTGGGTCCGCAGAGCAAACAATGGTTTGTGACCAAAGTCTGTCTAGTAGGTGTGTAGACAGTCTTTGGTTTTCCTTCCTGTGATATGGGTTCAGTTAGTGAAATTTCAGGGAAGGGATCAGAGGTAATTGTTTTCTTCTTTGGGCAAATAAGGGAGCTTCAGCCTGTGCTGTGGGAGAGGTAGAGAATTTAGAGACAGGAAGGTTGGGGAGGAAAAACAATTGCTGTCCTTCGTGGGTCCATCCTGTCTTTATGCAGATCAGGAAAAGTCTCTTCTAGCATCTGTCTCTTTTAGCAAAAGTCTGTTCTAGCATCTGAAGGCCTTCTAAGGACCTTCAGTACAAAACACGCATTATCCCAGGGAGCAGTATTTTGGGGTGAAACTCTTCACACTCCTTTACTACTATGTCCTAGTTTTAAGTCCCTTGACTAATTGTGTTTTCCACAATAAATCTTACTGCGACACATGCCTGCATAAGACATTGCGTTAGGTGCTTTAAGTAATTTTCCTTTTTTTGAGATGGAGTCTCTCTCTGTTGCTCAGGCTGGAGTGTAGTGGCGTGATCTTGGCTCACTGCAATCCTGGGTTCAAGAGATTCTCCTATGTCAGCCTCCCTAGTAGCTGGGATTACAGGTGTGTGCCACCATGTCGGGCAAATTTTTCTTTTTTCTTTTCTTTTTTTTTTTTTTTTTCGCAGAAATGAGTTTTCAACTATGTTGCCAGGCTGGTCTTGAATACCTGACCTCAAGTGATCTGCCCACCTTGGCCTCCCAAAATGCTGGGATTACAGGTGTTAGCCACCACGCCCGGCAGCTTTGTGTAATTTTCTAATTAAATTATCAGTACAACTCCATGAGGTAGGTATTTAATTTCCATTTTACAAATGGAAAATGGAGGCTAAGAGAGCTGAAGTTGAATCCAGATCTGTGGGACTCTAAGTTGCTCTTTTAGCGACGTTGTGCTGAGCCCGGACAGGTTTGGATTCTCAGAAAACATGTATTAAATGTCCTGACTGAGACAACAGTTTCTTGCCTCTTTCTTGGGATGAACAGCAGACGCGTGGAGGCGGCAGAAGGGGCTGGGATGTCTACTGACATGTGTGTTTTTCTTGGTCATCAGGATGCAATATCAGCTTAGGCCCAGGAGTGCTGAGAGCAGCCTCTTTGGGAACTGGGTTGAGCACAGCCAGTGCTCTCAGCAGCCAGGCAACAAATTGGAAAGCCTCAGTCTGTGCCTGATAAATGCCCGTGGGTGGGTTTCCCCTCCCCTCCCGGCATCAGGCTGATAACTGGCGCTCTGCCCCTCCGGCTTCCCGAGACACTGCTATTTACGTGATGCATGATTCACACTCATTTATTGCCAGAGAGTACGATGCTTTGCCTTGGTACTTTATTGAGAGCACAATAAAAATAAAGATGAGCTACTAATAAAATGTCAAAAGAAAATGTCAATTAGTATTACCAAAAAGAAAAAAAAAAGAGAGGCTGATGTTATTGTACATCCTCTCAGTGAATTCCCTCTAATTAGTCAAATAAATATGCAGTCCTCCCACTTGGGTGTGTGTTTGTTTGCTTTAAAACATTGTAATTACATCCTCCGCTTTGGAAACTTCTGGGAACCGGAACCTCCACACATGGGCTTTAGCTAGGACGACGTGAGCCAGCACTTTGGCTGGGATGAAACTCCATGCCTGTGTAAGTTACTGGGCTAAACATTCAGAAGCAGGTTGTGTCTCACCCTGCCGTCACTCAAACTCCCACTGTGGCTCCCTAAGGCTGTGACATCAACACCAATTCCACTTCATACAGTGCAAGGGAACTGGGCAGGGAGAGGTGAGTTCTGCATGATCTTGAGACAACCTCTAACCCCTCCACGCCTCTGTTTCCTCTTTGGTGAAAGAAAGCAGTTCTAGCTGCTCCCAGCCATGAGGCAATCATGATTTCCATGGCCAACAACTGGCTCTCCCCATCCTTCCAACTTATCCATATTTCCCTCTTCCTGCAAGAAAACATTAGAACTTCAGTTGATATTTAGTTTATATTGACTTCTTCTATTTTTGTATATATTTAATGTATGTAAATCTATGCTAGGAATAGAGAACACGTATTTGACAAAGAAATACATACGTTAGTGATGTCTCCTGAAAAAACTTTTTATTAAAAAATCTGTGTTATTTAAGGCCGGATATGGTGGTTCACGCCTGTAATCTCAGCACTTTGGGAGGCAGAGGTGGGTAGATCATTTGATGTCAGGAGTTTGAGACCAGCCTGGTCTCTACTAAAAATACAAAAATTAGTTGAGTGTGGTGGCACACACCTGTAATCCCAGCTATTCAGGAGGCTGAGGCAGGAGAACCACTTGAACCTGGAAGGTGAAGGTTGCAGTGAGCCGAGATCAGGCCACTGCACTCCAGCCTGGGTGACAGGGTGAGACCCAGTCTCAGAAAAAAAAAAAAAAATCTGTGTGATTAAAAAAGAGACAACTAGTTTACAGAACAAGGGCTCTCTATATATTTATTTATTATTATTATTTTTTAAGATGGAGTTTTGCTCTTCTTGCCCGGGCTGGAGTGGAGTGGTGCGATCTTGGCTCACTGCAACCTCTGTCTCCCAAGTTCAAACAATTCTCCTGCCTCAGCCTCCTGAGTAGCTGGGATTACAGGCACCCACCACCACACCTGGGTAATTTTTTATTTTTAGCAGAGATGGGGTTTCACCAAATTGGCCAGGCTGGTCTGGAACTCCTGACCTCAGGTGATCCAGCCACCTCGGCCTCTCAAAGTGCTGGGATTATAGGCATGAGACACTGTGCCCGGCCACAAGGACAATATAGATGAAATAAACTGGAGTGAGAAGACTGGCCTTAGGGTCCTAGTCGTTCCTCCTGCCAAGTGCCAGGCCTAGGCAATGTTTGACCTTCCTTGTCCTAAAATGGGGTTAATCTTGTCTGGATGTTCTGTTTTAAGGTTATTCTGAGAGCTGATTGACATATGCATGGGCAGATGTTTTATAAACTGCATTCTCTACAAACTGAAGGGGCAAATGTGATGGATTCCAAGGCTCCACAAGGTAGGAATTATTATCCTGTGAACAGCTCAGGAGGCAGCTTTGAAGAGGTGAGGTCTTGCTCAAGGTCTCACAGTGAGGGTGGGTTGGTGTCCAGGTGTGAGTCCAAAGCTCATGAACTTTGCACTGTGTCAGACCCTTTGCCATCTGCATTCTGATCTTCAGCACTCATGCCTTATCCTGTGATTCGGCTTGCCAATTTTCCCCGTATCTTGTTGCTGGCCTAGGAGAGATTTGCTCATTTAAGATGCCATTGACCTTACCTAATAAAAAGAATCAGGAACCAAGGAGTCTGTTTAATTCATTATTAAAGATCATTTCCTGTTATTATCTTCCCTATAGCAAAATGAGCTGTTAACTCTCCTGTTAGCATAACCCAGCCAGTATTACTAGGAAATTAGGAAAAAATCAGTTTAATGATATGTGCGCTGAGCCCAGGGAATTCCCCATCTTTGGCGCATATTAACATTATGCCTTAGAAGTCGAGGAAATGTTCTGTTAAGTGGAAAAAGAGTTGCAGAAATTTTACTTTTAAAAGTCAAGTAAAAAGTTACTTTTTTTTTTTCCCAAGTCAAATTAATTTTTGTCTCAGGGCAAGAAAAAGTAAATTAAAAATCACATGCTGCCGCTTCCTCACAGGCCCCATTTCCTCCTGGGTTTCTGTCCCTCTTGGCTGGAGTTTTGGGTTTCTCTGGCCCAGTTTGGGCCTCGGGGGACACCAGGCTTCAAGGGTTTCTGCTCCCGGGAACCTCTGGCCATGGCAGGGTGGGGCAGCCTGCTCGTCTTCTACCTGTCTTCCCTTTGAGGTACTTCCCTTACTCCCGGGCAGTTGTGGGGGTGAGGAGGGAGCAAGGACTGAGACCCCGATGATTCAGGAAGGTCCTGTGTTGCATGATGTGGAGTGTGGTTGACCCCTGGATGAGGGGTTGCTGGGACACCGATCACCCCTCCCTCCACTGGGCATTAACATATCAGCTGGCCAGGGGCTGGTGGCAGACTTTAGTAGCCTCCACCAGACTCCCACAAAGGGCAGAAATTGTGCTGGTGTGACGTAAATGAGGTGCCTAGTTATGAGTGGGTACCCAGGAAGTGAGGAGCTCTGGACAAAAGGAGCAGGCAGTGAGCAGGTGTTTCATGGTCAGGGGAATACAGCACTTTAGAGCCCCGTGCTCACGTGTCTGAACCCATAGGGGTGCCTGGGTATATGTGGGGGGAGACACAGCAGCCTGGCGTGGTCAATGAGTCATTGGGCTTGGAGTCCACAGACATGTGGTGGAATCCTAGCTCCTTGTGGCCTCGAGAAAAATCACAAAACTGCTTTGGGCCTCCGCCTCCATATTTTCAGCTGGAAGAGAGACGTTTGCCAACCTTTTCAGGTTGTTGTTTTACAAACTGCATTCTCTACATAATGAAGGGCGCAAATATGTGGTGAAGGTGGCAGGTGATAACGTTTCTGGAGGCTTCACCACCATGGAACTCCGAGATCTCAGAACAGGCTGAGGGGACAGTGCTTGGCCAGGATCACAGGAAAGGGGAGGCACTTGCGGAGTCCCTTCTGTGTGCCTGAAACCCTGTTAGGCTTACAACACATTCGTTACAGGCTTATGGGTTCTTGCAACTCAGGGAATCTTGGGAAACCCAGTCAGGTGATCAACTCATCCCAGTTTGTCCAGAATTTTCCTGATTTTATTAATAATAATAATTAATAGCACTGTAAGTACCATGACCTGGGAAACTTCCCATTTCTTGGCAAAGTGGTCACTTTGCTGGTCATCCTATAAATCTTTCTTGTTTTAAAGACTAGAGTTGGGGCAGAGACTATCTGGCCCAAAGTTACATGGTTAGGGACCACCTGACCTGTTTTTGATGTGAACCATGCTTTCTGGGCAAAGACAGAATCCAGCTCACCTCCCACCAGCTCAAGCAGGACCCACACGCCACATACATGCATCCAAAGAGATGAAGTTTCCTTGGGCTCATTTCACCTGTTGGTATCTGACTTACAATTGTTTTCTGTTAACTCCATTATCTTTAATTTGCAAGAACGCAGCCAACAGGAAACCTCTGGATGCTTTCTCTTTAATGAAACACAATTTGATTACAAATCATCGGAGTCCCCTGGCAGACAGCCTTTTTTGGAGGATTTTAGCCTGCCGTGGTCACACCAGCATGATTTCTGCCATTTGTGGGAGTCCAGTGGGGGCTGCTGAAATCCCCCACCAGGGGAGGTGGCCACCAGTCCCCCGTCAGCCCATGTGTTAATGCCAGCTGTTGAAAACACCCTCCCGCATGGCCCTGTGGATGAGGGGTGTTCTTTGTGGTTCCTTGGACACAGTGTGCCAGAAATGCCTTCCAGGTTCACCATACCATTTTGATTCAATGTGCAAGGTTTATTTTTTCTCATATCTACCAACAGACATTATCATGGTCAATGTCCAGCAGACCAGATATGGGGTGATCAATTGTTTGAAGGTAAAAGGTAAGAGCCATGAAGCCAAGTTACAAGAACATCTGTGTTTACTGGGACATTGGAGAGCCTTAGCTCATGGATATATAAGGCGACTTGGGCAGCATCAGCCTTATAGGGCTGAAAGGCAACCCCCTGGGGCAGTATCCTTAATGCGGCAATTTATTAGACATGGTGAGAGCAGGTCACACTGTTCCTGGGAGTGGAGTGGCGTGATCATGGCTCACTGCAGCCTCAACCTCCTCCCCAGGTTCAGGTGATTCTCCCACCTTAGCCTCCCGAGTAGCTGTGACTACCGGCTGGGGCCACCACGCCCAGCTAATTTTTGTATTTTTAGTAGAGACGGGGTTCCACCATATTGCCCAGGCTGGTCTCAAACTCCTGGCCTCAAGCGATACACCTGCCTCGGCCTACCAACATGTTGGGATTACAGGTGTGATCTGGTTCTTTCTGATTGAGGAGTCTGTCTGGGCTCAGGAGGAGGGTCTTGTCTGCATAAGAAGATGGATGAAACTTTCTCAGTTCCTTCCTGACACCAACAAGAAGAAACAGAGTGTAGCATAAGCACACGGAACACTGGTCAAAAGGACAGGTTCTAGTCCTCACCACACCATGAACTGGCTGTGTGATCTTGGGCAAGTCATTTCTCTTCTCTGGTCCACTCAGTGTCTCCATTTGACATACTGGAGAATTGAATTTATCTGTCTCTAGGATCTTTCCCTTTCACCTCCTTCCATGGTTTTCTAAGTACCATCTCTTTATTTCTTACTCGCACACAATCTCACCTCTGCCTTCTAGCTAGAATGCATGTTTCTGAGGCCAAGCATCTTCCCCGAGTGCTCCCTAGTAAGTGCCTCACACATGTGGGATCAGAGCCTGTGGTTGCATAGCAGTAAAATTAGCATTACCTGCAGGTGGGGGTGAGGGGTTTCACCCCATCCTCCAGCTTCTTAGAGGAGAAAATATTTTAATGGTTGGAAACAACCTGGATCTACACAAAAGGGCATGAAAACAGCCACTTAAATTCTACGTGCACTTGGCACTGCAAAGATCAGAAAACTCCCATCAAGATAGATGATACGAAGAAAAAAAGCATGAGCACTTTGCTTTAATTTAACTCAAGATGACACCTCCATCATCCCGTGGTCTGTAGTCTCGCGAGGGTCCCCGCTCCCTTTTGCACATGCGTGGTGTGTGTTCACACGGACTCTTCTACAGCTTTGCATCGCTGGGTTCACAGCATTCCTCCTCTCCCTCATTGGTTCCACACATTCAGCCATAGCTGTTTGTGACTTCTCTCCTTCTGCAATTGTTTGAAAACAGTGTCAGAGCATGGCTCCTTTATCTTGCTGTGATTGCTTTATTTATTTATTTATTTTTTTGAGATGGAGTCTTGCTGTGTTGCCCAGGCTAGAGTGCAGTGGCACGATCTCAGCTCACTGCAACCTTTGCCTCCTGGGTTCAAGTGATTCTCCTGTCTCAGCCTCCCGAGTAACTGGGATTATAGGCATGCACTACCACGCCTGGCTAATTTTTTGTATTTTTAGTAGAGACAGGGTTTCACCATGTTGGCCAGGCTGCTCTTGAACTCCTGACCTCAAGTGATCCGCCCACCTTGGCCTCCCAAAGTGCCGGGATTACAGACATGAGCCACAGTGCCTGGCCATTGCTGCGATTGGTTCTAAGAGTCTTTCTGCCCTTTTTTCTCTCTTCCTGCTATGCTAACCCTCACGGGACTCAGATTTCTTGGGAAAGTTGCACAGGAATCATCTACTTTGCAGGGTTAGATATCAGCCTTGCCTTGAAAGGCTGAGCATCATAAACAGTAACACACAGTCTGTTTTCTCTCCCATACTCCCACCCTCCCACACCTCATACTGAATATTTAAGAGGTATTGAGCTTTGGGGAAAAGAAGGGAGGAGATGTTGGGGAGGAGGTGTTCCTTGATATGAGAAAGCCCATTTCCAGAGAATCAGAAGACTTGAATTCAATTCTGCTGTCAGGGGTCATGGGGAAGTCACTTTATCATCTGGGACTCAGTTTCCCCATATGAAAAATTGTCATGAAAATAAGTAAACCATAAAGTCCATTTTAAACTCCAAAATAGAGAGACCCTCCCTCTCCTTTTCTAAGACCTTACTTAGGGTGAGGTCCCATCAAGGTTCTTTATAACGTACCCCTTTTATTTATTTGAGATAGAATCTTGCCCTTGTTGCCCAAACTGGAGTGCAGTGGCACCATCTTAGCTCACTGCAGCCTTGAACTCCGGGGCTCAAGCAACCCTCCCACCTTAGCCTCCAGAATAGCTGGGACTATGGGCATGTACCATGCCCAGCTATTTTTTTTTCCATAGAGATGGGGTCTCCCTGTGTTGCCCAGGCTGGTCTCGAACTCCTGGCCTCAACTGATCCTCCTGCCTCGGCCTCCCAAAGTGCTGGGATTATAGGCACGAGCCAACAGTCCCAGTCATGCACTCCATTTAATCCTCAAAACAGCCCTTTGAGGGTGGTGTTATTAGCCTCATTTTACAAATGGGGCAACCAAGGTTCAGAGAGGTTAATGGACCTGCCCAGTGAAAAAGTTTATGAAGCCAGAGACCAAATCCAGAATTTTCTAACTCCAGCACCCATGTTTCTAACTCTAGAGATTTTTCTAACTCTACCCTCTCAAATATGATGAGACTTTGGTGGTACTCTCAGGAAAACTGCTGAGAAAATGTTGCTTGATTTCCCTGCCCCCATTTGCACAATGGGTTCTATGTCATGGAGAACTTTCCTTTCAAAAAATTTCCAAAGGACAAGTGATGCATTATGTCTTCCATTTTTGGCAACTTCACACAATAACCTTAACAGCCTCTTGGCTTCCATCTCCCAGGGATGGCATTTCAAGTATGCCTGGTCATGGAGTGCCTGTGGTTTAAAATTTTAATGGAAGACCCTTACCCCCATCTGTCTTGATTCGCTGTTGCCCTGTCCCTGGCTTCCTGGTGGTCACTGAGCTCTGCGGGCCCCCCTTCCCCCAGCCCGTCTCCTCCTGCCATTGAGAGGGGCTGTTCTCTTTCCCAAGCGGCAAGCCCCTGATTCTTTTAGCACAGCCAATGGGCTCCACTGGGGCTTTCAAGCTTGCTGGCAATTTTGGATGTCAGCAGCTGGGAAAATCAAGCTTAATATTTCATGACATTACAAAGTCAGTTTGTTCTATTTTCATCCCAGATAGAGTGAAAAAGCAGTGTTCTCATCAGGAGACTCTCCCAAAAAAGTGGGAGGCAGTTGGTCTGGGAGCCACAGCAGGTTGGCGGGGAGTACTGGGCAGGCGGTCAGCATTTGGATGCTCTGGTTTTGGCTTGACAGCCAACTAGCAGTTGACCTTCGGCGAGTGATTCTCTCTCTGAGCTTTGACTTCCTCCTGCACAAATAAACGATCTCTCAGACCGTAAGTACCCTGATTTAGGAATGATGTGGTCTTAAACACAAGATCGACTTGGGGAGGTGTTTGTATCCTCCATGCAAACTTTAGGAATGGCTAGAGTGTTTTGAGGGGCAGGGACAGAAAAGCAAGGAAGTGCCCTGGAGACCAAGTGAAGAAGACTGGAAAATGGGACTAGCTCTGTCTGCAGGATGTACGAAAGGTTCGGGAGGCCCAGCCACTGTGCCATGGTTCCAGGGTGGAGCCCAAGGCTTTGGGGACCTAGAGGGGGAAGACAGGTGCTGGTGATGTGGGAAAAGTCGTCTTCAGTTCCTGTGAGTCTCTGGTCTGATGCCCAAGGGAGGTGCTGGGTTCAATTGTCACCGCCAGACTCATGCCTGTCCTGTTTCTTCTGCTTCTGCAGCATCTGCACATGTGCCCACACAGGGGTGTGCGATAAGACCATACAGCCCCATGCTCTGATCCCACACGTGTGGAGTCTGGAGTTTACTGTGTGTCAAGCACAGTACCCAGTGCTTGCACTTGCATGCCTTTCCATCTTTATCACAATACTAAGAAGTCAGTGCTACTCTCAACCCTATTTTGCAGTTACAGAAACTGAGGCCAGAGAGGCCAAATGGCTTTCCCAAGACCATACAACTGGTCAAGGGTAGACTTGTACTTAACCCCATCTCACCCTAATCCATACCCATTTGCTTTCAACAAATTCTGAATCCTCTGCCTTATAGACCAAGTCAATTGGGCCAAGACCTGTTCCTGAATATGGCTTTCTTTTAATGCATCTCCAGGATCACTTTTCTCTGATCTAGAGTCTGGACCACCTCAGGGGACAAAGCAGAGCTGTCAGGGAGGTGTGGACAGGAGCAGGAATGATGTCAGATTACCAGCTGCTTGCAGGACGGTTGCTGGGTGGCTGTGGACTGACGCGGCTCTTCTGCCATTCTCACTTGTAGTTGTCAAGAATAACTTTAGACTTTGCTGGGAATGCAATATCTTCTGACAAGGAGGAGTTGGCTGGAACAGCCTGGGCTCTGTACCTGTCCCTCAGATGTCCTTTGGTGCTTTAGCCCAGTGACTCATCGATCTCCCAGGTATAAAACCCAGGGTGGGCTTCTTTCTGGGGTCCTTCGGCTGCAGTACAAGTGGGGCATGCACAGATGAGACTCCATCTACCCTGGGAAGCTCTCCTGAGCCTTGGGGGACTGGCTTGTCATGAATCCTTGGCTTTAGTTGTCCCTTGTTGTGTATTTCTAATGAATAAACCTGTTGCATATAACTTGTGTGTATGAGTGTTCTGTCTCATCTGACTCAGGACAGTAGTAAAAATGCAATGTAAGATGCAGTGAGCTCAAGTGGTACCAGTGTACTGTGAATGCACTTTGTGCTGCCATGCTGGGGTTCAGAGCAGGCATCCATGTCTAGAGCTACATATGGAGACCAAACAGAAAATAGAGGTAAAAGCCCTGTTGTAGGGACAGGGCCAACATGGCGGGAATTAGTGAAGTAGGATTTGGTGAACATAGGAGAGTAATGAAATCCCTGGAACAGAAAAAATCTAAAGTCCACAGAAGAAATCCCATTGAATTCCCTAAAGAAACCTGACATGTTATGTTTTGACCCAGCCAGTCTCATTTGTTTCATGCAATTATCACCAGATTGAAGTTTGCTGGGAGATTCCAACTGACCTGGAAGTTGCTGGATTGATGGGAAGAGATCCTTCTAATCTTAGAAGAATTCTTGGAATGGCTCAGAAATAGAAACTCAAGAAGCAGAGGGATTTAATTACACAGGAGCTGGGACTTCTAGATTATGACATTTATATGGTTTGGGTCTGTGTCCCCACCCAAATCACATGTCAAATTATAATCCCCAATGTTGGCGGTGGAGCCTGGTGGGAGGTGATTGGATCATGTGGGTGGATTTTCTTTTTGGTGCTGTTCTCATGATAGTGAGTGAATTATCATAAGGTCAGGTTGTTTAAAAGTGTTTGGCACCTTCCCACTTTCTCTCTTCCTTCTATTCTAGCCATGGTTGAAGACATGCCTGTTTCCCCTTCGCCATCTGCCATGACTGTAAGCTTCCTGAGGCCTTCCCAGTCATGCTTCCTGTATAGCCTGTGGAAACATGCGCCAATTAAAACCTCTTTTCTTTATAAATTACCTAGTCTCAGGTATTTCTTTATAGCAATGCAAGAATGGACAAATACAGACATCTTACGGAAAAAAGTTTATCAAGTGGAAAGCTCTATTGTGTACCCTCCTTGAAAATAGATGACCTGTTTTCTCATCTTTCTCTTAGCGTGCTGTGGTCTTCACATGCAGAAAGAGGAACAAGTTAAGTAGTGGTTGTCTTTGAATATTTTCTTATTGAATGGTTTCTGGCCTGGCTCAGTCCCCTTAACATGTCATCCTAAAGAAATAACGAAATATCTTTTCCTTACAAGGCTTTCTAAAGTATGACTTATAAGTCAGAAACCACAAGAGAAAATATTAATAAGTCCAATAATGTTAAAATTGACTTAGCTAAATGCATCATAAACAAGATAAAAAAAACATCAAACTGGAAAGATGTTTGCAGGCTATGTCACAGAGGAACGGATGGTTTCTCTAATATATAAAAAGTTCCAACAAACTGATAAGAAAAGTGGACAAAGAATACAAAAAGTCCATAGAAAAGGAAGTAAAACTGCTTCTTAAGCATATGAAAATTTACTTAGTCTCACGAGTAAGAAACATAAATTTTAAAAAACATGGAGATAGGCTGGGTGCAATGGCCCACGCCTGTAATCCCAGCACTTTGGGAGGCTGCTGCAGGTGGATCATTTGAGGTCAGTTTGAAATCAGACTGGCTAACATGATGAAACCCTATCTCTACTAAAAATACAAAAATTAACCAGGCATGGTGGCAGGTGCCTGTAATCCCAGCTACTAGGGAGGCAGAGGCAGGAGAATTGCTTGAATCTGGGAGGCAGAGGTTGAAGTGAGCCAAGATTGTGCCACTGTACTCCAGCCTGGGCAACAGAGCAAGACTCCCTCTCAAAAAAAAACCACAAAAAAACAAAAACAAAAAAAGCCAGAAAACCCCCGCAAAACATGGAGATAATCTTTTTCGTTTTTTCTGGGTGGCAAAGATTAAAAAGTTAGAAAATGCCAAGATAGCGAGAGGTGTGTATGAGTGTGATATTGGTGGTAGCGTAAATTGCTATAACTCTCTTGGGGGGGAATTTGGCAATATCTTACCAATATCCTGCCAATATCTTTCTTACTCATAAGTCAAAACTGTGCTTGTTAAATCCACAAATGATAATGTTTTTCCATGTATATTGAAGTTTCTTAAGTAGTGTTTTATAGAATAAGTTTTCCTAATACATCATTGAAGAGGTTTTCAGGAGCATAGTTTGAAAAATACTGACAGGTATAATGTAGGAAGTAGTTAGAATATATCTGGGAGCTACCAACACCATTCAGGTCTAGCTATAGTGATGTTTGCTGCCCCTCTTAGGAAGGGAAACCTTTCACAAACCTCCACCTTCATTTTCTCCTCTTGCAAATGCTTTTTGGTCAGAAGCATAAATGCCAGAGCTGCAAAAGTGATTCAAAACCCAAGAGAACTCCCTGGGGATAGTCTGTTCTCTCTGTAGCTGGGACAAGGAGATGGCAGGCCCTTCTCTTCCCAAGAACCTCCCTGATGTGCAACGAGAGGCCACAGACTTATCTTGCAGCATTAATTAGGAGAGATGCAACATTTGGGGACAATCTGTTCAAGAAACCCTGCACAGGACACGTTTTCATCCTGGGCTCTGGGGCTGATATGTGCCAGTGGCCTAACTCCACACACCTCGATGGAATTCTCTGGCAGAACCGCTCCAAAATGTGTGGAAAAATCTGTTTTTCTGGATTCTCCTTCTTTGCTTCAAGGTGAAACAGGCGACTTCCTTCACTGCCTTTCTCTGGGAGCACGATGAGCACTAATTACCCGCTCACTGCCAAGCTGGCACCCGGCATGAGCTGTCAGGAGCCTGCAGTCCCTTCCTGAAGTGTGCAGGTAAGTGAACACAAGCAGGAGAAGAACCAGTGAGCATGGCGGGGCCACGGATGGCGTCTGCTGGACTAGCCTCCTGCTTCTTCCTCTGCTGCTCCAAGTCCCCTGCAGGACTAGCTGGGTCCCCCCATCTCCCCGCCCAACTGCTGTCCAGGGACCCCATGCCCCTTTGCTCACCAAGGAGGCTCGTGTCTTCTACCGAGGACAGCTGCCTTCAACCTTGGCTGCTCATTAAAACCATGCTTAAAAAAAAATCGCCGCTACCAATGCCTGGATCTCACCCCCATGAATTCAGATTTACTCAAGCTGCTTACAAAGCTCCTGTGTGATTTTAATGTGTACCCATATTTTGATTATGGGATGACCACATACATCGGGATACTTTTGAGAGTGTGTTGGGGCACTATTAATCGTTATTTTGGGACAGTTTGCATAACTGGTGCTGTCCTAGGCAGCCTGGGATGCATGGCTACCCAGCTCTAACCCTAAGAGATCCCTGAGAATTGTCTCCCAAGGACATGATCATAGCTGAGTTTTTTTCCCCTTTGTGGATGAAAACATTGACAGTTTTACATCGTTGCAGATAACTATAGGGGGTGTGTCATGAATTTGATTTTGAGTGCTATTATATTTCCGACAGCCACAATTCCCACTTCAGGTACCTCCTCTTTTCCCTCTTGAGAAGTGAAAAGGACGCCCGCTCTGGTAATTCTCAGCCCCTGCTATTCTTTTTGTAGCCCTGGAGAAACTTGCACCTGGAAGACACCTTAGCAGTCACCTGGCTCCATCTTCCCTGCAATGCAACCATCCCTCGTGCAGCATCTTGGGTAAGGATGAGCAGAGAGCACTGGATTTGGACTCAGAAAGCCTTTCTGAGCCTTGGTTTCCTCATCAGTAAAATGTGGGTCATACTACCAGCCTCAAAATGTTGCAGTAGGGATTATATGAGACCCTCTTCCAGCACGTCTCGGGAGGAACACACAAAGCTAGGAGGACCACTGATCCACAGAGAGCAGAGTACAGACTCGTCCCCCCTCGATGGGGAGACATGCCTCTTCCACGGGCAACCATTCACTCCGCTAATAGCATGTCTCTAATCGATGACAATCTCTTAATCCTCTTAGAAATGACAGATGGTAATTCCTACATTGTTTAGGAAGAACAGGATGACTATATCACACTTACACGACAGTTGTAATAAATGGAGTTTGTTATAAATATTAATAATCTTTTTACATAAGCTTGTTCCTTGAGAAGTGAAATAAGAAGTTGAGAGCATGCCTGCCTATTCCACAGGTGGAAAGATCGAAGTACCATGTGGTCTAAAATCTCCCAGCAGGAACTTCTACAAAAAGGGTGTCTTAGTCTGTTCTGACTGTTATAACAACGTACCAAAAACTAGGTAGCTAGAAATTTATTTCTCACAGTTCTGGAGGCTGGGAAGTCTAAGATCAAGGTGCGGGCAGATTTAGTGTCTGGTGAGGGCCCCCTTCCTGGTTCATAGATGGTGTCTGCTTGCTGTGTCCTCACATGGTGAAGGGAGAAGGCAGCTCTTTGGGGCTTTTTTTTTTTTTTTTTTTTGAGACAGAGTCTTACTCTCTCGCCCAGAGTCTTACTCTCTCGCCCAGGCTGGAGTGCAGTGGCAAGATATCAGCTCACTGCAACCTCCACCTCCCAGGTTCAAGTGATTCTCCTGCCTCAGCCTCCTGAGTAGCTGGGATTACAGGCACATGCCATCACACCGGGCTAATTTTTGTATTTTTAATAGAGATGGGGTTTTGCCATGTTGGCCAGGGTGGTCTTGAACACCTGACCTCAGGTGATCCGCCTGCCTCAGCCTCCCAAAGTGTTGGGATTACAGGCAACCATGCCTGGCCTGGGGCTTCTTTTATATGGGCACTAATCTCATTCATGAGGGCTCGGCCCTTGACCTGATCAACTCCAAACAACCCCACCTCCCACTACCGTCACACTGATGACTAGTTTTCAACATATGAATTTTGGGGGGCACAAAAACATTCAGACCATAGTGGGGGAAGAGCATGACGTTTATTGAGAATCGTGGTGTCTGGCATTTCCACTTAACTATTTCATTACAACCTTTCAACAACCCTACAGGGCAGTTATCTCTGCATGTTGGTTGAGGAAATAGGCTCAGAGAGGTTGTGTAACTTGCCTAAGACCATCCAGCAAGGTGGCTAGCTGGGTCGTGAGTCTGATCCTGCCTGACTTCAAAGCTTAACCCCAGATCCCATCGGAGGGGATCATGCCGTTCGGGTCATGAGCATAATATCCAAATCTCTGGAATTTTCACACAATCACCAGTTTGGTCATATCCTTTTACATCTCCACCCTAGTAAAGACTTTTCAAGGAGACTTTGTGGCCTAAACATTTGGGTCAATGGCTTTTTAAGGTGATGCTTTCTACCTTGGCTCTTACCTTGCTTCCATAAGAATTTATTGACACCTAGAGGCTGCTGAATTCTGTGGTCTACACCAGGGTGACAAGGATGTCTGCAACATGGCCCCTGTCCTCAGAGAGCTTCCAATCTAGTAGGAGAGTCTGTCTAGGAGGCAGGTAATACACTGTAGAGTGAGAAATGTGCTAATAAGGTGGGTAATCGTGGGCAGAGTGCAGAGTTTGAAGGCTCACAGGCCCACAGCAAAGAGTATTCGACATTACACAGCAGATCAGGGAAGACAGCTTGGAGGAGGTAGTTTTTGAATCTGGGTTTGGAATAAGGTTCAGGTGGGTAAGGAGAGAAGGAGCAGAGAGAAGAAAATGTGCAAAAGCATGGACGTGCAGAAAGAGGCTTTGGGCTTGAGAAAGGCAAGTCACGTAGTACAGGGCAATGCTGAGGCTCAAGGGCAGGTGGGAGTCAGCTCCTAGGCTGTCAGGGCTCCGTTTGTTCTCACTACGATGGGCTCAGCTCACTCGTTGGTTCTCCTGCTGCAATTCACACTCAGCATGCAAAGCTGGTGCAAGGTCCCATTGCCTCGTCTCTTCAAATTAGGATAGAAAGGTGAAATGACTTCATTACTGTTGTCTTGCTGGTTGCCTTTTCTCTGAGGATCCCTCCTGCTGCATTCGTCTTGCTAGATTACCCGAAAAAGACAGCTTTTGCCCCCGCTGATGGGCCTCCCGGATCATTTTTTCTGCCATTCAACAGCGACTCTGCCACGTTTTATTCTCCAGCAGACTTTTGCTATCTTCTAATAATTTTCTTCTAAAAAAGTTCACACTCATTAAAAAGGCCATGTCTGGAAATATATAATATATGTGTTTCTTCGGAAAAATAGGCCATCTTTAAATTATTATGCTGTTGATGTAAGCTGGATTTTATTAGCATTTCACCTGTGGTTTGGTGACAGACACAAGCTGGCTTGAAAACTGTTGAAATGGGATTCTTTGTTGATTAATTTGTTTTTCTTTCTCATGGTTCTGACACTTAGGAGATATTTAAATTGCATTTTACAACTTTGTGCAAAACCAGTCCGAGTGTTAGAGAGCTGTGTGGGCAGAATTTAGATGTTTTTAATGACGCAGTGGCGGAAGTCATATTTGAAATTCACAGAATCGGGCTGGGCGAGGTGGCCCACGCCTGTAATCCCAGCACTTTGGGAGGCTGAAGTGGGTGGATCACCTGAGGTCAGGAGTTCAGGACCAGCCTGGCCAATATGACGAAACCCCGTCTCTACAAAAAACACAAAAATTAGCCGGGTGTGGCGGTCAACACCTGTAATCCCAGCTACTCGGGAGGCTGAGATGGGAGGATCACTTGAACCTGGGAGGTGGAGGTTGCAGTGAACTGAGATCGCACCACTGCACTCCAGCCTGGGCAAACAGAGGGAGACTCTGTCTAAGAAGAAGAAGAAAAAAAGAAATTCACAGAATCAAACACACCTGGAGGTGGAAGGACATCAGTGGTCCAGAGGACCAATGCCTTTGTTGATGGCTGTTAGTGACAGACTGCTGCCATTGCTGATATATGGTAGATCAACTTCTGCTTGGATCTCTCCAGTGACAGGAAACTCACTACCTTAACATCAGCCCTGAATTATTCCTAGTGGGGCATGTTGAACAGTGTCACACGGGAGGTATCGAAGCCTCCATGTGCTTCAGTTTGAGCTCCAGAGTTAAGATGGCACAGCCCTTGGCCATGGTACCCAGGAGGCTGTTGGTTGTACCAGAGAGAACACATATTCACATGCAGAGGAAAGTGGCCTGGCCTGAAGCTACCTGACAGTGACTGGGAGGTCCCTGAAGCCTGCCTTAAGCAACAGATATGCAAATGCTCAGGATCCAGGGGTCCAGGAACAAGACACAGACATCCCAGTGCGGGGTTTGTCCCAAGAAATATGCAGTGCACGCAGGGATGTGCAGACAGGGTATCTTGGAGGGCGTCTCCCCAGGTATCCTGGTTAAGGTCATTGCCAGTTCTCAGAATGGAAAAGCTGGAGACTGGAAATCACTGAGTTCCCTGGATCACTCCTTCAACAAATATTTGCCTATAAGTTCTAGAGAGTAAATTATAGCAAAGTGTTCTCATAGAATGTGGCCTCGGTCAAATGTTTTTGCTGTTATCTTAAAGTCGGGAGTTTAAACTGCTCTTGGGAGCTATTACAGATGCATTCCTGGATGAAGGGGACTAGGAATTTGGTTGGGGTCCAGAGTCCTGGCTCCTGGGAAGACCATAAAAGATAAAGAGCTGTGTTCTCATCAGGGTCCCCCAGAACTGCCTGGGATGCTTGTTAACCAAGTGGAGATTCAGGGGGGTTGGGTGAGTTTGGCCTCTGCAGTTTTAACAGGTTCCCCGGGAGATCCAGGTTTGACAAAGGCTGCCTTTCAGAGCACTGTCTTAACAAGGCACGTTTGTCCTGGGTGTGCTCCCTGTCACAAAAGCACTGTGAAAGATGAAAAGAATTGCACCCATGTGACACGTGTGTGGAGGAACCGGGGAGCTGTGCGGGCCATTGTGGGATCACTCCATCCTGTAAATTGGTTGTGTTGCATCCGCTGGTCCTCTGTCCCTTCTCTCGCTTACAGAGAACTGTACTGTCTGAGAATCATCTTCTAAAGGGCTTAACTCCCTGCCAGGAGTCACTGGAAATAAATGCATCACCTCTTCCCACCCTGGCCTGCTCTCCGCTGGGACAAATCTCTTGTCTTGCCCACTGCTCTACACTCTGTGAACAAATGCTGGGAACAGCTGAGAACATTCATTCATTCCTTGCACCTAACAACCCAATCTGCCCATTTTCTATGTAGTGCAGCCTCTGTCTGCTCCCGGCTATGGGTCAGACAGCTGTGACCTCCATTGTGCAGAACGTGGGCATCAGACAGAGTTTTGATTAGCAAGAAACGTGTCGCGCTTCCACGGAGCCCAGAGATGGTATGAATGAAGCTGGCTCTGAAGATATTGCCGGTGAGATGTACCTTTTTCACTTTACCTTTCACATGTCTTTGGGAGAGCAGTACAGAAGCCCTCAGCTGTGGTGGGAGCTGCAGGTACTGACCTGTGGGCTGGTGCTTCCTGCAGCGGCTGTGGCCGAGGGTGATGTCGCCAGGAATCCCATGGCAGCTTTGCACCCCTTTGCCTCCCTGGGAACCTGAGTGCAACATTCCCAGTAAACATTTAAGAACCTCTTCTAGCCTCTCCTGACTTGCATCTTGACCCCTGCATTAGCTAGTGAACTTGAGCACGTGGCTTCACCTTTCTGAGCCTCAGTGTCCCCCTCTGCCAGGCCAGGCTGGCCCACCTCCCAGAGCCTTTGTGGAGGAAGCGTCTTTCTGCTCCCTCTTCCTTATCTCAAAGCAGTTTGTGCATCTTATTTCCTGCCAGTGAGGACAGGGCAAGATTTTGTTTATATCTGGGATTCTTCACTGCACCTCGCTCAGATTCTGGCATTGTAGAAGAAACTGGTGATCCACAGGAGAGTTCAAACCCACAAAGACCCAATGAATTAACTTCCAGGTGGGGTTAGGAGTCGGGTGGGGATAGGTTGGTGAGGTCAAGCCTGTGTTCACACCTGTCTGAACAGACTTTTATGCTGGACCCATCCTGTCTTGTGTCAAAATTGGCTGGACGTGGTGCTCATGCCTGTAATCCCAGCACTTTGGGAGGCCAAGGTAGGAGGATCACTTGAGCCTAGGAGCTCGAGATCACTCTGGGCAACGTAGCAAAACCCCGTCTCTACCAAAAATGTTAATACAAAAATTAGCCGGGTGTGGTGATGTGCGCCTGTAGTCCCAGCTACTTGGGAGGCTGAGGTGGGAGGATAGCTTGAACCTGGGAGGTAGAGGTTGCAGTGAGCCAAAATCGTGCCACTGCACTCCACCCTGGGCAACAGAGCCAGACCCTGTCTCAAAAAAAGAAACACCCACCAAAACCAAAATAATGAAGTTTCCTTCCCAGCTCTTGGTCCCCCTCCCTGGTGCTATCTTGGAATCGTGGGGCCCACTGGCTACCTGTACCTTCCAGGCTACCTGGAGCCTAATGAATGTTTTTATCCTGAGGACTTAGCTTTTTCCAGTTTTGAGCAAATACAGTTAAAACCAACTGGGTAATAATACAACAATGACCAGGGCCTTCAAAGACATTCAGGGAACCGACTTGATGTTTTAACCAATATTCTAATTTTGTTTTAATGAGCCCAACTTGCTGGTTAGATTAAAATGCTATTTCCTGATGCTGCATAAATGCAGTATTTACGCAATTGAGCCCAAATAAAATTACCGTTTACGTTTTCATCAAATGGGGAACTAGCTGCTGAGGACAGTTGAAATGCAATTTATGATTATGTAAATTAAGCTAGCTCCAGGACACTAATATGTAAATGAAACTTTCATTATTGTGAATCAAGATGCCATTAACCTTGAAAACTATATATAATTGTCACAAATATTCCTTAAAAAATAAAAAAAAGGGAACATCTCCAGTTTTGTGGTTCCCTCTTTATGGGTCATGGGCCAGGTTGTCTGAAAGTTCAGTCCTGAGCACGGAGGTTTAAGTTTTTTTTTTTTTTTTTTTTTTTTAAATTCTGTTGGTGTCTTTGTACTGCTTCGTTGAGGTGGTTGGGACTCTGTGTTGAACCCAAACAAATGGTATTTGTGCTTTTAGTCTGGGTCCCTTCTTGCATTTATTTCTCTGTGGAGAAATGATTTCTCCAGCACTTTCTTGCCAATGTCTGTTGTTGAGACAAGTCTGATGCACAGGTGTGGGTTAGGAGATCTCATTAAAGCTCTGACTCTCTCACTAAGTGGATATAGAGCCTTGCATCTATCCTGGCCTCTTTTGGGCCTCGATTCTTTCATCTGTGAAGTGAGGATGCTAAGACATGTTATGCTAGTTAGGATTTTTTAGCTGTAAGTGGCAGATTCTGACTGTAGCTAACTTAAGCTGAAAAGGAATTTGTTGGGAGGAGACAGGTGGGAGAACTCACAAAAACAACAACAAAAAAGTGAAGCAATTTCCCGGAAAGGGCAAAACCACAGCCCCTCTGGGAACTTAGCCAGCAGAACTCAGGCTGTCCCTGTTGGGATGAAGGGGCTAAATGGTTTGTTTGTTTTAAATTATTGGGTTGCACCGTTCAAGATAGAAATTCCTGGGATGGTCTGATCAGCCTCATTTGGGCCAGGTGTCCACCTCCTACCCGGGAGAGGGGAGTCCTTGACCTGTAGCCCCGTGAAAGCCACATGCGGGGGGCGAGGAATGAATGACACAGGCAAAAGCAGCAGCTGCTTCACAGCATCTTCTTACCCATCATCGGTGTCTACATGCATGGCTGGGAAGTGACTGACAAAAGCCAGCTGGGAAGTGACAGAGCCAGGACTTGAATTCAGAGCTTCTGCTCCACCCTCTAGGGTCTTCCGTCCACAATCCATGGTTATGTAGAGATCTGAAATCCTCAAAGACCTAGTGAACTAACTTCCAGGTGGAGATAACAGTTGGGATGAGGTTGGGGTGGTGGGATCAGGCCTTTGTGCATTCCTGTTTGAGTTGATTTTTATACGAGATCATCCTGACTTGTGTCAAAATAATGAACACTTCCTTCTGCTCACTGTAGCTACTCCAGAAGGAAGTGGATGGGGCAGGGGATCCAGAGACCAGAGCTGGGGGCAGGGTAGGTTAAGACTCAGGATCCCAAAAGAGCCAGAGAGAAGAACAGAGGAGCTGGCTGGAGAACATCTAGGGCCCTGGCTGTGCCCTGGGCTGCTGACCTTGGGGTCAGGTGGGCTTCACCTCTACTGCAGGGTGGGCGGGGCCTGGTCTCACTGTGTGGCTAAGTGGGTCCAGTTGTGCTGGTGGAGAGCAGGGCACCAGGATGCTCATTCTGCCTCCAACACAGCACCTGGATCAGTGCCGCTCAACTTTGGCTGCACGTAAGAGTCATTTGGGGAGCTTTTATGTGCCTTGACCTCCTCATAGACCAATAGAATCAGGAAAACTGAAAGCTCCCAGGTGATTCTCTATAGCCAGGGCTGAGAACTCTGTCTCTGGCTACCATAGGGCAGCTGTAAACAAGGCTGAGAACCTCAGGTTGCTCAAGACTTCCTTTCTTGGTGGTGACAGAGTCCCTGCATCTTAACCCGATTACCCAGGTGATATGGCTAGGTTTTGTGTCCTCACCCAAATCGCATCTTGAATTGTAATCCCCATAATCCCCATGTGTCAAGGGAGAGGCCAGGTGGAGGTAATTGAATCCTGGTGGCGGTTTCCCTTATGCTGTTCTTGTGATAGTGAGTGAGTTCTCACGAGATCTGACGGTTTTATAAGGGGCTCTTCCCCCTTCACCCAACACTTCTCCCTTCTGCCACTTTGTGAAGAAGGTGCCTTGCTTTCCCGTTCCCATTCTACCATGATTGTGAATTTCCTGAGGCCTCCCCAGCCGTGCTCAACTGTGAGTCAATTAAACCTTTTTTCTTTATAAATTACCCAGTCTCAGGCAGTTCTTTATAGCAGTATGAAAACAAATTAATACACCAGGCATAGGTGTAGAGTACATAAATCCCAGGCACAGGGCCCCGGCCAGACAAGGGGTAGAACACAGGACTCCCTGCCTCTAAGGACTTTTTTGCTTTGTTTTGTTTTCAGACGGAGTCTCTGACACCCAGGCTGGAGTGAGGGGTGCAATCTCAGCTCACCGCAAGCTCCGCCTCCCAGGTTCAAGCAATACTCCCACCTCAGCCTCTTGAGTAGCTGGGATTAACAGGCGCCCGCCACCATGCCCAAATGATTTTTGCATTTTTAGTAGAGACGGGATTTCACGATGTTGACCAGGGTGGCCTCAAATTCCTGACCTCAGGTGATCCACCCGCCTTGGCCTCCCAACGTGCTGGGATTAAAGGTGTGAGCCACTGTGCTTGTTCCCAACCTAGGCCATTCTTGAACCATGACAACCTCGCTTTCCTAGCTAAGGGGTCACCATCTATTGGGCTCTTAGGGCAGGGCAATGAAGGGGGCGGGGAGTGGTGGGAGAGGTAGAGGAAAGAAGGCAGGTTGGAAGGGCCTGCAGGGAGGGAACTCATGTTTAAAAATAATCACCATAAGGTGGTGATAGCAGAACATTAAACCAAGTGCAGGCCCTGGGTGACAGCCCAGGTCAGTTCCATGCCAATGAAGCTGGCCTTGCCAGTTACTTTGGAGTTTCACGGCTTCTGAGAGCTGTAAGGCGGAGGGAGTCATGTCCAGATGACGCCAAGGCAGGAGAAATCACTTGAGCAGTTAGGCTGGTTCCCTCCGGGGTGGAACCCCAGCCAGGGTCATGCAAAAGAAAGAGTGTATCACTGTGCAGTGGAGTTGGGGGCCAGGCAGCAGGATATTTTAGACCATGTCCGGGGGATGAGTTCTGTGGGAGGAACAAGATCCAGGCTAGAGTGGGTGGGGAAAGGATCTCAGGTCCAGGGCCAGGGCCAGGGCCAGCAGGCCGAGCCTCAAGCAGGTCTCCAGTCTCTGGGGGAAATGGCATGAAAGGTGGGGACACTGAGGTGGGAATGAGAGGCGAGAGGTCTGGGCATGCTAGGAGAGAGGGAGGAGCAGGGGGTGATGTGACCCATGGTTGTGGGGCTGGCATGAGCGCCCCTGCTGTGTGGCACTGAAGGGACACCTGTGCTCCATGCCCCTCACACTGGGCTTCAGTCATGTCTGGGACCAGGCTGGGTGACATCAGCAGAGGCGGCTGGGGAGGGTGCTAGGGACCCAAACTAAACGCATGATACTGTAACGGGGATCCACCTACAACCTCCCTCCCGCCAAACCCCAGCACCTTTCTTCCTGGGAGCCTCTATGCTGAGCTTCCCTCCCTAGGCTGGCAGAACAGGTGGCCCATGGACACCGAGGGAGAAGGGACAAGTCAAAGATGTGAGACTCAGATGTGGAAATAAGGTTTTAGAGAAGGGTCTTCTTGGCAAGACCGTGAGAGGTGACCCCGTCATCCGCAGCAGGAGGAGTAAGAGGTGCTCAGCTGGGCTCTGACTGACTTTGAAGGAATGAAGGGAGGGAAGAAAGGGCAGGAAACCAGTGGGAACTGAAATCCAAAGGGAGGCCAGGGCTTTGACCAGCTCCCTTCAGTGCCACACCTTAGCATTAGTTGTCAGTTCCCTGGCCCGGCCCCTCACCAGGGTCACCATTTCCCGAGCACCTGCTTCTGTGCATTTGTGCTTTTGCTTCCAACAGCCCACACCTGCGTCTCCCCCAGCAGAGGGCTGCCCTCAGGCAGCCAGAGTGGGGACCTGGAGCTGCCTGGGAATTCACGCTGCCCCCCCCACCAGCCTGGGTGTTCCTTAACCAAGGACTGATCCTCCTGGATGGGGCATCTCTGAGGCTTGTCCTACACCAGTGTTTTCCAACCCCCTGGGGATCTTGTTAGATTCTGATTCTCGGTAGATTCTGATTTAGTAGGTCAGGGTGGACACCAACATTCTGGGTTTCTAACAAACTCCAGGTGTTGTGATGGTCACTGTAGGTCCACAGGCCACAAAGAAACCTTGATACAGCGTCTTTGCCTGATCTTTCTTTCTGATTCCCTTTTCCCTCTACCCTACTGGTTTTCTTGGGAAGCTTCCTACAAAATCACTTTGATCTAAATCCTCATCTCAGGGTCTGCTTCTGGGGAACCCGACCTAAGACACACACTGATCCTGTGAGATGGGTATTGTCATCCCCAGTTTGCAGATGAAGAAACGAAAGCTCAGAGAAGGAAAGGCCAATATGCAAGGTTGTACAGCCATTAAGTGGCAGAGAGGGGCTTCCACCGGGTCTGCGGGAATCCCAAACCCAGTCTCCACCTATTATACCATTTGTTCAAGGGGCTTGCAATCAGGCATCCTCCACTGACACTCATTCCCCTTGGCTGTGTCCAGAACTTTGTGGCATTGCGCGCTTTCTTTCCCAGCCTTGCAGCTTTGGAAACCAGCTGAGGGCAGGTGTAGACCACCCCACCTACCCCTTCTTAATCAAAGCTTCCAGGCCCAGAGCCCTGTCTTTGCTCAATACAAAGCATAATGATCTCATTGCAATGCCAGCTCCATTATTCCAGACGCGGGGGACACGTCTAGGTGCCCCTTAAGCCTTGTCTCTTTTATTTTGGTCATAAGACAGTTAAGCAATGGGTTCTATGGAAACCATGAAACAAGGCTGAATGTCAGCATCAATGGAAAGCATTTCCATCCTTTTATCCAAGCGATACAGAGCAGAGGCCACATGCTGTGCAGAAAGAACGTTCTGTGTTCTCAAAGGGCTCCTGCAACCCTGCCCCACAACGGCTGAGGAATGGCATGGGGCCCGTGACATCCTGTCACCTCCAAACAGCTCCTTTTTGTTCCTCAGTGCGGCACCTTGGCAGGCGATGCTGCATCAACCTGCTCATAATTGTAAATGCCACCCAGTAGCCTTCCCGGCTGTGACTGTCTTAAAGATATAGATAAAAAAAGGGAACCAAATGCTGTTTTGCGTTCAGAGTAAACACACCTGTTTCCTAAAAACTTTTTTTAACTTTACACACTGAAAAGTAGGACATTTGTGGGATATTTTGGCTACACTTTTCAGCCAAACTTCAGAGCCGGATTTCTTAAAGCTGGTTTCTCAAGCAGGGCTCCTTGGGCAGGGGTGGGGTGTGCTTTGGGTCAAGGGAGGCACAGACCTGTTCTCTCTTGCTTCCACCTCCACCCCCAACAATGTTAACTCAATTGTTCAGACAAACTGAACATGTGCTTTGGTGGAAACAGCAAGTACAATGGGTGCAGTGAGGAGGGAGGGGACCCCAGCAAAGGGGTGGGAAGGGAGAAGGCACATGACTGTGCACTCCAGCCTGGGTGCCTCACCTCTCTTTGTATAAAGAACCACACTGGACTGGGCATGGTAGTTCGCACTTGTAATCCTAACATTTTGGGAGGCTGCGGCAGGAGGATTGCTTGAGCCCAGGATTTTGAGATAAGCCTGGGCAACATAGTGGGACCCCATCTCTTAAAACAAAAAATTAAAACTTAGCTGGGCACAGTGGCATGTGCCTGTAGTCTCAGCTACTTGAGAGGCTGAGGTGGGAGGATTATTTGACCCCAGGAGGTCAAGGCTGCAGTGACCATGGTTGTACCACTGCACTCCAGCCTGGGCGACAGAGCAAGACCCTGTCTCTTAAAAACAAACAAAAGTGTGGCTTGGTTCCCCTTTCCCTCAACCCTCTGTCTGAGGCTCACCTCTTGGTCACTTCTCTTCTCAAGTGCGGAGCAGGGGCTCTGGAAGGAAGCAGTGTTTGTTCCCACCTCAGGGCTTTCACCCTTGGCTAAGTTATCTTGGGCAAGTTCCCTAACCTCCCGAGTCAGTTTCCTCACCTCAGGTGGGCTCGCACAGACTGAAGGAGATCACGTGCACATATCACTTTGAACAGAACAGTCAGTCCTGCATAATCATTTTTCATCCTTGCAGTAGCTGTGTGTGGCTGTCCCTCTCCAGTGTTTCATGTCAGGGGAGGCTGCAGGGGGGAGCTGGATGGCAGGGGCAGGTCTTGATGGATGAGTCAGAGCTTCCCAGGGGATGGAGGGTGGGGGCTGTTCTCCGTGTAAAGCATATTAGCCCGTCATCAGGCACCTACCACCCCCACATTTATGTTTTTAGCACATACTTTGTGTGCCAAACACTGTTCTGGTTCAGATGACAGCTCAGGCTGTTGACTCGCTCCTTGAACCCCATCCATGAGCTGCTAGGAGTAAAAGGGGAGGTTGATGGAGCTTAGGACTGCCCTCAGTCACTGGCGCAAAACCTGTGAGACCCACTTAGTAGAAGGTGGTTGGATCCAACTATGGGGTGATATGGCACCTGGAGTGAGAACAAGAACCGGATGTGGAAGTGGGTCCTGTCACCATCACTCCCAGGGACTCATGTGGGGGATTTGCATTTCCTATCCTTGCTACTTTAGGCTCTGCTGAACTGAAGTCCTGGTTCCCAGGGAATACAGCAAGGGTTCCCCTAAAATCACAGCCTTTGCCTGGTCACATTGGGCTCCTCTGTGCTCGTGGACCAGCTGCCAGAGAAAGGAGTTAAAATACTGGCAGGGGTAATGATGAGTTATCACAATGACTATCCCATGGAGGTAGAGTTGCTACACAGCTGGGGCAGGAAAGAGCAAGTCTAGAATTCAGGGGATACCCTGGGGCCTCTCTTGGTGCTTGCAATCCTGGAGATAGCCATGAACAAGCAGTGACAGGTATGGTACCAGGACATGGTACCTGGAACTCAGACCCTTTAGGAATGGAATGGCAAGAGCCTGAATGAATAGAAGAACTGCCCAGGGGGATTCTAGAAGGGGTGGCAGAGGATTGTATTAGCTTTCTAGGGCTGCCGTAACAAATTACCGTAGACCACGTGGCTTAAACAACAGATACAGTGTCTACAGTTCTGGAAGCTAGAAGTCCAAGATCAAGGTATTGGCAGGGTTGGTTTCTTCTAAAGGCTTGTCAATGGCCATCTTGTGTCTGTGTTTTCACATGGTCTTTCCTCTGTGCCCATATGTGTCCAAAAGGACTATTCTTATAAAGATATTAGTCATATTGGATTAGGGACCAACCACCGTAATTGAGCTCATTTTATTTTGATCATTTCTTTCATGGCCCTGTCTCCAAATAGTCACATTCCGAGCTACTGGGGGTTAGGACTTCAACATATGAATTTTTTGGGGGATACACTATAGCCTATAACAAGGAGGTTGAATATATATATATGTATATATGTATGTGTATATATATGTATATATGTATGTATCTATATATGTATATATGTATGTGTGTATATACACATATATGTGTGTGTATATATGTATATATGTACATATGTGTATATATGTATATATGTGTATATATGTATATATATGTGTGTATATATGTATATGTGTGTATATATGTATATGTGTGTATATGTGTATATGTGTGTATGTGTACATGTATGTGTGTATATGTGTGTGTATGTGTGTATGTGTATGTGTGTGTGTATGTGTGTGTATGTGTGTATGTGTGTGTGTATGTGTGTGTATGTGTGTATATGTGTGTATATGTATATATGTGTGTATATGTATATATGTGTATATATGTGTGTATATATGTGTGTATATATGTATATATGTGTATATGTGTATATATGTATATATATGTGTGTATATTATATATGTGTATATATGTGTATATGTATATATATGTGTATATATATGTATATGTGTGTATATATGTGTGTATGTATGTGTGTATGTATATGTGTATATATATGTGTGTATGTATATGTGTATATATATGTGTGTATGTATATATGTATTTGAGACGGAGTCTTACTCTGTCTCCCAGGCTGGAGTCCAGTGGCACAATCTGGGCTCACTGCAACCTCTGCCTCCTGGGTTCAAGCAATCCTCCTGCCTCAGCCTCCCGAGTAGCTGGGATTACAGGCGTCTGCCACCACGCCTGGCTAATTTTTGTATTTTAGTAGAGATGGGGTTTCACTATGTTGGCCAGGGTGGTTTCGAACTCTTGACCTCAGGTGATCCACCCACCTCGGCCTCCCACAGTGCTGGGATTACAGGTGTGAGCCACTGCGCTGGGCCAATGATGAATATTAATGATAACCTCAGTACCAACTGTCCCAGCAAGAACTGTTCTAAATTTGTTTGAATTATCATGGACTCCAGCCTGGGTGCCTCGCCTTTCTTTGCATAAAGAACCACACTGGACCAGGTGTAGCAGCTCACACATGTAATCCTAACACTTGGGGAGGCTGAGGTAGCAGGATAACTTGAGCCTGGGAGTTCAAGACCAGCCTGGGCAACATAGTGAGACCCCGATAACAAAAAATAGTAAAAAATAAATAGCTAGGCTCAGTGGCAGGTGCAGGCTGAGGTGGGAGGATTCCCACTGTTCTAAATTTCTTTGCTTATTTATGTATACAAGAAACTGTAACCTGTTATCACATTGAAAATCCAGTGACAGAAGAGAGTGAGCTGAATTTGGAGCATGGTTGGAGCTGAGTGGCACAAGGGCTGGGCTGTGGCAGCTGCTCCCAGTGCAGTGCCGGTCTTCCACTGGTGCTCATTGTTCGTACGCACGTAGATGGCTTCCAGCGGCAAGCACCTGTGACTTCCCTTCCCAGGGTCTTCTGGGGCTTGCTCAGCTGGTGCTCAGGGCAGGCAGGAAGTGCTGCAGAGTTGAGTGAGGCCCCTAGGAGCAGCCCTCAGCCAGCAAAGGATGAGAGTTAGCGTACAGATAATTAGCTTCCTCATCCTCAGCAAGGATGAAAGGGGGGCTCCACAGTGTCTTCCAGAGGTCACCAGAGGGATTGGGCCTGGGAGCCCAGAGTGTGTCCTACTTATTAATATTCTCTATGTGGGCTTTCTCTCCTTCCTGTCGACTTTCCCACTCCCCATCTGGGGCTTCTTGGGATCATTTCTTAAGTAAACAACTTGCATTTAAATCCTTGTGCCAAGATCTGCTTCTAGACAAGAAGAGGAATGGGCTGGGTACAGTGGCTCATGCCTGTAATCCCAGCACTTTGGGAGGCTGAGGTGGGAGGATTGCCTGAAGCCCGGAGTTCAAGACCAGCCTGGGAAACAAAGTGAGACCCCATCTCTACAAAAAATAAAAAAAAATTAGCTAGATGCTGTGGCATGTGCCTGTAACCCTAGCTTCTCAGGAGGCTGAGGCAGGAGGATTGCTGAGGCCAGGAGTTTGAGTCCTGCCTGGGCAACATAGCGAGACCCTGTCTCTCCAGAAAAAGAAAAAAAAAAAAACCAACGAAATGAAACTGTATTTGAGTGCCTACTATTGGCAAAGATTTGTACCAGTGTGTTCACATCCTCACTTCTTTAAATCCTGTGAGGATGACTTTGTCATTCCCATTTTACCACATCAGGAAACTAAGGCTAAACAGACTTGCTGTGGACCCAGCGTCCTGCCAACAATTGATGGAGCCTGGATTTGTTTTGGATGACGGGCAATCCCTAGTTCCCTAAGGACAGGCTACTGATGTCCTGGACTATCAGTGCAAGTTTCAGGCTTAGCAGTTATGTGGACAAGTGGCTTCTCCTCTCTGGGCCTCAGTTTCCCTGTCTGTGAAATGCAAAGATAGAGCCATAACATGTCAGAAAGCCCTTCTGACTCTTGCAGTCAGGAGGAGAATCCATAGGTGATAGCACTCCTGGGCCCTGTCCTCCCCTGCCACACAGCCAGGTCTCCCTGAATTCTTCCAGATAAAGTCTTGGAGGCCATCAGAGGGTTGGCCTCTCAGCTGGTCTCCTGCTCAGGTTTATTGACAGATGTTTAAGGGTTAGATGGATTATCTCCCTGCAATAAGACAGAAAACATAATTTTCCAAATGTCAGTTGACTCTCTAGGAAAAGCACATATTTTGGCTGCTCTGAAATGTCATGGAGGGAAGTCAAAATTATTGGAATTCATTGATGAAACTGTAATCTTTCCCCATGTACTTTCCACAAATGCTGTATAACTCTTTCTAGGAGGCAGTTTCTATAGATTTAATGAAAAGAATGAGGCAGGTAAGATGGAGGATGGCAGCAGATTAATGGTTGCTTGAAAGATCATGTGCAGATGGCAGTGGATGATGGATGGCAGGAAGTTGGCACAGATAGACCAAAGCTTTCTAGGCACCAGGCACTGCACTAGATACAAAACACATATGACTTGAAGGAATCATCTCTGTTTCTGAGATGAAGGGTTTTAAATTCAGAGAGGCTAAGCCATCAGGACAAGGTCACACAGCAAGGTGGTGACAGAGTCAGGAGTTAGACCCTGGTCCAGTCATGAGGAGCAAAGGCTTTGGAGCAACAGGACGTGGATTTGAATTTGCTGCCCACTGATGTGTCATTGTGGGATCCTTGGCATGTCCCTTGGCCTCTTTGAGTTTCTTCATCTTAAATGTGGGATAACACCATTCTTGGTAGCCTGGGGTGTACAGCTGTTGATGCACCTTCAGGCATCAGTGCTGAGGATCTCACTGTGACATTATGCTGGCTACTAGAGAGCCTCTCCCCACTAGGGTCTGTCTACTCCTAACCTTCTCACCCCACTCCCCTGCCCTGTAGGAAGGTAATTTCTGGCTGGTGTTTCCCTGTGGGTTATTGACACCCGGAAGCTAACGCTCCACCTTATCCTTGCCTGTTAGTCTCCTGTGTCTTTGGCATTTGCCACTACAGAAGTATATGCAGGTAGCTCCCACCAGATTCTGGTTTTTCTTTGTCATTTTCCCAATTTTTTCCATCTTTTGGGCATCTTGCTTTTTTTCTGGAGTGGTCAGTGATGTCTGCTTGTCTCAGCACTTGAGGCTCCCGGGTCTTCACTCCCGCACAAGTTATCCAGCCCCATCACTCACATGGGACTTCCACTCTCTCTCTGTTGAGGTTACTGCCTAGACCACACCCCATCCTCGCTCTGGCTTGGGGACCTGAGCTCTAGTTGAAGAGTGTTTGAAGGTTGCTGACAACCATCGCTTCATCTATCTGCCATGGTGCCTGAGATCACACCATTAGAAAGTCACTTGTTTGGTTAAAGGTAAGGTGTATTCTCTTAAAATGCAGCACTAGGTGGAAACGAAGTTCTGTGAGCCCTCCATACCCTAGCAAGAGATGCTGCTAAGTAACAGGCTATAGGGTGGGTAAGATGCTGGGTCATTCCGATATTCTCCTTAGTGAGTGAGGAACTCTCACCTGTTCTCATAGCCTCAATCCTGAAATTTTCCCATTGTTGCGGGCTGGGCTGATGCTGCCTTTAATGTCAGCCATCAAGACACTCTGAAGTAGACAAACTTGATTTTCCCCCACCTATCTGAGGTGAGATGAGGAGGAATTTTAGAATTTTATCAGAAGCTTCAAGCTGTGGACTTAGGCTGAGGGGGAAATCCAGAAAAACCCAATGAGAGTCTATCAAAGGCCAGAAGGAACTAGTTTTTCTGAATGCTGATTCCTTAACCAACCTCTCAACTCTGATTGGTCTGGATGATATGACCAGATCGGGGGCTCTTTTGGGTGCAAATATGGGGGCTTAGTATCAGGAGCCATATGCACAGAGGATGCAGCTAAAGGGAAAAATAAAACCAAACACAGCCCCAATCTCAGAAGACTCTGAGCCTCTCCCCAGCCCACCCCCATTCTTTTGTAATAATGATAGCTAAAATTGTTGGGAACTTATCATATGCCAGGCAATGTTCTAAGTGATTTATGTATATTAACTTAATGGATCTGCAAAATAACAGCGAAATAACTCTTATTTTCTGTCCATTCTGCAGATGAGAAAACTGAGGCACAGAGCAGGTGTGTAATTTTCTCTCGAGGTCTGTTAGATTGCAGAGCCAGAGTTTGAACCTAGGTGTCCCTGCTCCACGGGCCGTGCACTTAACCATTGTATATTACTGCCTCTTACATGAGATAGATTTGCTTCCATGCTGACCCACAGGGACCTCCATGCTAAGCACTGATGTCCTGGTTTTCAGCTAGGGAAACATTTTCTCTGCAGCCTCTGGCTCCACCCTGCATACTGCCCTCACACCGGTGTCTGCCTACTGCAGTCTTTGGAGAATTACCTCCGGCTCTTGCGGGGCAATGCCACACACAGGAAGGCAGGGCCCTGGTGTTGGACAGATCTGGATGAATTTCCTAACTTCCAACAGCTTCATTTCTTTGGGAAAATTACCTCTGCTTCTCAAGCTCTCAGTTTCCTCAACTGTAAAATGATCACACACTTTTATAATGAGAAACTGAGAGTAGTGACGTGAAGGAAGGATACAAAGAGCTGTGACACATTACACCGAGGGTAATAATGTTGATATCTGGTATTAGGGTAGGGTAGATCAGGGATAGTGTTCCTGGAGAAGTGATGTATCAACCGAGATATAAATTTAAAAAAGTAGTGCTTCATCGTGAAAAACTCGAAGACTACAAAAATTCACACAGTAAAAAGTCAATGTTGACTGTGTGCAGTGGCTCATGCCTATGAGGCAAGAGGATGGCTTGAGGTCAGGAGTTTGAGACTAGCCTGGGCAACATAGCGAGACCCCGTCTCTACCAAAAAAAAAAAATCGCTGGGCATGGTACCTTGTACCTTTAGTTCTAGCTACTTGGAAGGCTGAGGTGGGAGGATTGCTTGAGCCCACAAGGCATTTGAGGTTGCAGTGAGCTGTGATTGTACCACTGCACTCCAACCTGGGTGACAGAGTGAGACCCTGTCTCTAAAAATAAATAAAGTTTTTAATTTTTTTTTTTTTTTTTAAGACAGAGTCTCACTCTTGCCCAGACTGGAGTGCAGATGTACGATCTTGGCTCACTGCAACCTCCGCCTCCTAGGTTCAAGTGATTCTCATGCCTTAGCCTCCCGAGTAGCTGGAATCGCAGGCATGCGCCACTATATCTGGCTAATTTTTGTATTTTTAGTAGAGACGAGGTTTCACCATGTTGGCCAGGCTGGTCTCAAACTCCTGACCTCAAGTAATCTGCCTGTCTTGGCCTCCCAAAGTGCTGGTATTACAGGCGTAAGCCACTGTGCCCAGCCACTTTTTAAAAAAATATGAGTGTAGAAAGTCTACAGAAAAAAAAAAAACCCAAATGAAGAAAACCATCAATGTCAGCAGCATAGTTTTGGAATGTCCTTAGATCCCTCAGAAACCAGATGAAGCAATTAGAGAACAAAACCAAAGGTACATAAAGAACATTTATAACAAAGTTAGCTACTAAGGTATCTTCACAAATCCCAAAACACGGTGGGGGGAAAAAATCACTGACAGCCACGTGATCTGCACGGTATTAGCATCTGCGTGAGCAGAAGCAGCAGAAGAAATGGAGTCTTCGATAAACCTGAGTGCAGGGAAATCAAAAATTAGCCAATATTTATTGCAGATGGCAGGCAAATTAGAGAATCCAGCCAATCCTGGGAGAGATTTTGCTCAAACCTATAGAGGGACCATGCAAGGGAAGCCCTAGTGGGCTCTTAGAACTGACGGCCCAAGATCCCCTTCTAGGCGAGGCTCCCACATGCATGAGAAACTGCTGACTGTGGAATCAAAACTGAGCCAGACAAGGATGGTAGAGACAAAGATAAAGTCCAGATAAGAGTGGGAAGACAGGCTGGGTGTGGTGGCTCACGCCTGTAGTCCCAGCACTTTGGGAGGCCGAGTGGGGTGGATCACGAAGTCAGGAGTTTGAGACCGGCCTGGCCAACATGGTGAAACCCCATCTCTACTAAAAACACAAAAATTAGCCAGGCGTGGTGGCGGGCGCCTGTAATCCCTGCTACCCGGGAGGCTGAGTCAGGAGAATCATTTGAACCTGGGAGGTGGAGGTTGCAGTGAGCCGAGATCGTGGCACTACACTCCAACCTGGGCGACAGAGCGAGACTGTCTCAAAAGAGGGAGGAGAAAACAGGGCCAGGAAATCTCTGAGAGCAAGCCACGTATTTTTGACTAGACAAAAACAACAGAAGAAGGAGTCCTGTGAAGTCTGTTTCTAACTTCTGAACAATGCCTCCTAGAAGTTCAGGAAAATTAGTTTTACATGAAAATAAGCCACAGGAAAGAATCAAGACCAAAGTCAATCCAAAGTTTTTGTAAGAGAGCAAAAGAATAAGGAGCAGAATAGCATTTCTGCAGACAAAGAAGCCACAAAACAACAAAAGTATAACCTTCTGTTTCTAATGTATGAAATACATTATAATACAATGTTTGAAAGAAAGCCATAAATCAGAATGAGAAAAACTCAGAATCCAAGTGACAGAACTCAAGAAAGAATCACATATTAAAAAAAATAAAGACTAAACTGGAAGGAACTGAAGAGAACGTCAATTGTAAATGTCTTAATTGAAATAGAAGTGAAAAGAAAAAAATTAAAAATGAAAGACAAATGAAAATAGAAAAAATTCAAGAGAGAGAGGCAAATATTAAAGATAAGCAAAATCCAACATGTAGACAGTAGGAGTCCCTGAAGAAGAAAACCAAAGCAAAAGAACAGAATAAATACCAAAACTATAAAATAAAGCTTTCCTGAAATAAAATATGATTTAAAAACTCCATATTGAAAGACCATACTTTAGTCCCGAGATACGGAAATAAAACAACTCCAAGATGTATCCCAGTAAAATTACTGATCCATAAAGAAAAAAAGTCCTGTAGGCATCTAGGCCCAAAGAACCAGTGATTTTAAAGGGTAACAAAATGAGATTGTCATGACAGTTTTACAAAGTGATGCTTCATTACATAAGACAAAGGAGTAACATTAAATATACTGAAGAAAAAATGTGTAAGCCAAGGATTTTATGCCCATCAGCACTGACATTCAACTGTAAAAGGGAACAGACTACTACCTGTATGCAAGAACTCAAGAAATACAGTTCTTTTGAGTCTTTAAAGAGAAATCCATTGGCAAATGAAGTTCAGATGACCCAAACAACTAGAAAGATAACATAAGGACTAGTGGTAAGCATTAAACATATATTGAGATGGAATTTCGCTCTTGTTGCCCAGGCTGGAGTGCAATGGCGTGATCTTGGTTCACTGCAACCTCCGCCTACTGGGTTCAAGCGATTCTCCTGCCTCAGCCTCCTAAGTAGCCGGGATTTCAGGCATGTGCCACCATGCCTGGCTAATTTTTTATTTTTAGTAGAGACGGGGTTTCTCCATGTTGGTCAGGCTGGTCTTGAACTCCCGACCTCAGGTGGTCTGCCCGCCTTGGCCTCCCAGAGTGCTGGGACTACAGGCGTGAGCCACTGCACCCTGCCAATTTTTTTTTTTCTTAAAGGGACGGAGAATAGTCTGTAGTTGCTAAATGCTCTGACCATGTAAATATATAAAAATGGGAGGAGAATAAGAAGATCAAATGCAAAAACAATTTCTTTTTGACTTTCAGAAATCATATTGGTGGAGGTTGTATTAATGTTGTTATTCCGAAATTGTTATGTATGTAATGTGGGATGAAGCAAATGAATAATTATGAGATATGAAAATTAATCTCTTGTGTCTTGAGAACTGTTATTTTTCGTGTGGAAGAAAGAAGATATGGATGCAATATAGAAGTGATTATACAGCAAGTCCGTAGTCTTGAATTTAAATGGGAAGTGTCAGGCAGTATTCATATTATGGACATCTGTTCATATCATTTTACTTAGATTTAACTCATTCTTTCTACTCACTGAAGAATATTATGTAATTTTACACAATTGACTCAAGAAAAAAATATATCCCCCCATTTTTACTATTTACAAATCATGTGGCATTGTATTTCTGAGTATAGGAGGGAATATTTTTGACTGAGAAAGTCTCAGAAATAAAATGCAGGGTCAAGGACTAAGTTTTTCAATAGATATTAGATAATTGCATTCCAAAAGGGTTGCATCAATTTCAACTTCCACTGTGAATGGACAAGAGGACGATGTTTCCACACCCTCACCAACCTGTTTTCAGTCCTGTAGGGAAAATATGGCTTTGGTATATATATTTTTAATTGCTAAAGAGATTGAGAATCTTTAAACAAACTGATAGGCTATTTCTTCTTTTGTGAATTGCCTACTTGAAATTTGATCGGTTAAAGTTGAGTGCTTTTCCTTTCATTGTTTATTAGGCATTTTCAACATATTATAGCTATTTATCCTTTTCCAGTTGTAAATATATTGCCTTTATCTGGCATGTCTTTCAACAAGGAGTAGGTTTAAGGATTTTTTTTTTTTTTGACAGGGTTGCTGGAGTGCAGTGGTACAATCTTGGCTCGCTGCATACTCTGACTTTGGGATCAAGCAATCCTCCTACCTCAGCCTCCCGAGTAGCTGGGACTACAGGCGCGTGCAACCATGCCTGGTGAATTTTTGTATTTTTGGTGGAGATGGGGTTTTGCCATGTTGCCCAGGCTGGTAGAGGGTTTAAGTTTTTATGTAGCCAGATGTGTCAATTACTGTCCCCCTCTTAATAGCTTCTGGGTTTTCTGTGACATTTAAAAAAAATATTTAAAGAAAGAAAAAGGCAAAAAAGGCCTTCTTTATCTCGTGTCTTAATAATTCTACATTTCTTTGTAGTGATTTTACAGCTATATTTTTAAGCCACTGAAATTTTATTTTTATGTGCGGAGTGAGATAGTAATCTATAAATACGTATGTTTATATCAATCATCTCTTTCCAAAAGATCGCTGATTTTTTCAACACACTTTATTAAATAGTCTGTTTATTCCTGATTGATGTGAAAAGCCATTTTCTACTCACTGAGTTTTCATATGTAACAGGTGTTTTTTGTACTTCCTTCTCTTACGCTGATTTATGTTTGTTTATTTGCTGGTACCATACTCTTTTGTTTTCCTTAAAGATGAGGGGCAAGAAATATTTGGGAATCCTTATATATATATTTCTTTCCCGTCACATATGTTAGTGGGCTGAGAGACATCTGATAGCACTCAGCAAAGCAGACCTAGCAAGCAGCTGCCCTGTCAATTCCAGGTCCCCATCCGGCTGCTCCTTCTGACTTCCTGCTTGGCCTCCGGGGTTCCCCTGGTCTCCGTGTCTTAGTTATTTCTCTATCGGCTGTGAAATAGCCTGAAGGGTGTTGCTGTATCCTAACCCCATCCTTACTAAATCTTTTTAATTATTTTAGATTAATATACATTTCAGTATCTGAAACTTGCTCTCAAGTTCCTTTCTGTATTTTTTTTACATAGCATCTTTACTATTCTTGCACATTTGTTTTCCAAGTGACCTTAATGATCAATTTGTTCAGTTAAAATAACAACCATTGGAATTCCGACTGACATAGCATCATACTCATGAATTAATTTGGGGAAGAGTAAAGAAATACACAGTGTGTGTCTTCACATCCAATAATATAATCTCTCATTTTAGGTCTTTTGAAAATGCCTTTTAGAACATTTTCATAGAAAGCACTTGTATTTGTCTTGTGAAACATATTTTTAGATGCGTTATAATTGCTGTGGATATTCTGAATGTGCTTCTGCTTCTGCTTTCCACTATATTTTTCCCCACATATTTTACAACTAGTTTTTGCATATATAAAATTAAGCAATCCTATTTAAAAATATTTACCCCCAGAAGACAGGAGGGAGAGTCCATTCCTGTGGAGAGCTTGGGAGATGGGGCAGTTGAGGTGAGGGAGCAACTGCGTTGAAAAGGTCACAAGTGATTTTCTGCTGCTCTCTCGCATCTGAAGGCTGGCTCTGTGACAAGGCGAGCCTCGTTGCAAGATTCGTTGTTACCTTGCTTGAGCCTTGGGTACCAGGAAGTCAGCATGTCGGCTCATGCGGTGACCTTCCAGAATCTCCGGGCACCTGTGAGATTTGCTTTAAAATGCCATAGCTCCCTTTCCAAAGCCCCTTCCCATTGGCTCAGAGATGGGTTATCTGGGGGATTGCTGGAGGCTCAGAACGATCAGTGTCTATACGCATCACACACATGCAACATTTAATGTGTACTATATAGTCTCTTTTGATAAAACTTCTAAATAGACTTTGTGGCAGGAGAGCTTAGATAGCTCCCATACCATTAGATATTTTCAGGGGTTCTTAGAGAATTTACTGATTATCTATACCATGTTGTTAATTCCCTGTGGAAGTTGGTGCAAAATTGCACTGACATGGGTGGGATAAGACTGTGGGTAAAAGAAGCCATGGGGTCAGGGTTTTTCAAGTGTATATGTGTCCTGCCTCTGGCTTTGGGGTAGACTCAGCACCCAGGGGGATTGAAGCCACATACAGAGCCTTCAAAATTAATATGAGAGACTGTCTAACAAATTGTACAATTTGGTTTACTGATGAGTGACACATGGTTGTTTGTCAACTAAAAATATCTTGAAGACCTTTGAGCAAACCAAGGGAGACCTCTTTCATGTCGCGTCTCGCAAGCAGCTGTGCCCTGCCTTGGGTACACATAATTGCTGAAACTGATTCAGCAGGGCTGGAAGTGTTGATGCTGTCGTATTAATTTGTTCCATAAATCAACACATGCACTTGACAACCTTTAAAAATCTTTATCATCATGCATTTATTCTTTGTATTGTGAGGGAGGCTTATTGGCCTTTGATCCAAAGCAACTTGTATTCATTAAACAAATATTTGGGGGTCAACAGGTACCGAAGAGGTAGGGCCCAGGACCCATCCTCAAGGAGCTCACAGTCTAATGGGGAAATAGACATATCAGCAAAATAAGAAAAAGCAATTTCATGTGATCAGGGCATAGAGTTAGGCATTGATGTAGTGTTGCCACAAGGATAGATTCATTTATTCAAAAAAGACTAAAGCTGGGTACAGTGGCTCATGCCTGTAATCCCAGCATTTTGGGAGTTGAGATGGGAGGACTGCTTGAGCCTAGGAGTTCGAGACCATCCTCGTTAACATGGTGAGACCCTGTCTCTACGAAAAATAATCACACGCCAGGGCCTGTTGGGGGGTGGGGGACAAAGGGAGGGAGAGCATTAGGACAAATACCTAATGCATGCGGGGCTTAAAACCTAGATGATGGGTTGATAGGTGCAGCAAACCACCATGGCACATATATAGCTATGCAACAAATCTGCACGTTCTGCACATGTATCCCAGAACTTTTTTTTTTTTTTTTTTTTTTAAAAAAGCCATATGTGATGGCACATGCCCGTGATCTCAGCTACTTGGGAGGCTGAGGTGGGAGGATCACTTGAGCCCAGAAGGTCAAGGGTGCAGTGAGCCATGATCATGCCACTGCACTCCAGCCTGAAAGACAGAGTGAGACTCTGTCTCAGAAAGAAAAAATAAAAGACTAAGACCTCCTAAGATAGAGGTGTGACCTCTGCACATACAGATAAACAGGGCATGGTGACTGCTTCAGTGAACACAGTATAGGAGCCAGAAACAGACACAGAAACAGATTATAAATAGGTACAAGTGGTGGCAATCTGAGGGGGTATGGTGGGGCAGGCCAGAGCAGGGAGGGGTCATTTCAGGGGAGGGGTCAGGAAGGACTTTACCTATGAGGTCTTGAAAGATGGGCCAGTGTTTATATCCCAGATAAGTGGAGAAGAGGATTCAAAGTGGTAGGAATAGTGTGTGCAAATGCCCTGGGGTAGGACAGGGAGACAGATTGTTCAGGACCAGGAAGCAGCATGGCATGGACTGAGCATGGTGGGACAAGGCTGTGGTGAGAGGGAAGGCCAGAGAATCAGGTGGAGGTCATATAATGGATGGTTGTGAATGACCAGCCAAGAAGTCTGTTGTTATCCCAAAACCTCATTCACGGTCAAGTCGTGGTTTTTCTTTTCCTCTGCTTTCTCCCTTTAGAAATGCCAGCCGTGATTGTCTGCACACTATAAAACACAATGCAAAGACCCAAGCTTGAGAATGCTACACATATGAAATAATAAGACTTGAATTAAGCTTGATTGCCTGTTTTTGCATTTTTTGGCTTATGTGTCTGTTCACTTGTTTGTCATATTTTAGTGTAGGCAACATCTATTGAGCATGTAATGGTTAACAGAGCAGCAGTGACCAGTGGGAATGGAACAGAATTATGTCACTTACCCAAAAGAGACTCCTTGCTGCTCCTGGAACTTGGAGGTTTCCAAGAGGAAGACTAGTTACCTGCACCAGAAGACCTTTCTGTTAAATCTACCATTCTGGAAAAGAGGTGAGGATATAAACTACCTCAAAGGTTCTTTCCAGAATTTGTTAACCTGAACTCTTACCCCACCAAAGGAGAGGGAGAGGCAATCAGGCCGAGGTTCACATTTGATCACAATTCAGTGTCCCTACAGCCTCTCAGTATAGCCTCTCAAAGAGATGGGTTGCCAGCCCCATCTTATGTTTGGGTAAATTAAGCTATGTGCTCTAAAGTGTGGCCCATGGTCCATGGCCAGCAGTGTTAGCATCACATGGGAGCTTGTTGAAAATGCAGAATACCAGGCCCCACTTTAGTCCTAGGCAGTCAGAATCTGCACACTAACAAGACGCCCCACCCTTCCAGCCCCCCTGTGATTCTGTGCTTAATAAAGTCAGAGAAGCATTGGCTCCTGGAAGATCCAGGTCAATCTGACTTCAAAGTTTCTTTTCTTTCCATGACCCAACGTTAGCTCTACTTTTGGCTACTGTGTCTATTCCTAAATATGTGGAGCAATTTTGGCCAGGAATAATGTTTAAGTCCTCAGAGAGTGCATATTTCTACTTAACAGTGTGAGTTCTGGGTTTCGTATGCTCATTATGCTTTGAGATTGATCAGCATGGAAATATAGCACATGAGAGTCCCAAATTTGTAAGGCTATGAGAAAGCCTTCAGGGAAAATGGAGTAGAAAATTCTTCATTCTAACAGGTTTTCAGGTGCTCTCTTATTAAAGAAAATTCTGATATTAAAACAGAAGCACCTCTATTTTACCAAGGCAATTTATTGGGCAATGTTTGCTAGCATTGCAAAGTATTTTCTACTTCAACTACTGGATGTGTTTATTCATTCATTAGTTCATTCATTTCACAAACATTTGTGCTATGTCCTGAAGGAGTAAGACAGGGTCACCATCCTCGAGGATCTGGAAGAGGAGACAAATAAAAAATAATTACAACCCAAATTAACATGCGACCAATTACAACACTTCTGTGTCATGAACTTTATGCTGATCCCACTTCCAAGCATTTATTTCAGTACATGGATTATGTATCATGTGACTGTCACAACTTTTTGTTTGAAGGTGTTGTCACCTTAGTTATATTCTGGTTATCAACAAAGTGCTAGGGGATAGGGGCATAGTGCAGAGGAAGAGGTAGTTCTGTTGGGGGAAGGGGGTGACGGAGGAGATGATGTTCATTCATTCATTCATTCATTCATCTGACAGATATTCATTGAGTCACGTGTGAAGCTTAGTTGTAGGAAGATGAGGACATTGGGAAATAGGAATGAATAAGACATCTTGGTTCCTGCTCTTGGTCTCCCAGGAAAGATGTTGTTAAACATATAATCACACAACAAATCAACTAATTTCAATTGTGCTACATGTTTGGAGAAGTGCAAGGTTCTGTGAGAGTATGTGATGGGAGAGGTGACCCAGCCGGAAGCATTAAGAAATGCTCCCTGGGGGCTCTGACTCATGAGCCGAAACTTGAAGGAAGAATACCGAAGGGAGGTAACTTCCAGGTAGCAGGAACAGCCAGTACAAAGGCACGGGGGCACAAAGAAACTTAGTGCTTTCCTCCAAATCAAAACTCAATGTAGTTGGAAGAACAGGGGCCGTTCTGGATGTTAGATGTTATCCTTGCTCAGCATTTGTTTAAATAATAAGGTTTTTCTTGACCTTATGAATGGGAGAGTCAAGACAAAATAGAATGATGCCTGGCCCAAGAGACCACTTGCCAATTATTTAATCGCAGGGGTTGGCCTCAGTTTCCCCATCAGCCCAGTGGGGATTCCTGTCCGTGCTGTTTATTTCCAAGACTTTATGGATGGAAAAGTGCTTAGAAACATAATACAAATGCTACCATATCATATGGTTCCCCCAGCCCCCTTACCTCAGGGGAACATCTGTGGGTGAAGTGAGGTAAAGTGAATATGCTTGCTTTTGGCTTCCATGTTGAGAGACGGTGGTTAATTAAAAAGACTCAAGTTTTTCTTCTTAGGCACACAATAGCTTTTGGGGAAATGGCTGACTGTCCACAGCTGCATGTAAATTGCCCAACCGGAAGCAGCAGACAAAAAACTGATTATGACAGAGGCACCAGGATTTTAGTGCTGAGCTGCCAGATGCTGTTAGCAAGTGGGAACAAAAGTGACATTGGCGAGTTGCCTGTAGAGAGGTCTCTTCCCACCTCATTGAAACCCATGGGCAGCACAATAGGGATGAGCTTGGATCGGGTGAGGTTCAGGGCTGGGAACGGGCTGTTCCAACCGCAGATCCAGACGATCTCCAGCATTGCGGAGGCATTGGGACAGCATTATTCTCAGAGCAGGGTTAGGTGGGAGCCAAAGGCAGGCAGTGTGTGAATCAAGGTTGAACTTGGAACATTAGCAGTTGAGGTGTGTGATGGGTTGAATTATGTCCCCCTAAAAAGATATGCTGAAGTTCTAACCCTCATACTTCAGATAGTGACCTTATTTGGAGTTAGGATCTTTACAGAGTAATCAAGTTAAAATGAGGTCATTGGGGTGGGCCCTAATCCAATATGACTGGTGTTCTTATAAAAGGAGTAATTTGAACACAGAGACAGACGTGTGCAGAGGTCATGTGAGTGATGCATCTACAAGCCAGGGACTACCAAGTATTGCTGGCAAATGCTAGATTCTTCTTAGAGTTGTTAGGAAAAGCATGGCCCTGCCAACACCTTGATTTTGGACTTCCAGCCTCCAGAATGGTGAGACCGTACATTTCTGTTGTCTGAAGTCACTTTGTTACAGCAGCCCTGGGCAATGAGTACAACCTCTCCAATAATATAAAGCATCATGTTTTTGATACAGATGGGGTGAGGCGATTATCCTCCCAGTGCCCTTGCCAATCATTCACATATTTACTGTATGCTGATTACTCCAGTCTGCATGTGTGCCCACTCTGTCTGAGTCCTGCAAAAAGGAAATAGCCCAGAGGTGAGTAAAAGCAGATGCTTTGTAGTGTAACCTATACTACTTCCCTTAAGTTGGCTTCGGAATTTAAAAATTACCTTCTTTATACCAGACCTTGCTCTTGTTAATTGGACCTGCAAGTGGCAAGTGACTGAACCTGCACTTCAGTTACACGAGTAAAGCAGACCCAGACTAGATCTCAGCTCTGCTCCTCAAAGCTGTGCAGTCCAGGGCATGCAACTTCCCCAAGTCTCAGAGTTCATATCTGTAAAATGAGGACTATAACACCTCCCTCCTGGGTTGTTGTGGAGATTGAGAATATTCATGTGAAGTAATTAGCACTGTTCAACTACAAGAAGTGCTAAAAATCTATGATCAGTGTTGATGATGGTGATGATCCTATCCAGCAGCTGTTTCCTTCAGATCCAGGCATTTCATAGCTTGAAGATCCTAAGTTGTGACACAGACTTTAACTCCCAGAACTGAAACTCTAGGGGGTGGAGAGTGGGCAAAGCTTGCCCTTAGCACACTCCCATTTTCCTCTTGCCTTGACCAAGAGACTGGTTGGCATTTGCTGACTCTAAGCTTTTCCTAATCTCTGTGAAAAAAAAAAAAACAGAAAAAACAAAAACAAAAAAACCCACAAAAAACAACTTGGGACCCAAATTTACTATATTAAAGGGGAAGTTAAGCTTGGGGACTGAGTCACCAATATTGTCTTCCTTTTGTTCTTAAACCCATAGTTATAATTTCACAATCCCATATCAGACTCATTTCCTCTACTCCCTCTTTTTATGTGTTTATCTTATATAAAATGTAGATTTACTAAGCAAGAGACAATGAGAAATTGACTTTTTCTTTTCCTCTACTCCTTTTCACATGTAAAATGTAGATTTATGGGTGGGGTGGGACGGGACGGGGGTGGGCTTAGCAGAGCCTCACAAAAATGTAACCATCTGCCTCACTGCCTATCCTCCCTCCCTTTGTTCCCCCTCCTGCCTGTCTTCCCCCTTTAAAGACTGAAGTTCCCAAAACCCCCTTTAGAAAAGAGATCACAGATGCTCCTGCGATTTGTGTTTGTTTTTCCAGGGTGTGTCCTTGGATAAATAAACTGTGAATCGATTGAGACCTGCTGCGGTCGCTCTTTGGTTTACACCTCTACACTGGACCCTGCTAGGGATCTCTTTCTCATAATTCCTATCTCCCTTGTCCCATCCGAACTCACAGTCTTTCGTTATGGTTAATCTAAAAGGGGTGCCTGAGCTAGGAAAGCAATCTGATTTAAAAAACATATTCAAAGATAAGAATAAATGGTAGCTCATAATATTTGCTGGGGTTTTATCATTTTTAAAAAATAGAATTTCTTAACTTTGAGGAAGCTCTATATGATGGGGTGAATGTGGGAAATATTTCTGTGGTCTGGATTTGGGGGACAGTGCCCCTTCCTACTAAGTGGGACCCAGAAAATAAATGCTAATATGTCAGCAATGTAATACTTTATTTTTGGAAGGTTGCCACTATGGCCTCTCCCATGCCGAGCCACTGGCTTGGCATAGTTTTCCATCTTCTTTGCTTAGTAGGAGGACTGCTTGAATTAAGCACATCAGCTTGGCTCACTAACTCAATATTCCCAGAACTTGACTTACTTATTACCACTCCTGGGATGTTGTTCCATCTGCTTTTTCTTTCTTTTACCGTTACAGTTCTAACGTTAAGTCAACCCCAAACAGGACCTATGACTGGAAAATGTGGGAAACATTAGTTTAGTTATTGTCTCAAACCAGCAATAAAAGAGAATTCCTCCCAGGGTGAACTCTGGATTTGGCCCTGATCTTCCCAGACTCTCTGACTTTTCATCTGCGGTTCCCTCCACCTGGAATGTCCTTTCATGACCACCTCCTCCTCGTCAACTTCTACTTATCTTTTAGGGTCCTGCTCCCCCGAATCGTCCTCTCAGAAGCCCTCTGTGACACTCCGTGTCCCTACTGTGTCACCTTGTAGTGTTCACGTATCTGTCTCTCCCTGCAGATCATGAGATTCTTGGGAAAGGGGACCGAGCTAATCCAAAGGCTCTGGCACATAGTTGGAATTATTAATCACTGATGCACAAGTGGATAAATGGGTGGAAAGAGGCAGGAAGAGGTGGATGAATAATAGGTAAATTATTAAAGCATCTCTACCCTGCTTCAGTTGGGGCTGGAATTTACCTACAGGTTTGTGTTACCTTTTAATGTTCAACACCTGTGGGTACTGGGCTGTTCATAGTCAGCATGAATTACATAGATAGATAAATACATTAGATCAAGCTTGTCTTATCCGCAGGCCATATGTGGCCTAAGACAGCTTTGAGTGTGGCCCAACAAAATTCATAAACTTTCTTAAAACATCGTGAGGTTTGTGATTATTTCTTTTTTAGCTCATCAGCTATCATTAGTGTTAGTGTATTTGATGTATGGCCCAAGACAATTCTTCTTCCTCCAATGTGGCCCAGGAAAGCCAAACGATTGGACACCCCTGCATTAGATAGACAGATAGAGAGGGAGGCAATGCAATTAAACAACTTCTACTACGGTATGAACAACTAATAGTCCACAACCTTCCCTGACCTGATGTATTCCATTAATTGAATTGATAAATTCCAAAGGAGATGGAATTGGGGGACAGGCCTCTGTGGGAACTATTTTTGAGGGCTACTTTGGTGGACAGTGTCCCTTGGTCCTGCCTCTGTCTGGAGTTCAGAGCTCGCTGCCCTGCACGTGTCCCTGCTCTGGGTCTGGATGGCTCACACCTCTGTGGTCCCCTCTCTCCTCCCTACCCTGTCCTCTTAGTTGGATATGACTCTTTTTCTGATTCAACCAGGATGAGTCTCTACAGGACCTCCTGGCTGGCAGGGGCTTGGACATGGCTGCAGCAGAGGATCGGAGAGCCCAGTGGACCATCCCCAGCTCACACAGGGCTGGAGAAAGGACATGGGCTCCTCCTAGTCAGATGCCCGGTCCTGGCCACTGGCTGGATGTTTGGAATGTGTTGCTCTGTTGCCACTTAGGGTGCAGCAGCTTTCAAACTGAGTCTTCTGTGCAGTCTTCTTTATTTTATGTGTTTTCTTTTTTGGTCTCACTCTGTTGCCCAGGCTGGAGTGCTGTGGTGTGATCTCAGCTCACTGCAGCCTCAATCTCCCAGGTTCAAGCAATCCTCCTACCTCAGCATCTTGAGTTGCTGGGACTATAGGTGCGTGCTACCAGACCTGGTTAATTTTTTATTTTTTGTAGAAACAGGATCTCACTATGTTGCCCAGGCTGGTCTCACACTCCCGAGCTCAAGTAATCTTCCTGTCCTGGCCTCCCAAAGTGCTGGGATTACAGTTTTGAGCCACCGCACTCAGCCTTTGTGTTCTTACTTTGTTTATCCATTCAAGATGAGTTATGATTGAGGATGAAGAGTAAGGTGAATTTGCTCTATTGTCTGAGAAGAGAGCTGACCAGCAACAGGTTTTTGTAAAATCCACAGTTCTTAAAGGAGAGAGCTCTATGATTCAGAAGTCCTGAAGATCAATGCTATACAAAACATTCATCTGCCATTGTCTGAAGGACAGGTGGAGGTGGTGGTGGCCTTTCTTTAGGGCTCATTACATTTGGAGACAGCCCCCACCTTTTATGTATAAAGAACCTCCACGGAAAACTGCAGGCTAGATTACTCTGACTCCCAGACTTGGAGGGATTTTCATTCACATTAGAGAAACAGGGACAAACTTCTAGGCATAAAAATACTTGGAAACTTGACAACCTTTGGTCAGGCCATCACTTCCCTTCTCCAGGACTCAGTTTTCTTATCTGTAGAATTGTTATACCGTTATACTTATCATGGAGCTATAAGGAGCCAATGAGTTCATAAAAATTGTAAAATGTTAAATGCTAAGGTTTGATGGTCATTACTATGAACATAGCACAAACTATTTATGTCAGAACACAGGAAATCTGCAAAGTGACCTGGGGAATTAATGGGGCCATTGACATTTATCCCCCGACATCTATCTCTCCACAGTTGTCTGTCTCGGAGTCTTTGGGATGACATCATAAGGAGGGGGGCAGGTAGTAGAACTGAAATTAGCTCCTATTGACGGTTTTAGCACTTCTGGCAGGGAGCATTCATGCGGGTTGTTCAGGGATGTTGTTAGAATATGAAGCCCCTAAGTCTTGTGAGGAGGGCGTTCCTGGTGTTCAAGGCCTTACAGGATCTTCTCGGCAGTCCCCACCCTCCACTTCCCACCTTTATAGTGGCTTCTTTCTCTTCTCTAGACTCACCCATCTGCTGCATTGAGGTTAAGTCTTCATTCTTCCAGTAACCTGTCTACCTGGGTCCTGTCTCCACATCCTGGATCATACTTTGTTTTTTTTCAGAGAGTAACAAGTTTTCCAAGTGTGAGGTTTTATAACAGTCAGAGGACCCAGAAAGTCCTGAATCCTGATCCCTAACAATCTTCTCTTCTATGATGTCTAGGGGAGAATTCTTTGCCCAGGACAATAAAAATTAAAGAGCAAAGTAGTATGTTGTTAATGGGAGATTCACCTCTGAAAACTAAAGCAGGCCTGGCGTGGTGGCTCACGCTTACAGCTAGTGATCCCAGCACTTTGGGAGGCCAAGGCGGGCAGATCACCTGAGATTAGGAGTTCAAGACCAGCCTGGCCAGCATGGTGAAACTCCATCTCTACAAAAATACAAAAATTAGCTGGGCATGATGGTGGTTGCCTGTAATCCCAGTTACTCAGGAGGCTGAGGCAGGAGAATCGCTTGAACCTGGAAGGTGGAGATTGCAGTGAGCCGAGATGGCACCATTGCACTCCAGCCTGGGGCAACAGAGCGAGACTCCATCTCAAAAAAAAAAAAAAAAAAAAAAAAACCCAAAAAACAAACTAAAGCAGGTTTCCAGCGTATCAGACTAGACACTGTGAAGGATTCTGGATAATTTAAGTTGACCCCAGGGACCCCAGGTTAGTCTGCTCCATCCGTGTGACTTAAGAGGAGACCCAGGTCTCGGCAGGGCCACCTTGTTGAAAAAAAGACTGCACCCAGGATCCCTGGAAGAGAAGGTGTGAGAGCCTCAGGACAGGAGAGAGGGCCCCATTCCTGGAGGGGGCTGTCCCAGGCTGCCTACCCCAGCTCTCTGTCTGGGGTGCACCTGAGTCTGCTACCTTGATGTAGAAGGCAGAATGAGGAAAAGAGACAGAAAGCCATGCCCTGCTCCAAGTCTTCCACTCTGGCTTCATGGATGAAAAGACAGGAGAGACCATATTCACATGGGTGTGATGTCACTTCCAGCCCAGCGAAACACTCTCCCTGCCCTCTGACAATTGTTTAGTTACAAAAGTGAGTTTTAAATTAAGAGTAAGAAGAGATCTAAGAAATCACTCATTTAAAAAAATGGATAAATATAATAAATATGATACAAATTCAGGAAAACAAGATAATTTTATTATTTTCTTGACACATCTCTCATATTTTTCTCCTAGAGTCTTTGGTTTTATACTGTCATTGCCTCTTCATATGACAACAAATTTATAATGATTTTCCATAGAGAGAAGGATAATTCAGTTCTTCCTCTAGCATGATTGATTGAAATATATTTATGACGGATTTTTTAGAATGGTTTCTTTTAGCTTTGCTACTCTTTATTGGTTATATGCACATTTTTAGGAATGTTTTCAAATTTAGAAAAGCATCTGTCAAATTTCTTTCACATAGAATCTCTTGCAGTTTCAGGGCATTTGAAATTGCTTATGCAGTGCTAATCTTTTAAAAAAATTTTAAAAGATAAGATATAATTCACATACCATAAAATTCACCCTTTTAAAGTGTGTAATTTACAAACTTGTGCAGCCATTACCACTATCTAATTCCAGAATGTTTTCATCACCCCAAAAAGAAACGCTGTATGCATTAGCAGTCACTTCCTGTTCCCCTGGCCCCAGTCCCTAGTAACTACAATTCCCTTTTGCATCTCTGTGGATTTGCCTATTCTGGACATTTTGTATAAATGGAATCATACAATGTGTGGTCTTTTGTGTCTGGTTTCTTTCACTTAGTGCAATGATTTCAAGGTTCATCCTTGTACAATTTCACTCATTCATATAAATGAAGAAATCAGTACTTCATTCATTTACATGGCTAAGTGTGATTCCATTGCATTAATATACCATATTTTGTTGACCTATTCATAAGTTAATGGGCATTTGGGTTGTTACATATTTTGGCTATTATGAATAATGCTGCTATGAATATTTGTGTATCCCTTTTTTTTGTGTGTGGACATATGTTTTCATCTCCGCTGGGTATGTATGTAGGAGTGAAATTGCCGGACCATATGGTGGTAACTCAGTGTTTAACTTTTTGACCATGAGCCTTTCTTAAACATGATGGGCAAGGATCCCTCTTTTCCTTGAAGGCAAGTTAAGATTGGGGTTGGAGGTGTGGTGGGCTGGGGGAGGGAATGTTGCATACACGATAGAGGACTTCCAAAGCCCACTTCTTCCTTCTTTGCCTAGATCAATGGAGGCCTGGCATTAGGGGCACATTAGGAAAAATAAACAGATTTATGGGTTGCATTTTAAAAGGTAGAAAATGAAAGTAATTTGATTTAGTCCCATGAGAAAAAATGCTTGCAATCATTTTAGTTACTTAGTATAGTGTAGTGCTGTCTGGATTGGCATCTCAGCTCCACTGCTAAGTAGCTGTGGGCCTTGCCTACATTACCTAACTGCTCTGTGTTTTGGTATCGTCATCCAAATGGGAAATACTAACACTGGCACTTTCCCTGTGAAGCTGTTGTGAGGCCCAAACATGATAATGCGTGTAACACACTCAACAGGGTCTCTGGCAAACACTTGGCCTGTGATAAACACTAGCAATTTAATTGGCCTTTTGTAGGAATGGAAACATGTCAATGAGGATATCTCCATAGTCTTTGGCCACTAAAGGGTTAATTTCTAGGACATGTTTCAGAAGTAGCAGGCAAGACATGGCACACAAATGTATGAGCCTAACTCAATTTGCAGCCTAGACATCACAGAGCCTAGCCAGAGCTGGTAGACAGCAAGTGTGGCTTGGCATAAACCTCAATAAATATTTGAAGGTTCCTGGTCAATTTGTCCCTGAAATGCAGTGTGCAGGCTGTGAGGAGATTTTGTAAGGAAATGCTGGCTGCAGTTGTGAAATCCTCCCATGTATTTAGAAGCCTGGTTTTAGCTTCCTCTGAGGTCTTCTGTCTTCAGAAGTTTCCTCGCAAATTAAGATTTACCAAAGTAGATTGCATTCAGAGAAAAGAAATTGGGTTATCTATCATCTGTACCCAATTTCTTTTGCCAAAAATCCTACCAATTTTTACCTGAGACAAAAATAACATTTTTTTCCTTTCTAGAAAGTAGAATGTATGAGTGATTTGGAGGGCAGAGAAAGAGTAACAAAGTCCTAGAAATTTCCTCTATCATCTGTCTATCTGTCTATCTATCTATCTGTCTATCTATCTATCTATCTATCTATCTATCTATCTATCTATCTATCATTTTTATCTTCTTATTCAATATATGGCCTCTTCTGTTTTCTATTCATTCATCCAACTAACATCTCCTCTACCCACTCTCCAATGTTTACCAACACTTATTGTATGCCAGGCATTGTTCAGGGAGATGGAATAAGATAAATAGGAAATACTCAGGAGAACGAGAAATTGCAACATAATATATAAGAAATACAAAACAGAACTCTGAAAAATGTGTGTGTGTGTGTGTGTTTTTTTTTTCGAGATGGAGTTTCACTCTTCTTGCCCAGGCTGGAATGCAATGGTGTGATCTGAGCTCACTACAACCTCCGTTTCCTGGGTTCAAGTGATTCTCCTGCCTCAGCCTCCTGGGTAGCTGAGATTACAGGCACCCGCCACTACACCCAGCTAATTTTTGTGTTTTTAGTAGAGTTAGGGTTTTACCATGTTGGCCAGCTGGTCTTGAACTCCTGACATCAGGTGATCTGCCCACCTTGGCCTCCCAAAGTTATGGGATTACAGACATGAGCCTGCCTGCCTTGTCTGAACTCTGAAAAATGTTGTAGAAAAATCTAGAGATGTGGTGATGTTTGGGTTTCAAGGATGAATAGAAGTTTAACAGTAGAAAATATGGAGAAGGTGATACCAGGTGGGGAAACTTGGTTTTTGGAGATACAGAGGCATCCTCTGGGAGGCTGGGCAGAGGGTGTGAGGTGGTGATTCCTGGAAGATGAGGTTGGCTCAGCAGTGTCTTGAATTCTATGCTAAGACATTTGGATTTTACCCTATAATCTTGTTAAACTAGGGAAGTCATTTAAGCAGGTAAGTGATTACATTTCCAAAAGAGATGATAGGGCTGGTGAAGGGAAGAGATGGGGATTAAAAGTTTCTTTTAATCATTAAGCCTCTAATCAATAAGCAATCCACTGTGTTCCATGAGCCTTTAGTCAGATAATCTAGGCCATGACCCAGGATTGACATCATGTAAAAGACACAGGAGTATACCTTATTTGTTTATGCTGCCTGGTGAATTTTATTATATTTCCTTCCTATTGCACTCAAGGACGCTGGGCTGTTGATTTTTTTTTTCTCTAGGGCCTCTTGCCCCATCATACACACATTCAAACACTTGAAACACGTGTCATAGATACAGCCATTAGAATGTGACTTGATTTAATGTGGCTTCAAATAGAAAAACAGGTAATACCATGTTTTATTTGCACTCTACGGTAAAAATGTAACTCTGTTCCTTGTGACTGGTAGGTCTAAGAGGTGAATGCTACTTATTTAGCAGTTACTCTGGTGAAAGGCCACAGGTCCCTGGCTGCGGAAATGATGAACAGAATACATTTTTTGGTAGTGTATTGGGGTCCTTCTTCAAGGGGACCCAGGCTTCCCTTCATTCAAGGGGTTCTGGGTCTATAAACTGGCTCAAGTCTGGGAGCTGATTGAGGGACTATGATTCTCTGTTTTTATAATTCAAGTTAGACTTGTTCACTTAACCTGGAAGTTTCTGCTTCTATAGAACAAGGATTTAGTGGACTTCCTATTTCACATCTAGGAGCACTTCTAGAGTTATTCAGGTTGTTGCTTTGCCTCTGCTATTCATTATGGTAATTACGCCCACCTGGCATAATTTTTTTTTCCGCTTTTGTGTGTTGCCACTTGGCCTCCGCCACATCAGATGCCAATTACAGATCCTCCTCAACTGGAGTTATCTGGATGTAACCCCACTGTAAGATGAAGATCATACTGAATGCATATCACTTTTGTTCCATTGTAAAGTCCAAAAATCCTAAGCTGAACCATTGTAAGTTGGGGACCATCTCTATTCCTATTGCATTTAAGTTTTCTAATTGAGTGGCTGTGGTTTCCACTGAAAGGTCTGGCTTAGAGAGAGGAGGGGTCATGGAGCTCTTCAAGAATGCTGGGCTCCCCTTACAAGTTGATTTGACAAAGTGTTGGGGAAAGGTATGTCTTCTGGATCCTCCCAGTGTGGGTGAGTGTGTTTTAAGTAGGCCATCCCCCGTTAGAGGGGTCACTGTATGGAGAGGGAATTGGTCCTGTGAGGGAGCCCCAGGCATGGGCATAAATCTATCTCTAAGGATGAAGCACGTGGGTCTCCATCAGTGGACGTGGCCCTCTCCCTGTCAATCTGGGGAGATAAGCACACAAGAGATGTGGACCTGGAAGCATTCATGAGCTTATTCATAGCTAGATCCAATATCTTCCAAGAGTAGCCATCATCTTTTGTTCAGATTCCACACATAACTTTCCGGTCACAAATTGGATTTCCTTGGTCCCTTGGTAGTCAGACCGAGGCTCTCTGGGAGCAGGCATGAGTGTTCTGGTGGTGGGGAGAATCTATTTCCTAGTGGAGTCAATGTTGTAGGAGTTGGGCCTGTATGAAGGCCCTAATGGGATATGGTCACCTCGCACAGCTGCAGGTTCTTTCCCTGAACCCAGTAGCTGGTGGAACTCTCTGTACCTCTCATCCATCAGGCACCAGGTTATTGTCAATGGCCATCAGTTTAGTTGACTGCCTGAGCTGATATTTCTGTTCCCAAGGTAAAAGACAGCATTTACCCTTCAGATAAGAGCGTCATTAGGAGCCTTTAGTAAATCAAAACCAAACTTATATGTTTGATCCTGGTAAAGAGATAAAATGGGCTTGTTTATGCTTGCTTTTCCCAAATATCATAAATATAATCATTGACTTGATTTAGGGCTTTTTTTAAAAAAAAAAAATAGCTGAAATCCACAATTGAGTTAATTTCATAAACTGAGAGTTGAAAACCTTCAAACTGACAATGCAGGTGCCTTCTACCGATTGGCAGTCCCTGATGGATGTGGGCCAGTGGGGGTCCCTAGGCTGCATCACCCAGGGTAGGGACTCTGTTTTTTATAATTCTGAATACCCCCACTTTCAGCCCAGAGCCTAGGTTCTTGGGCACAGTCAGTGCTCAGTCAGTGAAGGTGACTCCAGTGACTCACTTTCCCAACACTCCAGGTCACCTGCACACTGAGCCATTTGGTAGCCTCAGTTGCCAAGGTTTTCCTCTGGGCACATGTCCCTCAAGAAGGGCACAGCTGCAGGAGCACCCTGGAAGGAGGAAGTCCGCTGCTTGGGTGAGCATCCAACACAGTCGCTCGAGATGCTTCAAATGCTCAGAGCCACTCAGGACTGGGAAGAGATAGATGTGCATAATTTGCCATGGGGAAGCAAATCTTCCCAAGGGCGCCTATTGATTTCTTCCTCTATTCTGGAAGATTTGTGTGGCCTTCCAAGAATTCAATGTCATCAATAGGCCTGGCAGAAACTTAGCTTTTCCCTGAATTTTGGAAGGTTATGTCTGCCATCCACACCACACAACACCACATTTAGGTCTCTGCAGCCCCCTAAACCTAGTTCCTTCATGTTAGTATGGCAAATTAACAGTGATGTTAGCTGATTTTGTTGAACACTTAATATGAGAGGAGTATTATTCTAATCACTGTATGTGCCCTATGAGACAGAAGGTGTTATTGTCCCCATTTTACAGATAAGGAAACGGACACCCAGAGAGATTAAGCAACTTGCCCAAATAATAATTGACACAGAGCACTTCCTGAGTATCAGATACTTTCCATTTTCCATGTACTGGATTCTTCACATTATTTAGTCTTTCATAATATAGGCACTATTTATGATTTTATTTATGAGGAAACTCAGGTGTAAACAGGTTAAGTAACTTGTTCAAGGTCACAGTGATGACATATGGCAGGTTTGGACAGTCCCTTGGGGTTGGCTATCTCAAAATCATTCTCTCCTGCTTCTCAGGATGTATTTTGCTAGGATAACTTGATTATTTGCAGGCTTAGATATGTTGCTGAGTTTTTCTCCTTCAAAGCCTAGATGAATTGCCTAAAATGATTATTATGCTATGTTCATAATTTATTTCCATTTCTGAAGCCAGTCTGCAAAAACTTAAAATATGTCAGACTGAGCACTAAATGAGATTTCTACAACCTTTTTGGAATGTAATCTGGAATATCTATTAAAACAAATAACATACTTGTCTTTGTTGTTCAGCAGTCTCTCTTTGGGACATTCTCCTACAGAAACACAAGCACTAGGAAGATTAGTTATATGATTAAGGAAGTTCTTGTAGCATTGTTTATAATGACAAAAAGTGGGGAGAGTCTGACAGCTTATCACCAATGTGTGTGTGTGTGTGTGTGTTGCAGACAAACAGATTGACAAATTGCAGTTGGAATATTGTGCAGCTATGACCTATATTTTCTGACCTGGAATATAAGTAGGTGACAGGAGCAAGTATCAGAAACACATGGATAGGAAACTCTCATTAAAAACAAACAGGCTGGGCATGGTGGCTCCTGCCTGTAATCCCAGCACTTTGGGAGGCAGAGGCAGGTGGATCACCTGAGGTCAGGAGTTTGAGACTAGCCTGGCCAACATGGTGAAACCCTGTCTCTACTAAAAATACAAAAAATTAGCCGAGTGTGGTGGCGGGTACATGTAATCCCAGCTACTCAGGAGGCTGAGGCAGGAGAATCGCTTGAACCCGGGAGGCGGAGTTGCAGGGAGCCAAGATGGTGTCACTGCACTCCAGCCTGGGCGATGGAGTGAGTCTCTGTCTCAGAAAACAAAACAAAAGAAAAAACAAACATGTACCATACCTGTGGATATGATTTATGACGCTCTGAGTCTTAGGAGCAAGTAGAGGAGTGTGGAAAGACACATACCAGGCTGTTAACCTTCATTATCTGGGAGGTGAGGGTAATACAAGGGGAAGAATGACATTGGGGGACACTGTTAATTTTCTGTGTTGCTTTAAAGGTAGTGGTGAAACACATTTAAAACACATTTAAAAGGTAGTGGTGAAACACATTTACAAAACTAAAAAATGAAGTATAATTTACATGGTAAATTCTCAGTTCAGGATGAACATGCACAGTCATACCTTATCTGTATGGTTTGATCAGTCTTGACAAATGCTTACCCCCATGTAGTCCACACCCCTATCTATATACAGGCATGTCCATCATCTTGGAAAGCTGATTTGTGCCCCTGCCGGGCAATCCCTGCCACCTGCTCTCCCACAAAGAACCACTATTCTCACTTCTTTCACCATAGGTTAGCTTTTCCTGTTCTAGAAATTCCTAAAAATGGAACCATACGGTGTGTACTCTTCTGTGTGTAGCTTCTTCTGCCCAATACAATGTTTTTGATATTCATCCACATTGCTGATTTATCAGTAGTTTGTTCCTTTTTATTGCTGAGTAGTATTCTTTTGTATGACTATATCACAACTTGTTTTTCCATTCTTCTGTTAATGGACATTTGGTTTGTTTCCGGTTTTTGACTTATGTGGCTACTGGCCACAAGTGGAGGGAGTACTTAGGGAAAATTTGCCGTGTTTACGATACTGAGTTTTTCAGTCCATGAACATGAGATATTTCTCTATTTATGTCTTTAACTTCTTTCACTGAAGCTTCATTTACAGTTCTTGCACATATTTTGTTAAATTTATCCCTATTTCATGTTTTTTGGTATTATAATTATAATTTCTACTTTTTTTGTGGCTGGTGTGTGGGAATACAATGTATCATCGTGTATTGAGCCTTGCAGCTGTGCTAGGTTTTAGCTTTTTACTTTTCAGTTCTATTTTTTTGTAGCATCTTTAGGATTGTCTACATATGTTTATGTTACCTGAAAATAAAATAATTTGCTTCTATTTTCCCCCCAACCTGAGTACCTTTTATTTCTTTTTTCTGCTTGGATGCACTAGTTAGAGCATCCAGCAAAGTGCTGAAGTGGTGAGAGTAGGCATCCTGGCTGTGTTTTTGAGCTCAGGGAGAAAATATTCAGTCGCTCACCATTAAATATGACAATAACTGTAAGTTTTCTATTGATAACCTGTATTCAGTTGAAAAAAGTTCATTTCTATTCTAAGTTTGCTGGAATTCTTTATCATAAATAAGTATTGGATTTTGTCAAACACTTTTTGTGTATCTATTGAGACATGTATAAGCTGTTTCTCTTTAATCTGTTAATATTCTGAATTATATTGACTGATATTTATAATCCTGGAATAAACTATTTGTCATGATATATTACCTTAAAAATTATATGTAAATTTTAAAGTATTCAATTTCCTAATATTTTATTAAATATTTTTGTGTCTGTGTCATGAGGGATATGGGTTGGGGTTTTCTTTTCTTCTAAAGCCTTTGGTATGATTTTGATATCATAGTAGCACTGGCCCCATAAAATGTGTTTGAAAGTGTTTTCTATTTTCCAAAAGAGTTTATGAATAATTGGTATTATTTTTTTCTTATGTGTTTTGCCCAATTCAACAGTGAAGCTATCTGGACCAAGAGGGCTTTTTTTTTTTATGTGTGTGTGGGGCAAAGTTTTTGATAATAAATTTAATTTTTAATTTAGATATATGGCTGTTTATATTTTCTATTTCTTCTTTTATAAGTTTTGGGAATTTGTATTTTTTCAAGAAATTTGTCAATTTCATTAAGTCATTAAATTTAGTAGTATACATTTGTTTAGAATACTTCTTGTCCTTTTAATGCTTGTCATGTATGTAGTAATGTCTTCTCTTTCATTCCTGGTATGGTTAAATTTATGTTGTTGCATGGTATACATTTTCTCATCCTTTTATTGTCATTTTTTCTTTATATTTAAAGTGAATCTTTCATAAACATCATATAAGTGGATTTTGCTTAAAAAATATCCAATCTGACAATCTCTGCGTTTCCATTTAACGTAATTATTTGTATGATCGGGCTTAAACCCACCATCTTTCTATTTGTTTTCCATTTGTCACCTTTGTTGTTTGTTCACTTTTCTCACCCTTTCCTGTATGTATACTTTTTTGCTAGTATTATATCACTTACAAAATAATCACTTGTTGAATGATTTAAGAACCTTCTAGTAGTATACTTCTGTAAAACTCTCTGATTCTTTATTCTACTTTTTAAGATACATTTTGCTTTTAGGTATGTTATATTCCCTGCAATAGAGCGTTAGTTTTTTTAAGCAGTAAATTGTCTTTTAGAGAAATTAAGAGATATGAAAAAGGTCTTTTATATTTAGCCACGTCATGATCATAATTCTTTCATGCAGATGTGAGAGTTCATCTGATGTCAGTTTCCTTCTGGTTGAATAACTTCCTAAAGAAATTGTTTTTCTTTCTAGAGCCAGGGCAATGTGGAGCTCACCTGTGGCTCCTTCTAGGTAATATCCACTGGACTGTCAATGAAAGTCCTGGGATTGTATTGGAAAGGGGGATTTTTATTATGTGTTTATTTTTAATTGACAAGTAAAAATTGTGTATATTGATGGTGTACTACATGACATCTTGATATATGTATGTATGTATACATGAGGAATGGTTAAATCAATCTCCTTAACATATGTGTTACCTCACATATTGATCAGTTATTGTGTTGAGAACACTTACAATTTACTCTCAGTAATTTTCAAATATGAAATATATTGTTATTCTAGTCACCAAAATGTAAGGGCATCAAGCTCTCTTGAACTTATTTTTCCTGTCTAACTAAAATTTTGTGTCCTTTGATAACCATCTCCCTAATTTCCCCATCCCACAGTCCTTGGTAACCACTATTTTACTCTGTTTCTTTGAGGTTGACATTTTTGCACTCCACATATAAGTGAAATTGTGTGGTATTTGTCTTTCCATGACTGGCTTATTTTATTTAACATAATGTCCTCCAGGTTCATGCATGTTGTCACAAATGACAGGATTTACTTCTTTTTAATGGCTGTGTAGTATTCCGTTGTGTATATATACCACAATTTCTTCATTCATCCATTGATGGACACTTAGGTTGATTCTATATCTTGGTTATTGTGAACAGTGTTGCAATGAACGTGGTAGTGCAGATATCCCTTAAACATACTAATTTCATATGCTTTAGATGTATACCCAGAAGACAGATTGCTGGGTCATACGGTAGTGCTGTTTTTAATTTTTTGAGAAAACTCAGTGGTGTTCTCCATAATGGCTGTACCATTCTACATTTCCACCAACAATGTACAGTGGTTCCTTTTTCCCAATCTCCTGCCAGTGCTTATTGTCTTTTGTCTTTTTGATAATAGCTATTTTAATAGGCATAAAGTGATATCTCAATGGAGTGCCAGTTTACATGGGAAAAGGGCTCTGGGAGCTTGAACCATCTTCATGCTATCCACATTTCTGGGTCCTAGGATGCTGGTGGGCCCCGCTTCTGTAGGGGGCTGGCACCCTTAGCTTGGTGAAGAAAGAATTTCTTTGACCAGGAATCTCCCTGATGACTGATTATTTTGCCTCCTTCTCAACCACAGCTCTGAGGCTTCTGGGAAATTATTTTTAGGAAGCAAAAACTAGGCAGATGGGAGCCACCAATTTGATCATTGGGAATGGCTTCCTCAAGTTCTTAGTTTAGAATATTGGGCAGTCACACACTAGAAATAGCTCTTGGAGATTTCCCATGCTGGGTCTCTGATTTTTAAAAATGGTACATGCAGTCCTTAAATTTGGGCTTGTAAGTTCAGCTGAACTCTTTCCAACACAATAGACTGCTTCTTGGCAGGGTTAAAAAAAAATAGGCCTCTATCAAAACAGAGGTTCTTTGTGGAAAACCTAGGGTGCAGTGATGAGAAACAATTGCGGCAGAATGACTTTATGCTGCAGAAATAGAAAAGAAGAACCACAATTAGACTGTGTTACCACCCACCCTGCAGCAGGCAACAGTGAATTTTGCCAGATGAGAAATCTCGAATGGGGTTTTGGGGATGTCCAAACTGTAGTGTCTCAACATGACATTTTGTTTGCTTGGAGAGATGGCTGTGGTGGTTTGGTAAGTTTTCAAGATAAAGCAACGCGTAGATGATCACATTCTCAAGTCATGACTAAGAAGATTCAGGCTGTCTAAATAAAGGGAATCAGTCCTATTAAGTGGCCTCCAAATGTAATTAAGTTGCCAAGTCAGTAATTTCCTATATGTGGACACCTCATGCATGACTAACACCTTTGTTCTCCAATCAAAACACGCTAAGAAAAGAAGAAAACAAACACAAAATGAAAGGGATATTTCAAAATGCACCCCTAAGAATTTAGCCTTGAACTCTGCATGCTTTATTACAAACTTGTACCTAAGTCAGATATTGCTGAGGAAGTCACCCATTTCGTTTTACAAGGTTGGCCAAATGCTAATCTTGCAAAGGCAGCAGGCTGTGCCCACTCATGAACTGAGATGGGAGAGTCTAAGTAAAATGCCTGAAGAATCAACTTGAGATGTAGAGGAACAAGGATTTGACCTTGGGCTGTCTGGCTTCGGGTCTGCACTGTTCTAGGCCCTGCCACTGGTAACAAGGTCTCTTGCCATAGGAACAGTTGGTGGATATTGATTTTCTTGCAGTCATGGAGCAGCAGCCAGAGCTGGGGAGTGGTGTGTGCCATGTTCCCTCCGCTGTTCAGCCCAAGGCAACCGGGAGGTGAAGCATGGGCGAAAGAAGCTATCCTGTGGCTGTAGCTCTGAGATAATGATAAACAGAGGTGAGAGGCAGCCCCAAGTCCAGTGGGCTCCAAGAGGCTAGAATAGGCTCTTCGCAGTGCCAGCCTCCCCCAGAAGACAGCCAAGCTGGTGGGTTTGATCTCGGCAGGAGGTGAAACTAAGGGCCAGGCTGTTTACTGAGCTAGTCTCATGAAAGGAGTTGGATATTGGCAGAAATTTCAAAATCTGACTGCAGGACTGAGCTATTTATGTTGAAAACATTTGAATGACTTTTTCCCCCCCTCTTCTTCCACAATGTAAGATGGGCAGACTTCCAGGCTTGCCTCCGCACCCAGCCAGACTCCAAAAGCTGCCTGGTGTTCTCTCTGCCTAAACTGCAACGAGCCTGACTGAATAAATGCCCCGGCAGAACTCCCTGAGCGCTCAAGTTTAATATGCACTTGACCTCTTTGTCTTTCAGAAATGAAATTTATTGAGTTTGGATTCCAGCACCCCTGGCCCCCACTAACATCTAATTAACCAGACCACACTTTGACATCAAAAGTGCAGGAGAAAATGAGGAGATGTATTATGATGTTCTCTCTGCAGGAGCCCCAGGGGAGGGGCTGGGGAGCTGAGCCAGGGGTCTTTTGAAGTATCTGAGTTGGTGGTCTGTGTTCTGCCAGAATGCAAGATAAGCAGGTCCTCTGCCTTTGCTGCTTTCCTTTTATTCCCAACAAAGAGCTATTATCTTTCCTTTTGTTGTCACTTACTCTTCTTGGCCTGAATTTCCCAGGCTCTGAATCTGAGTTCTTCTGATGCACCAAGAGACAAGGGGGCAGCCAAATGTGGCACCCCCACCCACCCCAATATTCTCCTACGACCTTGCTACTTTGCCTAGATCCCAACCATGAAAACCACTCCTTTTTCATCAGGGTACTGTGTCTGGAGAGCGCCATGAAAATACATCATCAGAGACAGGATAATACATTAATAATCCATGAGAAGTGGAATCATGGCCCATTGAAATAGAGTTTGAGAACTACTTATTTAATCTAATTTCCTGATTTTAGGAGGAAGCTGCAAAGATAGAAGGATAGAGGAGATGAAGGCAAATTTTGACATTTGTCTAAAGCAACTAAGAATGACTGCAGAAGCCTTCTTTTCTATTCTCTGACTCTTGGGTGGATGCTGATCACGGTTTAGCCTTCAGAAATGGGTTTTTTTTTACTGGAATGGGGCAGAATGGGGCTTCTGGGACATGTTGGAAACTTCAGCTGCAGGAGATCATGGGGACAGTGCTGGGCAGGCCTGGGCAAGTCTTGGCTATGAAGCCTGAGCAAGCACTGCAGGACTAACTTAGGTAAAGGAGTGACAAGTTGACCAAATGCAGTGGCCAGAGGTTTGCGAGCACCTTGCATTTAATTTTAAGTTGTAGTGCTTCCCAAGAAGGCTCCATCTGGCAGGTAGAATAAAGCAGGAATGGGGTTTGGTATATGAACGTGAGGCCATGATTGTTTTTGAGATTTAAATGAGATAATACCCACACGTCACTTAACCCAGTGGCTAGCATACAGTATGTGCTCAATAAAGGGTTTTGATTATCCTTGTTGTTATTATCAGATAATGTGGATGGGGCAAAAGGAGACATTTCAGAACCTGGGTCAGAGGAGCAGAGAGAGGGAAGAATGGAGATGAAGGCAAAGCAAAGGGCAGCAAGGACTCAGAGAAGGCAGAGATGACCGTGGCAGAGTGCACCAAAGCATGCACTTATGGAGTCTCAAGGCCTGTCTGTCCTGGGAAGAAAGGGAAGAGGCATAGGGGTGTGTGGCCTGTTCTTTGCCTCCAGCAAGCTCCATGTGGTCAGGGACCATTTCTGACTTGTTGATGGTTCTAGTGAGGGCATAGAGCACACTGTGGGACACACAGCAAGAGCTGGTATCCTGCACATATCCTCTAACACTCATCATTTTAAGGCCACTTGACCTGCTTTCCAATTGCTAGTTTCTACCTTTCTTTGCTTGACAAATTTCTCAGGTTGCTGAAATCTATTAAATACTTTGACCCCCTGAGTGGAGGACCAGAAGTAGGAGAATTACACCACTGGGAAAGCAGTCTTCTACCATTGACTGAGTTTGTCAATACCCCAGCTCTGGAGGCATAAGTCTAAAGCCCTGGCTATACACTGCCTCTCAGACCACAGGCGGACTTGACATCACACTCCTTGTTGGCTGCCTTCTCTTCCTTGACTTTTCTTCTCCTCTCCAGGTGTTTTCTTTGCCTCACAGATAAACTGTTGGCACTTGAATTCTTACCTGAGGATCTCCTTCTGGGGGAACCCAAACTAAGTCCATGCTCCATAGCTGGTAGTTGAATGAATGAATGAATAAATGCATGAGGTGGGCCTACTCAATGTTTGCAGCTTTGCCCTTCTCACTTGTCACTTCATTCCAGAAGTTTCTGGTGCACAGGGTGGCAAATATGGCATCCACAGACTCAGACACCCCAATTTTGTCCCCAGACCTTGCTCTTTTTTGTGTGTTACTTCTTTTTTCCAGCATGATCAAAAGGAAAAGATTTTTTCTGCTGTAAAGCCCCCATTCTTGGGCATTCTGCTTAGCGATCCATACTTGCGTCAAGGAGGACCCTTCCTTCCCTCCTGTTTTTTCAGAGCCTGCTTCTCTTCATCACTCATTCTTAATGTTTCTTTAATAGAATCAGCCAAGAAACACACCAGACTGTTGTAGCTTTATCACCAAGAAAGGCTGAAAAGATGGGATAACAGAATCTGTCATTCAAAACAAAAAGAGCCACGTGCAGAGAGATGACCAAAGTGGACAGATAGAATCTGGGTGTCCAGGGAATCCAAGCTGCTGCTGAGGCCTCCCTCAGAGAAATTTGTTAAACAATCTCCAAGTCTTGTACAATTAGATGACAACATTTATTTGCAAATAGGAAGGGTGATGGTGACAGCCCTGTAATTTATGTCTTCAATAAGTGGCTCATGCCCAGCTTCAGAATGGATCCATTGCCGTTCAATCTTGCCCCCGGTTTTCACATTTTTGCATTTATACTGGGGACGTAAGTGACAAAACAGAGCATGTGACAGGCCAAGTTGTTGTTGGCTTCATTTTCAGATTGCCAATAGTGCTGCTTTTTGATAAGATAATTACTTCATTTGGTGCATGTTTCTTCTCTAATAGCAAATTGTGCAATATTGGGACTGTTTCTGGAGCATTTCTCCTCATGCATTTGCAGAGGGAAGGAGTAGGTAGTTATTGCTTTGTTACTTGAGGTTGGAAATTTCTCAGTTTGGCAGGGAAGATTCTAAAATCTCTTCACTGACAGAAACCTCTAAGTTCCTCTTATTCATTTCATATTCAAATGGTCAAATTATTTCCCTAGCATTGTCATCTAACATCACTTTTCTATTGGAGGTAACATACAATTTATTGTCCAAATGAGAATCTTTTTGAGGATGAGGGAACATTATTAATAATTACCCCAGGATGTGTAAACTTGCAAATTGGGACCTATAAGGATGCTACCTTCTGTGCTTGTAAACTCTTAGGGATGGGGAACTTCTTTAACCTGACAAAGTATATATGTCAAAAACCTATAATATCTCATGCTTACTGGGTAAAAACACATTTTTCTTAAAATTAAGAAGGTCATCTATTCTTAACTTTTCAATATGATATTGAAGGTCTTAGCCATGGTCTCATTCACAGTGACAAAATATGAAACAGGAGGTATAAGGATTGGAAAGAAGAAGCAAAATTGCCATTTTCATGGACAATTATGTTTGCCCATATAGAAAACCTGAGAGATTCTAAAGATAATAATTAGCATTAATAATAGAATTCATTGTTTGTTGGATATCAATATACAAAATAAGCTATATTCTGTACACAAGATATTGAAACACTACAATAGCAGCAAAAATCTAATGTGCTTACAGATAAATGTAATAAAAGCTGTGTATGACTTTTATGAAAGAAAATTATAACACTTGAAGCAAATCTAAATAGATATACCATGTTCAAGGATATGTTGATTCAATATTGAAAAGATGTTGCTCCTTACTAAGTTAGCTTATAAGCTCAATACAATTCCAATAAAAATTTTAACAAAGTATGTGTGGAACTTTATGGACTTATTCTAAATTGGATCTGGAATAACCAAGGGCTAAGAATATCGAGGGCACTTTTGAAGTAGTATAAGGTGGGGATTCACTCTGTCAGGCACCAAGACTTGTTATAGAGCTTCAATTGGCAAAAATTAAAAGTATAAAAATACCTAGTACTAAAGAAGATCTGGGTCCACAGTATCTCTGGCACATTGCCTTATTGGAGTAATGATCAATAATTTTACTAATGAATATTTATTTTCAACCTGTTACCAAAAGATATCATTGAAAGTAAAGCACCAATAAGACTGGGAGGAGAAACTTGGAATCACATTGCCAACAATGGATCCAGGCCAGAATACAGAAAAATCAGCCACAAACCAACTAGAAGAAGACAAACATCGTAGAAAAGTAGGCAAAAGATATGAACAGGAAAGAACACAAATGGCTAAGAAACAAATACTGCTCAAACTCACGGGTAATCAGGAAAAATGAAAATAAAAACTATAAGAAGATTGTATTTCATGCTCACAAGACTAGCAAAAAAAAAAAAAAAAAGCAACAGTATCAAATATAATTGAGAATTTGGTACTACAGAGCTATCCTACATTGCTGTTGTAAGGGTACATTAATAAAAACCAATTGGGAGAAACATTTTCAAATTTCCAGAAAAATTGAACATGCATAAACATCTTTAGATATAAACCCTAGAGCAACTGTTACATGAATTCAAAGACATGTGCACGAAGGTTCATGACCACAGTTTGTAATGGCCTCAAATTGAAACAACCTATATGCCCATCAATAGGAGAATGAATAAATTAGCTGAGTAATAGTCATAATGGAATACTCTAGAGCAGGGGTTGCCAAACCTTTTCCGTAAATATAATTATAAAGATTTTAGGCTTTGCAGGCCATACAATCTGCCACAGCCACTCAACTCCACCATTGTAGCAGGAAAACAGCCATAGACTAAATACTTAAATGAATGTGTGTGGATGTGTTCCAATAATTTTATTTACAAAAACAGGTGGCCAGTTGGATTTGGCCCAGGGGCCAACTTCCACTCTACAGAAATGAGAATGAATCCACTAGAGTGACTTATATCAACATTGACGAATCCCACCAGTAGGAAGTTGAGTGAAAAAATAAGTTGCAGATGAAATTATATGTATGATATTTGTTATGGACTGAATGTTTTCATTTTTCTCAAGTTTATATGTTGAAATATCACTCTGCCACGTGATGGTATGAGGAGGTGGGGCCTTTGGGAGGTAATCAGGAATAGATGAGATCGTGAGGGTAGAGTGCTTATGAATAGGCTTAGTGCCCTTCTAAGGGTCATGAGAGAGCATGCTTTTCTGCTGTTTTCCTATCATGTGAGGATACACATAGAAATCAGTAGTATGCAACCCAGAACAGGGACCTCACCAGAACCCGACCATGCTGGCATTCCGATTTTGGATTTCCAGGCTCCAGGACTGTGAGAAATAAATTTCTGTTATAAGCCACCCAGTCTATGACAATACCATTTACATAAAGTTTTTAAAACATGCAAAAAATTACCAAATATTGCTTGAGGCATAAATGTATAAATAAAGTAAAATATAAAGAAATGTATTAGGATGATACACACTCAATTCAGGGATAGGAGTTACATCTTGGAGGTGAAGGCAAGGTTGAAAATACAACTGGGGAGGGGGACCTGGGGACTTCAACTATATTTCTAAAATGTTCTTCCTCCTTTCCTCCCTTTCTCTCTCTCCCTTACTTCCTTCCTCCTCCTTCCTCCTCCTTCCTCCTCCTTCCTCCTTCTCCTCTCTCCTTCCTTCCTTCCTTCCTTCCCCTTCCTTTCTCTCTGCCTTGCCTTGCCTGAGGCAGGGCTGTCACTCAGGCTGGAAAGCAGTGGCGTGATCATAGCTCACCGCCGCCTTGAACTCCCGGGCTCAAGCAATCTTCCTGTCTCAGCTTCCTGAGTAGCTGGGACTGCAGGTACACACCACTATGCCTGGCCAGGTTTGATTTCTTAAGCAGTAGAGTAGGTAGGTGAGTGATTGTTGTAGTATTTCCTTATGTTTTTTGTGTATCTTAAATATTGCATAATGTATTTAAAAATAACACAAAATAAAAGAGACTCCTGTAGAGGAGATGGTTTCCATGTCATTTTATGGAATGAAATGTCCAAACTCCATGTGTCCATTAAATCCTTTCCCTGTCCACACTCATGAAACCCAGCTCAGGGTTCTTAGGCAAGACAGTCTCGTCATCATATGATCCTTCTTTTTTTGTCTCCTTTGCTCTGAGAAGATCAGGAGGTAAGAAGCAGATGGAACTTTCTGTGAATGTTTTCTGTTATAACTTCCTGGGACCACATTCTCCCATTTGTTCACACGGGTGTCAGCTGGGTGTAGCAGTTTGGGAAGCCAGGATAGATTCCAGGATGACTGAAATGGTGTGGACTCCAGCCTCTCTCAGGTGAAGGAGCTGCACCCCTAGAGGCTGTCCCCTGACTCCTCAGCCACTCTCAGCACCACCATGGAGCAGACAGTGCGATGACTGGACATCCAAGTCCTTGCACTTCAGGCAAGTGGTTTGTCCTAAGGCCATGTCGTCATCTGAAAATCAGGAGTCATAGTTTCTGCTTCATGTTGCTCTTTGTGAACATGAAGACCTCGCCCATAAAGAACCCAGCAACCTTTCCCAACCCCAAGTGTCTGAAGAGAGGAGGGTACAGCTTACATTTCCTTCAAAAATACACACTCCAATAACAAAGCACAGAGAAGATTAGTTCTTTTTTCCCTTTTAGATTACTGTAATATGCCACTGAATTACATTTAATATTTGCCCTCTTTGGATTCCTTTGCTATTGATTCCAGAAATTGGTACTTGTAAAAGGCCATTGAAGGAAAGGGGGCGTGGCAGGAAGCACAAAATTTAATCATATTTCTTTCAGAGCTTTCTGCATCAGAGAGGGTTTGCTCATTTCTGCTGCCATCACAGTTCTTTCCTTTATTTCCTCCATGGTAAATGAGATCTTTTCTTCTCTCTTCTAAATGTTTACACTTTTGTCAGAAGTCACTGCCCTCATGATTGGTCTGTATATCTAGAATTACAGAATCGCAGTGTCAGAGGAACCTTTAGAGGCCACTTCATGTTGGAAGAATCTTTCCTATAGCTGTTCTGAGAGCTGAGCCTTGGTCTCTGATTGCTTCTGGGGATGAGGACCTCACTACTTGTAGAAAAAGCAGGATTTTGAATTTATTTTTACAGACCCAGGGAGCCAGGAGTCCAACTCCATTACTAATTGCCTGGGCAACCTTGGCCAAAATTTGCCACTCTTCCATGCCTCAGTTTTCTCATTTGCAAAATGGGCCTTTCGCATAATTGCATCTTCCTCATAGGATTGTTATTAGGGTTAAATGAAAATTTGGGCAAGTACTGAGTACAGTGCCTTATGCATAATGTGGGTCAATACAACTTAGCTATTGTGATGATCGTAAGTGAGTTATTTGTCCACAAGCAAGTGGCAGAGCTGTACTGGAACCCAGGCCTCCAGATTTCTGGCTTATGGGCACCACTTAGCCCCACCCCAGTGATAAGGATAGTTGTTTGCCCAGGAAGAATGAACATTGAAATAGCTGGTTATGGTTCCATAACGAAATGCTGGTAATTAAAAGCTACAGCACTCAGCTACAGCCCCCCATGATTACTGGGATTCTTTTAAGTATTCTTTTGCAGAGATGGATGGGATTGTCACGCTTCCACTTCACATATGGAATCTGATTACAGGTGTGCTCAAGAGCCTGAACTGTCTCCAGCAGTGGAGTGCAGGCTTTGATGAGGGTACAAATTAGGGGTGCAATTTCTTGGGGAGCTTAAAAATAACATGCTTAGCCCATTGACAGGGCCTTAGGATACTATTCATTCTTAATTGCTGCTGCAAGGAGTAATGTCTGGCTTATGTTATACACACACACACACACACACACACACACACGCACACAAAAACGCACACACACACACATCTCATCAAAATTTTTCTCTTTTTCTTGCTCAGTTTAAAAATAAAAACCATAATTATTTTGCTTATGGAAATGCTAGGGAAATTTGTTTATTATAACGGCTCAGTGCTGTATTTCTTTTGTCTGAAGGTAACCCCAGCTCCCAGAACATGGAAAACACCTGACTAAGTGTCCTTTGAATTGAGAAACCAAAGTGCTAAGTTAGGTACTAGGTCTCCCTCTGAGATCAGATGGGACTAGGAGCTTTCTCTGGGGAGGAACTTGCTTTTTTTTCTCTTATTTAAAATTAATTTTTTTCTTTATAGTAGTAAATGTGTTCATTGTAAAAAATATAGAAAATTCCTGAAAAGCACGGGCTAGAAACTGAAAATTGTCCTAAGTCTCACAACCAGAGATAACTCCTGTTCGCAGTATAGGCTGCAAGAAATCTAGTTATCTTTATAAAAGAGGTCAAGGCAGGATAATAATACAGGTAATGCCATAAGGAAGCATTCATAGCAGCAGAAAACAAAACTTTTCCTATCCATTTTATGTATTTTAATCTCATTTAATTCTTACAACAACGCTGCTTATATTAGCTTCATTCTACAGATGAGGGGACTTGAATGCTGAAAGTTTAACTTGCCAAAGTCACAATGGTAAGTGGCAGTATGCGCTCTTAATTACCATGTCAAATTGAATATGGAACTTTGAAGCCATCCTTTCGAAACGTCGTGCCCTGTGTGTTTTACCTTATAAAACAAACATTTATGAACAAGGTGTTAACAGGCTGTTGGGTTTTCTAATTGGCTGAACCCAACAGGCTGTTGAGTTCTGTAATTGACTGTGTGAATGGCATGCACATGGCTTATACTTTGTGAACTTCTTTCTATTCCATTGACTGTCTGCACCAACAATGTACTTAAATGATCTTGTTACCGAAATGCCAGGGTTTGGTCTAGGTTCTGTTGCTCACTGCACAGAAAGCCAATCACTGAGACAAGTATTGCCAGGAAAGAATGCTTTTTATTTGGGTGATGCCAACCAGGAGGATGGGAGATAAGTCTCAAATCTGTCTCCCCAACTGACTAAAATTAGGGGTTTATATAGCAGTGAAGAAATGTAACTACATGAAGGAAAACAGGAATTAGGTTAGGGTCAGGAAACAATCATATTGAATGAGGGGTCTGGTCCCTCTTTGTCCATATGTGGTGATCTGGTAAGTTTCAATTCCTTGATACTATCTGGGATGCCTGAAGATCAGTTTTCTGAGAAAGGAACTCAGATAAGACAAATGCAAGTTTGAAGCTTTAAGATCAGGAGGGTCAATTTCTATGTTTATCCAAAAATTATAAACCTTTGTTCTATGAGTAAGTTGGGCTGGTCTTAATCCCCTGGTTTTGGATATGTAGGTATTTGATATTTTTTATTATCAAATCCCTGCAAGGTCTATATTTGCAGTTAAGGCTTTGTCTGCATTTGATCATTTCCCTAGGAAAGATTCACAGATGTGTTGTAGTCAAGTCTGAGTTTTTGGTGGTGTTAAGCCACCACCAGTGTGGGCATCTAACAGCCAGGCAGGTGAGTGTTCTGGAGATGTAGTGAAGTCATAGACAAACGTACCCAAAGGTTGAAGTCTCCAGCCAGAGTGCTGGGGCTCAGACTCCCTAGGTGTTGCCCTTAGTTCTTCTGTGGGAAGGACCTTTTTCTCACATTGAGGCCTTTTGCACTCCCTGGGCAGACCTCACACAATGGACAACAGATGACTTCACTGTCATCTGCTATCTGCAATCCAGGCCTGTGCATCCTGGGTCGTGGAGAACTTTGAGGCAGTTTGAGCACTGACTTTGTCATTTCACTAGGAGATGACTGGAAATAAATTCATCTGGACCTACACTTCCCAACATTTTTTGGCTTGAAGATTTTCCTTCATAGTAAGAAATTGTCTCAAAAAAAATACCCTTTTTGAATTTTCAAATGTCTTTAAAAAAAGTTTTCATGTGATAAAGGCTAAAAATGTGACTTTTAGGCAAGAAATGGTATTACATGATGTATTATTAAAACCTGAGTTTTTAAAACCCTTTAAAATAAAATTATAAATCATATTCATAATATAGAAAAGGCAAATTTTGACCTTTTGTCAGTTAAGAAATGACCAGTGACACTTCATGAAGTATGAAAAAGCATGATTTGCTGGCAAATAGATTAAAAATTGACATTTGCCACCATGTTTGGGTTTGGGATCAAATATATACTTCATGTGACCCAAAATTTGACCTTACATTACAGCTTCAGAAATAGGTACACGTTGTTTTTATGCTCTGACATTTGAGATGCCTAAAATTTTGCTTACAATTAAAACTGTTCTTTTAAGTAAATTTAGCATTTTGTTTCTAAATGACATGAGAGAGGGTTTCAGGCTACTTTTGCAAGCCTGTCTTCACTAATAACATCCCACAGGCTGCAGCTGGTCTTTATTTTTAATAAATACAATGTCAATTGGACAGATAGTTACTCTATTTTCTCTTTAGAAAATGACTTTTGAAGTTGTGGAGACAGCTTGATGAGTTCCTTTAGCATTTTGTTCAGATGGATGCAATTTCTAATCCTGGTGGAGATGGTCTGGGGGTGAATTGGCATCACTTTTGTGTTCCTCATGTATTCCCACATCCTATGGGGAAAAACCTGATGTTTCAGACCCACTGCCAGCTGACCTCTGCTGAACCCTTCACAGATGCCCTTGGCCAGCCCTGGAAGGCTCTCGAAACATTCCGCTTTAAACAGAAAACATTTCCATTGATAATTGTGTTTATTGTTTTTTAAAGAATAAAATCGAAGCAGACAGTTTTATCACCATAATGACTGAAAACCCTCAGATGTGTTTGTGAGCCCTGGGGCATGGGGTTTTGAACCCCCAATTGAAAGCTGGTCATCTGGCTGGGTGCGGTGGCTCATGCTTGTAATCCCAGCAGTTTGGGAGGTCGAGGTGAGCCAATCATGAGGTCAAGAGATCAAGACCATCCTGGCCAACACGGTGAAACCCCATCTCTACTAAAAATATAAAAATTATCTGGGCATGGGTGGCGCACACCTGCAGTCCCAACTACTTGGGAGGCTGAGGCAGGAGAATCACTTAAACTTGGGAGGCGGAGGTTGCAGTGGGCCGAGATTACACCACTGCACTTCAGCCTGGTGACAGAGCAAGACTCTGTCTCAAAAAAAAGAAAGTCATCAGGGCAAATGCTCCCTCCAGCCTTTTGCTGGGCACTTGCTGCGTCACTTTGGACTCAGTGCTTCACACAGGATGCCATGGTTGGAGGCCAGATTTCTTTCATGGCCCCCATTTAGAGCATTTTCTGAAGGGAAGGCATCAGGAATTCGGGGTTGGGCTTGGGGCCTGGGTGTTAGGAACCCCTGTTGATTCCTTTAGCACAGCTTCTCCTCTCTCTCTCTCTGGGCCTCAGTTTCCTCACCTGCAAAACAAAAGCACTGAATTATATGATGCTGAATCATAGGCTAGGATTTAGATTCTTTCTTAAGCACAAAATCCCTTTTCTTCCTATCCCATGACAGATCAATTTTAGGCACCAATCTGTTCCCTTGGAAAAAATTATTTGAAGGAAGCTCTCTCATGGGAGCCACAAACCTTGCTTGGAGAAGGGTTGAGAGAGGCCAGAGCACCATCCTTACTCTCATTCTCCCTTATGAATAGTGAGCTACTCTTGGGTTGTGACTTTAGTGGCACCGAGAGCTCCAGAAAATTCCCTTTACCTTGTTTTGAAGCTGTTTTTTTTAATGGGTATTCCTTTTATTCTATAGGGAGGAGAGAGTGCTGTGAACTGAATTGTGTTCACAGCAATCCAGTTCATATGTTGAAGCCCTCATCGCCAGTGTGATGGTATTTGGAGACAGGGCCTTTGGAGGTAATTAGGTTTAGATGAGGCCATGAGGGTGGGGTCTTCATGGTAGGATTATTGCCGTTCTAAGAAGAGGCACAAGAGAGTTTGCTTGGTCTTTTTCCCCACATGAGGATACAGTGAGAAGGTGGTCTATACTCCAGGAAGAGGGTCCCCACTAGAAAGCAGACATACTGGCACCCTGGTCTTGGACTTCAAGCCTCCAGAACTGTGGGAAAATAAATTTCTGTTGTTTAAGCCATCCCATCTGTACTATTTGGTTATGACGGCCCAAGCAGATGAAGACAGAGAGACAGAGAGAGAGCTATGAATTTTTTTTAGCAAGGATAAGTTGATGGAGGAGGCAAAAATCAAAATAGAACTCAGCTTTTGAGACCTGCTTCCTTAGGAACCGGAGCTGGGCCAGCCCTCTGGGGTGAAGGATTCCTTAGTCCTGGAATCTTCCAGACTCAGGAAAACTGGCAGCCTTCTCCATTGGTTTCTTACCTGCAGCTCCAGTTCTAGCTTCCAAATGGTGTGGCACCTAAATCCTGGAGCCCTGGGCCAGAGCCTGATGATTTGTAGGAAGTCCTGGAATTCTCTAATAGAATTCCTAGGAGCCAGAGTGAGGTCCTCTGCCTGAGTTCTCAGCTGAGGAAATTGAGATCTAGAGAAGAGAACGCATCCAGGGCTGCACAGAGACTTAGAGGCAGAGCCTGGGATGGAGCCCAAGTCACCTGGGTCCCAGTTTAGGCCTTTTGCACAGCCTGGGTGATGGTCACTGGGGAGGAGGTCTCCCCCAATCTGCTCACCTCCTTCCTCCATCACTTCATCATGAAGTGTTTTGGTCTTTGTGTCATATCAAGGTAAGTAATTAAATTCCCTTGGGGTGGGAGCTGCCAAGATTGAGACGTAGATGTCGGAGGGTCTTTTAGCCCAACTTCCCCGATTTTGAAAAATCTGGGATCCTGGATGATCTAGCGCCTTCTGCTACAAAAGAAGGAGAGATGAATTTTGCCTGGCAGAGAAGTGGTCCAGGGAGGCTCCCGGAGGAGACGGTGCTTGAGCCGGAATCAAAGGATGAGCCTGCGTCAGTGCATTGTCATCAGGGGGCACAGAGGACAGCAGGGACAGGTGTGGGGGCAGCCTGGTGGAAATGGGCACTGGGAGTGGGGTAGGTGGGGCAGCAGGTACAGGAGGGTGGCTGTGCCAGGGTGGGGACGGGCACTGCATCCCATAAGAAAGACGACACTTTCCTTCCAGGCAACCAGCAACTACAGAAGAGTGGCTTAGAAAGATGAGTTCCCTCTGTGTCTGCCCCAAAAGAATGTCCCTGCTGGCATTTGGAAAGCAATGGGTTAATAGCTTGAGGGCTGCCTCCCCACCCTCACAAACTTCTTCACGACAGGTTGGGCCATAATTCTCTCTAATAAAATAATATGAAGCTCATTTATGCTCCTGTTCCAATGTTCCTGGACTTCATTAAGCACAGAGGGATTAAAAACTTGTATAAATTAATCAATGTACCATAATCCTAAAAATTAGAAGATGAGTCCTTGAGGAAGTAATGTAATGCGGGCTTTTTAATTAGCAGGGCCCTGGAGATTCATTGCTCTCCCCTGCAAGTCTCCTGTTTTTGAATTGTTTTATCCTTTGAAGAGGAAGGCCCCGCAGATGGCAGGCCTGTCATAAGGAAGTGGTAAAAGCTGCACTAATTCCCCAGGCTAATACCCTCCTCGGAGCCAGAGTAGAGTGACACAGCCGGCCTCCCTCTTCTCCCCCAGCAAGAGATAACTTTGAAAAGGAAACTTAAAGAGAAGGATCCAGAGGGGAAATAAGCTACTTTTATTCTTCTTACTAGGCATGTGGTATTAAGAGCATAGATTTTGGAGTCAGGTAGATCTGGGTTTGAATTTTGGTGTGGCTGCTCACTGGCTCTGTGAAGGCAGCCAGGTCGTCTAGCCTCTTACAGTCTCTATTTCCTCATCTGTTCTAGGTCTTTGTGAGAATTGCCTCCTGGTATCAAATGAGAATGCCCTACAGACCCAGGAGGCTTCCCGAGCAATCTCCTCTTTCCCCCTTTCCAATATGGGACGAATGGCCTGCCAAGGACAAGTCTACTTGGGCTCACTGCCACATTCCTGCCTGCCTGGGCTTGGCAGCCTATTCCTTTCTTGACCCTTCCCTCTTCTTAGCTTATCCCCTGACTCCCAACAGCCTTGAGCTGTGCCCAGTCTTTCCATTCCAAAGAAATTGACATAGGATTTTTCTTCTTAGTCTCTTTGCAAGCTGGGATTCCTGGCTGGCGATGACCCACCCAGGCCTCACTTGGCGATGCTGGCGTGGCTCACCTGTGTTATAGCTTGTACCCATGTTTGGCAGTTCCTGAGCTCTTGCACTTCACCCAAGAAGAATAAGGATACACTGGACATTCAAGGATGAGGAGGGTGGAGAAGAATTTTATTGAGCAATGAAAACGGCTTTCAGCAGAAGGGGGACGCAGGGTTGGTCCCCCTATCCAAAGGTGGTAAAGTTCCTCATGTGGCTGGGTCCAGGGCCTTTTATGGACTCAGAATGGGGAGTGCGTGCTGATTGGTTTGTGAGTATGCAAAAAAGGTTAAAGCGAAGACACCACTCAAAGGCGGGCATAGCAGTGTAGAAGACACAATTAGGAAAGAGTAGGTATGTGTAAAACAGGTGAAGGATGGGGACCAATCTGAGGAAAACGTGCCAAACAGGAAGACAAGTCCTCAATCCAGTCTAAGGATTTAACTTGTAGCTTGGCTTTCAGGCTTTAAACTGTCTTCGGCTTGGAGGTGGGGCTTCACTCGGGACCCACCCCTATCTGCCTAGGCATTTGGCTGCCTCCTGCTGCGCTGCCGCTCTCAAAACCAAATATAGCTTTCTCAACCCCACTCCTCCTTCTTCTAGCTACAACCTGTTGCCTCTCACTGCCTTTGCATCTTGCACTGGCCTCACCTGCTCACCCTCAGTCCACTAGAAGTTCGCTGTTATCCTTAAGGTGACATGAGCATTTTCCTTATTAAGATCTCCAGTGTTTATCTCACTTGACCTCCTGGCACCAATGGACTCAGATGAGCCTTCCCTCCTGGTCAGAGCCCCCTCTGGTTTCCTTCTGGCTCTTTGGACACTCCTCAGACTCATTATTATTTTTCCCTTTTAAAAAATTTATTATTATTATTATTATTATTATTATTTTAGACAGAGTCTAACTCTGTTGCTCAGGCTGGAGTGCAATGGCGTGATCTTGGCTCACCGCAACCTCCACCTCCTGGGTTCAAGCGATTCTCCTGCCTCAGCCTCCTGAGTAGCTGGGATTACAGGCATGCGCCACCATGCCTGGCTAATTTTGTATTTTAGTAGAGACGGGGTTTCTCCTTGTTGGTCAGGCTGGTCTTCAAGTCCCGACCTCAGGTGATTCGCCCACCTCGGCCTCCCAAAGTGCTGGGATTACAAGCGTGAGACACCGTGCCCGGCTTTTTTCACCTTTTTATCCCACCAGTGTTGGTGTTTCTCTGGTTCATTCTCCACACTGCTCACAGGGGACGCTCATCTGCTCCATATGAGCTCCACCACCTAGGCTCCTGGCTCCCACAGTCCTTTCTGGTTCAATGTTTTGCTCTGCTCTAGACTCCAAAATCCAAAGCCTCATTGACCAGTCTGCTTTGATGGCTTTCTAGCCATCAGGCTCAGGATGTCCATGAGAAAGCCCAACTTCTTCCCCACCCAAGGGTGTTTCTTCTTCTTCTTTTTTTTTTGAGATGGAATCTCGCTCTGTCGCCAAGCTGGAGTGCAGTGGCATGATCTTGGCTCACTGCAACATCTGCCTCCCAGGTTCAAGCAATTCTCTAGCCTCAGCCTTCTGAGTAGCTGGGACTTCAGGAGCATACCACCACGCCCAGCTAATTTTTGTATTTTTAGTAGAGACAGGATTTCACCATGTTGGCCAGGATGGTCTCGATCTCTTGACCTTGTGATCCACCCACCTCAGCCTCCCAGAGTGCTGGGATTACAGGTGTGAGCCACCGTGCCCGGCCTGGGTGTTTCTTCTTTAGAGCATCAATCTAGATAATGGAGCCAACACCCAATGATCTAGTATCCTCCCTCTCCTCCACAAGGGCAAGGGCTGGGTGTCTTGGTCCCACTATATGCCCCAGGCCTAGCACAGATGCATAGTGTGGCAGACCCTTGGCAAACATTTAATGTATGGGTGGATGGCTCCATTTACTTCCTTTCCACGAGGGTTTGCTGGCTTGGTTAATGAAGGAGAGCGTACTTGCTTGGAGTCCATTTTGCCCAATGGTTTCTCCCAGGATTGAGGTGACACTGACCCTGATCCAGGTAGTAACCCCTCAGGACCTCTGTTTGGGAAAGATGCCGCATTCCACTGCTTGTTCTGTAGTATCTGATTTAACAAAGGGCCTCTAGACCAGAAATCAAAAAGGCCTGTGGGGCCTGCCCCTCCCAGCACAGGAGGAAAAGGAGACTGTGGTCTGCACTGGGGAATTATGAAATCCAAGCTGTGCTGTCTGATGTTAAGCCCCAGGTTGGGGGACAGACAGGTTTATTTGGTGATCAAGGGTGCAGCCAGTTCCGTTTTGCATCCTCCTTGGCCCCACTCCTCTGTCTGATCAGTCCCTCCTGGAGACTGCTTTCCAAGAAGTAATCAGCAGCACAGTCACTCACACCTGCAGGAGGCAGCTCCACTCCCGTTCCTTTGCTGCAGTCTATTTTTACACTGGCTTGTTTACCCCATGTGTTTTGGAAAACACAGACACATACACATACAACAGTAGTGCTGCCAAAATTCACACCTCCTCTCCCTCATAGGATTTTCCTTTGAAGGTTGGTGCTCTTGGAGAGCCAGCGGCTGCCTCTGTATTGGGCTGAAGGCTGAGTGAGGAGCCAGGGCACGGTGCTCTTTGCTGATATGTTTCTTCAACATTAGGTATCAAGACAGTGAAATACGGGGACCCATCTTGATCTGGCATCTCATTGCTGGTAGACTTCCTTCTTCAGTTCCTCTGTCTCCTGGGGGAGTCTTGTTCATAGGTGCCTGAACTAGAGAGGCAGACCTCACCTCAAAGACTTGGGGCTCCTTAAACCCATTGTTGCTTCCCTTCACCAAACTCTGGTAGCAGCATGGCCTGAGGCCTGTCACCGCTTTTGGTCAGGCATAGAAGATGGAATGGGGCGCTGGATCAGGAGCCAGGAATAGTCAAATCTTATCTCTGCAAATGAACTGTGCATGCCCTTGTTTCCCTAACAGCTCTTATTGCCATGAGGATCTTTCTTCCACTGAGACGTGTTTGATCTCTCCTTAACTTTCTAGGTGGCCCTAGTTCTGCCTTGGGGGCCTTCAAGGACAATGGATCAGGGACCCTTCCCATTTTTTCCCCAAACCAGAATTGGCTCTGTGAATTGTGAAAGCAAGTTCCTGGAATGTACAGGGCTGGAACTCAGGGAACAGCCTAGAAACATGCAGCAGTGGGGGGAATTCAAAAAAAGTATTAAAGTACTGACTTCATACAGACACCACTGTATATGTTTGCATACCTACACACACATGCACACACACACAGTATTAGAAATGTCTCCCAGTTTGCAAGTCCTCTGCACCTCGGGAGAGCCAAGCCATTATTGCCAAGCCCTGGTGTTCGGCACACAAATAACCACGTGACCATAAAACAGCCTGCAGAGCCCAGTACTGGGTTTGCAACAGTCTGCAGAGATGGCCTAATGGCCCAGCCTTCAACACTTAAAAAAAAAAAAAAAAAGTAAAAGTGGAAATTCACTTATAAAGCCCTAATGCCCAAGAGCCAGAAGAGCCAGAATGGCTTACTGTTTTACTTTGAAAATCTGAAATGATTTCCAACTATTTTTAAGGTAATGGAAACCAGTTTTGAAACAAAATCTCCTGTGGACACGTTCAATGTGTAAAATGCAGAAAAGTGAAGGGAATGGGTCCAAGGCTGAGATGAGGGTTGTCAGCTCTGCCTTCCTTCAGCTTGTCTGGCAGGGTTGGGGGGTACTTTAGGGAATCTCTGGAGCACAGTTGGAAAACCATTGACCTAAGAGAATGAAGCCAGCCCACTTTCCCTAGGGGTCCACCCCAAGGTCCTGAATCCTGAGCCATGTGACTTCAGTATCACAGAAGCCGATGAAGAAGTAACATTTAGCTCTGTTTCTGATGAAAGGGGAGACCTGGACCCAAATCCCTGAGTGGACCACAGATGCTGAGGGAGCACTGGCCTGCTGATGCTCACCCAGACAGAAATACGGAGACCCCCGCCCAGCCTCTGCTCAAGGGTGGGGTTCTGACACCAGAGCCATTGCAGGACCCAGTGCCCTACCTCCCCTCCCTTTGTTCCCAGGGCAGGCACTGACCTGCTTCCTTGATAGGGAGAAGCCATCATTTCCTGTAGTCATTGCCTGAATCCCAAATTGTCTTAGAAACTTTGCAGCCAGATTTATGAGGACTTCTGGAATTTTGGTATTTGCCTTATTTTCTGATGCTGATCAAATAGAACCATTGTGTATCTTCCACTTGTGCCCGAGCCTTTTATAGGTAGACAATGTCTTTCTGGAGCCCTTGAGTTAGACACAGAAGAAAGAGGTTTGTGATGGGGCATAATGTTAGGAGAAAGGTTGGCCTCAGGATGTTTGCATCAGTGTGAGAGATCTATTGTGGATGTCTCGATAAAGTTTATCCAAGGAAACCCTCCACTCATTGCAATATTTCATAGTCCTGGCCCTGTTTTGGCCCTGCCCATCACCAGGGCAATCCAGATTGTTTGCAGGATGGAAACTGTTTGTCACCATGACAGACCCACAGTTTTCTGATCCAGGCCTCCTCCTATTTCCTTATGGTAGAAAGTTGACATTTCAGGGACCCCTCGAAAGCATCTAGGCTTTACCCAAAATCTTAGGGAAGTTTTTTTTTTTTTTGTGGGGGATGGAATTTCTCCATATCCAGATTCAACAAACCAGAAATATACTCAAATTATGTAGACCCTACATGCCAACTTAGGGAACATGCCAACTAACAGAGCATAGGAGTGCGGTCAGGCCTTGCTTCTTAATACAACAGGAAGTGCATTTTCACAGAGAGGTGAGGCCTTTCCTTTTGGGAGAGGGAGGATGGAGAAGAGTTCATTAGAACGACTTTACTCCAGATTCCTAGTAGTTATTCATTCAGAGAGCTCTGAGCAGCTTACCCTGCCCAGTAAAAGGCACCCTTCACAGATATCTGGGGATATCAAGCAGTGGGGACTTTTAGTTTATGAATGGGCACTATGTGACCCAAGGTGCTAAGAACCAACAGAAGAAAACCAGGCCACCAGCTGGGAACACCAGCATGGTGTGAAGGCCACAAGGACGCGCTCTCTCTCCTCCCATGGCTCTTGCTGAACCCTGAACCTTGTTGAGGATGTGGGTTGCTATGGTGATGGGAGGGGAACTAGCCTGGGTGAAAGTTACAGTAGAGACAGAGACTTTTGACATCATGCAACCATTGTTCCAATTTCCTCCTTAGAGCCAGGCTTCAGGCCTTTACCCACACCATGTAGACCTCTGCCTTTACCGGTGCCCCTCCTCTTGGGAGGCAGGCACTGGGGGAGCCTTGGACATCTCCTAGATGCTGAAGAGTCATGTCAGCAGTGATGAGGATACTCATTCCCACTGGAATACTGATCAGGAGGTGAAAGATGCAGGAGTCATCTCCCTTCTTATCCACAAGCTCATATGCTTCTTTAAATTATAGGCATTCATTATTTGAATGTATCTATACATCTTCCTTCCTCCCTCTCTCCTTCCCCCCCTTCCTTCCTTCTCTCCCTTCCTCCCTCTCCTCCTCCTCTTCTTCTTCTTCTTCTTCTCCTTCTTCCTCTTCCTCCCCTTCTTTCCTTTTCTTTCTTTCTTTCTTTTCTTTCTTTCTTTCCTTCCTTCCTTCCTTCCTTCCTCCCTTCCTTCCTTCTTTCTTTCTTTCCCTCTCTTTCTTTCTTTTTCTCTTTCTTTCTTCCTTCTTTCCCCACCTCTCTCTTTCCCTCCCTTCCTTCCTACTTTTCTTTCCCCTCCAAAAAATATTTGTTGAGGACCTACTAAGGGTAAGGCTTTATCTCAAGTCCCCAGGATGCAGTGATGAGTAAGTTTTGGACTCTGTTTGGAAGGAGTCTACGGTCTAGACTGGAGGACTCTAATCCCATGATGATAACCCACTTTGAATTCTGCAGAGGAATTCACATGCCACATGTGGCATGTGAGTGGAGAGGAAGGGACAGATAACTGGCCCTGGGGGAGTTAGGAGGGCCTCTGGGAGGAGCTGACCCTGAAGCGGCACCTTAAAGGAAGAGATTTCCAAGTAGAGATGTGGGGTAGGGGAGAGGATGCCTGGCAGAGGGCTTAGCATGTGCACAGAGGACAGACTGGATGAGTCCTGACTGCTTTTCTGCCGTAGTCACCAGGGCTGACTGTGATGACAGACTTGGAGCCTCCCTGCCAGCCTCCTTTTCCTCCTCTGAGGATTTCCCTGTAATGGAGCCTCTGTAACCTGCCCTCTGCAGCGGGTCCCTTGCCTTTCAGGCCTGATGAATCGTCCATCTCCCTCATCTCATGTATAGGGCTTGTCTTCAGGGTCTAGAGTGAAAGTGGGTCCTGGAGCTTGTAAGGGCACGATGCCAGTGAGGTAAACTTTCTCAAACAGAGATCCGTGGCTGGAATACAGCATTCCCAAGCAGGTAGAATGTTAAAAAGAACTTGGAGGAGGCAGAAAACTTCCAGATTCTTCTCTAACTTATTTTACCTCTGCAGGAGCTGATATCATCTTAGGGTGGGTGGGATCTTCCTTCCCGGCTAATCTTTTAAATTTATTATTATTATTATTTTTTGAGACAGAGTCTCACTCTGCTGCCCAGGCTGGAGAGCAGTGGCACGATCTTGGCTCACTGCAACCTCTGCCTCCCAGGTTCAAGCGATTCTCCTGTCTCAGCTTCCTGAGTAGCTGGGATTACAGGTGTGTGCCACCACGCATGGGTAATTTTTGTATTTTCAGTGGAGATGAGGTTTCACCATGTTGGCCAGGCTAGTCTCAAACTCCCGATCTCAAGCAATCTGCCTGCCTTGGCCTCCCAAAATGCTGAGATTACAGGCTTAGAGGCTCCCTAAGACAGCCGGTCTCAGGCCTTGGAGTCATGAGCCCAGGAGCTGAGATTTAGATGACGTTAAGGTTAAGGCTGAGGCTAACCGGCAAGGCAGGCCTGTTTGACTTTACATGTGAGTTGCATCCAGAATTCAGGATTCTTGAGGTTTGTTGCAGGCACCAAAGAGTCTGGCTGTGGCCTGCTTGGAACGTCAGAGGATGCGATAAGAACTGGCAGAATCAAGGGCAAGGTTTTCTCCCTTGATAAGATTTCCGACAATTTCCCTCCCCTCCTCTCAGCCTTCTCTCCAGAAGAGGGCAGTCACAGGGTTGGGTTGGGAGGCAGACGGACTTTGTGGGAAGGGACTGGGGAAGTTTTAAAGTTGGTGCTCCTAATGTTTCTGAAAATGTCTTTCCTGGGGTGAGGTTTGAATCAGGACCTGACTCCCGAGGTGTGGGCCATGCCGCTTAGTGCAATTGCCCTTTTCTGAATCCACATCTTCCCTGGATGTGGAGCCCTGGCAGGGGTGGGGCTGAACAGGGCCTGGGGCCTGGCTACTATCCCTCTGACTGCCCATATGATAGGACGCCCCGTCTAGGCTGATGCTTGCACCAAACTTCCTTCCCATTGTTGCCTCCTGCTTCCGCCCCATGAGCTCTCACACCCTCTGCTGTAGGAACCTGCCCTTCTGGGGTGCCCTGTGCCATCCTGTGTATAAGCTCCTCCTTCTACTAAGGGTGTCCTTCCCTCTTGTGGTCTGCTATGTGATTTCAGGGACCCACATGCTCCAGCTCGGATGTTGTTTCCATGAGAAAGCTTTCCCCTCTCCTTGGCTCCCCTTCATCAACCCTTTTGATAGAGACAGGAGACAGGAAAATACTAAGAAGAAGAGGTGGTTCCCAGGCAAGGACCCCACCCTCAAGCCTGGAAATCTGTGGCCCTAAGTGAGAACAGGCATTCCTGTTACTGTGCTCAAAAAGTTGCCTTTTGGCTGGCCATGCCTCCCATCCTGTACCATATAAACCCCAAGCCCCAGACTCCAGAAGGAGATGAGCAAACAAATGGCAGAATGGCATGGCAGAGAAAGAGAGAAGAATATGAGAGTCTGAACACCGAGAGGAGTTTGGCTGGGGATGATCAGAGAGGAGATTGGCCACCGGAAGGCCAAACTCGAGGGGAAGATCATCTTCCTACTCCATCCCCCTTCCAGCTCCCCATTCATCCACTGAGAGCTACCTCCACCACTCAATAAAACCCCGGCATTCATCCTTCAAGTCCATGTGTGACCTGATTCTTCCTGGATGCCAGACAAGGACCCAGGGACCAAGGGGGCACTGAGTGGGTTAACATTAAACCATCTGTGGAGAGCAAAGCTAAAAGAGTGCACTGCGATATGCCCACTTGGGCTTCAGGAGTCACAGACACCCACCCCTAGACACTACTGTGGGGCCGGAGCCCAAAGCGCTCATCCCAGCTCCCGCACCTGCTGGTCTGCACGCTCCCCATCTCGTAAGGGGTTTGAGCTCGCAGTGGCTGAACAGAGAGCCACACCCTTGTTGCACATCCTGCGAGGGGGGAGCCAGGGAACTCTCCCATTTCACAATCACGAAGGGTTCTTATCTGTTCAACTGCTGGACCTTGGGCTCCAGGAAGGCAGCGCTAACGTCCCCTCATCCAGCCTGTGCAGACATGATGACCCAGTGAGTGGCTGGGCAGAGAATCACCAGCTGGGCTGCAGGCCAGGCTGTAGCCTGTTCTTACTGTGCATGTTTTGGGATGAACCCTATTACGTCCAGAGACCTAGTAGGCCCTGTAATGTGTAATTCCAGAAACACTTCCTTCATTAAACATTAATGCTAGCACCCAGCCCAAGGGCAGGCATAGAGACCCACAAAGGGAGGCAGGAGACCCTCGAGTTTAACACCTTAGACTTTGGGGTCAAGACAGGTCTGGTTTTGAATCCCTGCTCTTAAAGGCCATGAGCTTTGGAGCAGGTCACTGTACCTTCCTGAGCCTCTTCATTATCAGTAAAATGAGGATAATAATATCTGTTTTACTGGGAAGCTGTGAGGCTTGAATCAGATACTGTAAAGTGCTTAGCACAGCACCTGGTACACAGTGGAAGCCCACTAAATGGTAGCTATTATTATTAATAATAAATATAGGCTGAAGGAACACAGAGATGAATGAATGTGCATGATTAATGCTTACTCCTCCCATCCTGGCCCAAATAAAATATACAAAGGGTTTAGGGAACTCCATTAGCCAACCTAACTTGCTTTCATAACAAGAAATCTCACAGCCATGACCAGGGCTCCTATGTGACCCGGGCATGCGGATGGATTAATAACACCCCAGTCTGCTTCTGGGCTCCAGAAACAAGCAACACTCCTCACTGTGCCCACAAACTCCTTCTGTGCTGGCTGTGTGTGCCCCATGGAAAAGGGAGGTGCACCTGTGTTAGTGATATGTGGAGAGGCATATTCCTCGCGGTTGCCTGGACGACTTTGTCTCAACACCTGCAAACAGCCTTCTTTTTTCCTCCTCTCCAAATCAAAGTGAGCCTTTAATTTCCTTGCGGGGAGGACAGGAGAGAGCTGAGCAATTAGACATCAGCTGGCCCCTCTTGGAGGCTGGAGCTGTTTTTAGCTTTGCCTCTCAGGCAGGCAAATCTGGCCCTGGAGTCTGGGCCCAGCCCAGTAAAATTAATCTAGCAGAAGATCATCAAGGTGCAGTGGCATGGTGAGAGGGGAGGACGCGCTCCCTCTGCATGGTTGAGTCAAGGTCCTATCTTACATTCTCTCTCATTCTGCTATAAATGACAGGGTTTTCCCCACAAACATGCATTGCCTTTGTCCAAACACTCTTTGTCAAATGACCCAGTGTAATCAAAACCAGTGAACTCCCTTTCCATATAGTTGTAGTAGAAAATAAAAACTTTTCTAATCTGAAACTGCATGCCTTTGTGAGAATTAAGAAAATGTGGACAATGCAGGGTTTCGGAGCAGTGCAGGAATCCCGAAACTTCCAGGATGAGAGAAAAGGTTTCTTAAGTGGTGTGTGCAAGTTGGGGCTGCTCCTGGGTGGCCTGGGATGGGCAGGAGATGGGGTGGTTTGGGTGCAGTGGGTAAGTGTTGCTTTTTAAGCAAGAGGGTCTGTTTCTGGAGGCGATTGGGCTCCAGGCTGATACAATCTGTTGGCAAAAATAACTCTGGATTTGGATCTAACGAAGACTATAAAAGAGAAGCTCAGAGACTTGTTTTCCAGCCTTGTGGGAGTTGGGGTGTTTTAAATGAAGGGCAGATGTAGCCTGAGGCCAAAATCTGCCTCCCCCAGTCCTGCTGTAACCTTATTAAAGAATAAAAATAAAGGCAGGACTTTTATGGTAAGAAAGAAAAGGCATGACAAGGCTGCTTTCCCCAGCCAAGAGAGGGGTTCTCGGGACACACAGGGAGGTGCTGGGATCATGTCTGTCTGCAAGAGCCGTCAGGGAGGGGAGGAGGGTGGTGGGGCCCTGGGCAGGTGCGGGGAACCTGATCTGACTATCAAGGCTGGGGTTGGATCGAGGCAGGAGGGGGGCTCCCAGCTAGTGTGGCATCATTGGTCAGGTCAGCCCCCTAAATCTGCCTTTGCCAGGCCAGTTCTCCCTCTTACAACATTTGCTGGCCACACACAAAGCACATGGTGCTTTGTGACTGCGTGTGAAAAGGGACAAAAGTGGGAGCTTCAGCTTTCTAAGGAGTCACAGCATCTGGCACTTGGGAGGGGCTCAGATCATTAATGCTGGTGACCCCAAGAAAGAGTCCATGCTCTTTGCAGTGGAGTTCCTTGCCTAGAGGCATTCTAGTAAGTGGGAGCTTACTACACTCCTGATTTGGGGCAGTAGAAGTACCTACAACTGAGTTGGAACCTCACCTACACTTGTGACCAGCTCACCTCTCCTCTTGGCACCTTGAGTCCTCATTTGGGTAATGCCCTCCTTCCCCCTGCCCCATTTGAGGAGCTGTGAGGGGAGACAACACAAGCCAAGGGCCTGCACCTTAGCCTGAAATGCAGACATCAAAATGCCCCCTCAGCTGAAGGCGAGGGGCACAGCAAACCCAGGGGTATGGATGCAAATGAGGAAGGACCTGATTCCTATTTCTGGAAGGACCCAGCTCCTTGGACAGCAAGTGTGGTAAGAGCTTGACCAGGCATTAGGACCAGGCTTGGAGATAGGGGTCAGTGATGGGCTCTTGTACTACTTAGGATCTGGAGTCTGGTCAGGGAAACTGAGGCAGGGCCCCAGGTGTAAAAACGGCATCACAAGTGGGCTGGCGCAAGGAAGGCTGCTGCTTGGTGGACCCAGAGTCAGCTTAGGGCTGCTGAGGTGGGCTGTGACCACAGAAGGGTGGGGCCAAGTTGGGGGTATGGGAACCAGGAGGGAGGGGCTAGAAACGTCTTCATTCAGGTACAGGGAGTGGATGATTGGGGAAGCGTTTCATCCTCTCTGGATTTAATTCTTCAAACATTCTCCTTCTCCCTCCCACGCTGGTCCTGTGGCTACAGTCTTTCCGGCTACAATCTGTTTCCCAGAAGGCAGCAGAGTGGTCTGTGTAAATCACTGATCTGACCCTACCACTCCCTCTCCCTCCAATTCCTCCCATGGCTCCCAAATACTTCTAGGAGAGAGTCCAGACTCCTTAATGCATTAAGCAAAGCCTTCTGGAATCTCTAAAATGCTTTCTCTTTTCTCACCTCCTCCATCCTCGGGTCTAGCTTGGAGTTCCCTGAGGGGATCACTCACTGCTCTGCATATCTACCTATTGTCATAGCCACTGTCAACACCCCACCTGATTCTCATAGTTTATCCCAGGCACCTACATCTTTGATAGATAATTCCTGTATCTCAAATGGTTTCAGGCCTCAAAGAACCAGCACCTCTCTGCCTGAGGACTTTCTCTGGTCTCAGGAGGATGCTGTGCCCAGGTGGAGGTGGGAGATGCCTCAGGAGCCACCCTTAACCAACGAGGAAGAGAAATTGGAGAACAAATATCTGGCTTCTGACAGCCTCAACAGGAGAATTCTGATGTATGTTCTGTACAGTTTTTCAGAGAGCCCCAATGGGGATTGTGTCCAGGACACAATCCACGACCCCCTATAGTGACCCACTCATTCATGCATTCATTCCTTTCCTCTCTTCCTCGTCTTGTTTCCCCAGTCCCTTGTCAGCTTCCTGGAATCGCTTCCCAAATATTCACTCACACCCAACTTCCTATCTCAGAGTCCCAAACCAGGGCACATATGCTGTTCCTTCTGCCTGGAATGCCAGCTTCTCCCAGTGTGCAAATTACTAGCTCAATCATTCCTGGGTAGTTGCCCTTCTCTGTGCTCCTAAGGCAGCTGGCTCTGTCTTCTGGCCAACTTGCTTGTTGGCATAACCTGTCGACTTGTCTGTGTGGCCCATGAGGGCGTGGGGTCCTCTTCACCCCAGGGACCTTGCATTCATGTCTAATATAGCTCTTGGCTGGCAAAATGCCTGGTGCACGGTAGTGATTTAACAGATATGTGTTCAGGATCCGACATGATGAGCCTTGCAAGTGTTAGCTCTCTGGGGTTGGAAACAGTAGCAAATAACATTTTCTATGTTTCACAGACACTTCCTCCTTCAGCCAAAATATTTAGAAGTTTTTTTTTTCATACCTTGCATTTGTGCAGTGTGAGGTCTTCCCAAGGTACTTTTATGTGAGGCTGGGTCTCACCTAAACTCTGCAGTGAGCAGACAGCATTGCCCTATTTTACAGATAAGGCCATTGAGGCATAGAGGCTAGTTGGCCAGTCTAAGATAATAACCCAGAGGTGGAGATTGAAGTCCAGAGAGGTTAGGTAAATGGCCCAGAGGCACACAGTATTACCTAGTAATCTATGCTCAATGTGCAAAGAAGCCAATACTGTGGTACCAGCTTTTGAGAAAACAAAAGCTTTATTGTAAGTTGACTGGCAAGGAGACAGGAGGAAAAGCTCAAATTTGTCTCCTCAAGCTGGAGACTGTGGCAGGTTTTACAGGCACAGGGCAATGAGGTGTAATCTGATTGGATCGTGCAATGAGGTGATGCCAGGAGGCATGGTCTGACTGGATCCCGCCATGGGGTGGCACCAGGGCTCGATCTGATTGGATCCCAGATCCTGCCATGTCACGTCCGCTTCTTAATTTAGTCCCCGCTCCTTGATCTGAGCACTTAGGTTCCACCTGTGGCTGCACACTTGGTTCTTCTGGGCATGCTCAGAAGTTGAAGGTTACGTGACCTTCAACTCGAGGGGTCCATGGCAACTGAAAAACAACTCACAACCTTGTTACATAAAAGTTGAGGTGGATTGGTCTTGCATGATTATGGCAGCACAGAGCCAGCAGGAAAGAGCTCATCAGACCCCAGGCCCATGTGTCTCCAGAATCCACCTTCTTTTCCCCTTACCAACTACCCAGAGTGAGAGCCCACTGTTGTCGGGGAGTCTGAGTGCAGGCTCATCCCTCCACTCCTCATTCCATTGCCACAAAGACCCTCTGAGCTGGAGCATGCAGCTCTGCCTTCCAGATAAGGACACTGAAGCTCTGAGGGGCTGCAGGGACAGAGCCAAGCTTTGCCTCCAGGTCAGTCTGGCTGGAGTCCAGTGCTCTTTCTCTACAACCAGCCCATTCCTTTTCTCTAAACTTTCCCATATTTTATGCCCTAAGGCAGACAGCACAGGGAGAGGAGTATTTCAGGGATATATCTGGCGAAGATTTAAAGGCAGGTGCTGATCATAAACCTCGAGCATTTGCGTTGGTGGGGCTGAGGACTCCAAGCAGAGATGCAGAGGCTGGGCTGGATTAGCTGTGAGAGGCATCTATTTGCTCCAGGCTGGGGCCATGTGAATATTTATGCCTCAAATTTACAAGGGTTTTGTTAGCAGGGTGAGAAGCAGGAAAGCAGGAAGGGAGGAGGAGTAGGAAGACAAGATGGTAGAGGAGGGTGACCAGGAGAAAGTGCTTCCCTTGAGGCTAGGTGTAAGGATCTCTCCCTTTTCTGGCCAGCCTGCACCAGACCAGCCCCTAGGATTCTTCTAGAAACAACTCCAAATATCTTCTTTCTCCTTTGGAGAGGTGGGGGTGCAGGTGGAGAAGGCTGGACATTGGCCCAGATTGAGAAAGGCTTTTCCTCATTTTCAGCTCAATTGGCCTCAGCTGCCTCCATCCCCATGTCCCACATCCCAGCAGCCACCAGGTCCTCAGTTCGAATTTGCAATAGAATCTGTTCCCTTCACTCCTTTTCACGTCACTCCTTAGTCCTGGCCCCCATCAACCCTTGCCCGGGCAACAGTAGGAGTCTCCTTGCTGTGTTCCTTTGTCCCCTCCTGTCCCAAACTGTCCATTCCCCACCACACTGGCCCAGGAGAGACCCCTTTGCAAGTGCAAATCTGACCACATCCTCCAGCTGAAACCATTTCGTAGCTTCCTATAACGAATGCACACTTATCTACAGGTAACATTTTCGAATATTTAAAAATAGTTCTCCTTGAGTGGTGGGAGATGGCTCTAGCATACTGCAATGTTGCACTGCGCACGGCCTGGCACTATTGTAAGAATTTTATCTTTGCCCATGGTCTTCCCCTGCCCAGCATGCCTGCTCCTTTTGTCTAAATCTTCCCCATTTCCTGGTCCCACTTACAGTCTCACTTGCTCCAGGCTGCCTCCTCACCCTGACCCCTATTGCTGTAGTTATTGGAAATACTCCTGTCAACACCGATTTTTCTTCCCTTCTGAGCAGGACGTCAGGTTATCCCTTGGGGAGGGTGATTCTTTTCAAAGGCCAAGCCACCATTTGTGAATTCCAGGTATTATTAACACTTGTCAGTAATCAGGCCATTCTAGTAACTATTGATCGAGCACCAACAATGTAGGCAGTGTTCGTAAAGCTGCTGGTGTTTTGGGGAAACAGAAGTGCCAGCTGCACACTTGGTGTGTGGGTCCTTTGGGGAACCAGGGAGCTGGTTTTGGGGTTTACGGGCATCAGGAGAAGGAAGCCACAAGTCAGCAGTGCCAGCTCTTGGTCGCGATGAGCATCTCTGTCTGGACCTGTTTCCCCTTCCAGCTGTGCTTTCCTCTCTACCACTCTGGGTGGAGCCATTTATCCTGATTAGCAGATAATGTGCCCATTAATGGGAAATCAAAAAGGATGACTCAAGGGGAATTTTCAAGGTCAGGACGTGGCCTTTCTATTGAGAGTTCAGCTCTGTAGAGAAGGAAAGGGAGAACCTACGGCCAGTTTTCCTGCCTAGTCCCCAAGGGGGTAGGGTGTGCCCCCAGATCCTGCTTGAAACCTGTCAACCCCACTCTAAAACTTCACCTCCTCCTGCTTCTCACCATGAGAAGACTGAGCCTGGTATTAAAGAACTCTTAACATTAAAACAAAACTGAATTTTTCCCAACCGATTGGCAAAATCAAAAAGATCAATAATACCCAGTGCTGTCAAGGGTGTTGAAAAATGGCATTTTTGTATGCTATCAATGGGAGAATAAATTGGCCCTATCTTTTTGGATAGTACTTTGCCATTTCCCAGAAACAATTTTTACATATGAGGAATCTGTAAAATTCATTCAGATGCTAGTGTGAGTGCATTAAAGATATGGATAGGAATAGATTTTTTTGTACCAGCAAAAAATTGGAAATAATCTAAACATTCATCCATAGGACATTGGTTGAATCAAGAACAATATACTTAAAAATGCCACACAGTTTTTCATTTTAAAAAGTATGATTCATCTGTAGGTGGTGTTTTGGAGGATGGTGTGTGGTGTATTGCTGTGTGGGGATAAAGTAAGTTGCAGGGCCTTCCTGATATCCCCGGAGCAGGGTCCATGTATCCTGTCCACACCAATATTCTCTGCACTTGGTACAGAAGCTGCCTGACCCCAGGAGGTGCTCTATAATTGTGGCTTCTATTACTATTGTCAGCAGATCATAAATTAATGGTGTTTTTTGTTTTTGTTTTTGAGATGGAGTTTCACTCTGTCACCCAGGCTGGAGAGCAGTGGTGCGATCTTGGCTCACTGCAACCTCTGCCTCCTGGGTTCAAGCAGTTCTCCTGCCTCAGCCTCCCGAGTAGCTGGGATTACAGGCCCACGCCACCACAGCCAGCTAATTTTTTTATTTTTTTTTAAGTAGAAATGGGGTTTCACCATGTCGGCCAGGCTGATCTTGCACTCCTGATCTCAAGGGATCCACCTGCCTTGGCCTTCCAAAGTGCTGGGATTATAGGCGTGAGCCACCATGCCCAGCCAATGTGTGTGTGTATTTATATACACACACACGTATACATATATATACATATATATACATACACATATGTGTATATATGTGTGTGTGTGTGTGTGTGTATATATATGTGTGTGTGTGTGTGTGTGTGTGTGTGTGTATATATATATATAAAGATAGGATCTTCCCCTGTTGCCCAGGCTGGAGTGCAATAGTGTGATCACAACTCATTACAGCCTCCGCTTCCTAGGATCAAGTAATCCTCCCAACCCAGCCTCCTGAGTACCTGGAACCACAGGTGCATGCCACTATGCCCAACTAAAGTTTTTATTTTTTGTAGAGACAGGGTCTCAGTGTTGCCCAGGCTGGTGTTGAACTCCTGAATCCAAGTGATCCTCCCACCTTGGCCTTCCAAAGTGCTGGGATTACAGGCATGAACTACCACTCCTGGCAATAAATAAATGTTTGGTGAATGAATCCTACTTTGTAAAATTCTATGTGGAAACAGAAAAAATTTGGAAGAAGCCCACGAAAACGTTAATAGAGTTTACTATTGTTTGGAGGAGAATTGGCAGGGAGGGGATGGGAAGTTCACTTATATTTTGTTCATTTCTGTATTGTTTGAATTTGGTATGAGTTTGTGCTATTTTTGTATTTGTAATAAAAATCAAACAGAAGTGGGAAAAAAAATCCTTACACTGTTGTTCCTCTGTATCCATGCTAGGGTATCCACTGTGAATGTCCCAACACACATACTTGGGCTTTTGCAGGCCTGGAGACCAGTCCTGCCTCTATCACTTCCTCCCTCATGAACAGTGGTGACAAGAGCTCTTCTCCAGGGATGGTAGGGGGAATCGTATGCAGCAAGGGCTCAGCACTGCTCCCAGCACATAGAGATCATGCATCGCTTTTAAGTGCCATCCACCTTCCTGTGGGGTCTCATTTACTAACTCTTCCACTCACCATTTTTTTTTTTTTTTTTTTTTTTGCCCCAAAGCCTTTGCTTGAATTCGGCAGAAAATCATTCATTTCTGAAACGTGGCCAGGGAAGAAACCCTCAGGAAGATCCAGCCCAACTCTGTCATTTTGTGGAAATCAGAGCTCAGAGGGGTTAAGTGACTCGCTCGAGTCACACAGCATCCAAGTGCTTGAGATGATGATATCTGCACTGAGCCCTAAAGCCATGTGCTTTCATTGCATTGCCCTGTTTGGCAGCAACTTAATGAATTAATGTTTTGTCTCCCCAAGAGGTCTCCTAGAGGTCTTCCCATGAAGAAGAGTCTTTAGTGGGAGCTTTTCTTAATCTGTCAGAGGCCACCAGGTGTAGGATCCACTCCATCTGACTCTGGGAAAGGAAAGGAAGGGGCCAATCTCAAGAAGTGTGTTCATATTTATCTGAGTTCAGGAACCCGTCACAGTCTCCCTCCCTGGCCATCCCTCTCCAGTTGTACACACACTGAGGCTGACTTCCCCATGAAAAAGTCTTCCTCGATCATTAAAATCCTCAGAGTCAGCCAGATCTGGATGGAAAATGCTGCTCTATTTAGTTGTGTGTCTCAAGTTACTCAACTGCAAAAGGGAGAGAGTGAGATCTACTTGTCAGGTGCATTTTGAGAATTAGGTAAGATAACAATTACACTACTGGGTGCCATGGGCTTGCTGGTAGGATGATAGACAAATTTGAATCTGTTTGACCTGGAGGCCACCTGCTGAATACAATGGAGCTCTATGGCTTGGGGATAGGACAAGAAAGCAATGCTTCTGACTATATAGAAGCGGGTGATAGGTGTTGAAAGTCATGGTCCTTGGAGCCTTAGAGTCCTGAGTATGAGTCCCAGATCCATTGTGTACCATTGACAAGACCTTGGGCAAGTCCCTTGAATTCAGGGCCTGTCTTTCCTCATCTGTAAAACTGGATATAAGGCACTTAGCCCAATGCCTGGTATATGATAAATGCCAATTAAATGTTAGCTTCTTTTAATATTTGATCATTGTTACTGCTTTTACTATTATGGTGTGGTGGTCATTTGTGCTATTCACGAACTATTTCTTGTTTGCTTCTGGGCAAATGGAAGGATTGCATCTCTCTGCCCTATTGAAGTTAGTTTTGGCCTCTGACTTGCTTGGGGTCAATGAAACGTAAGGAGGATGTGTGTCCCTCTGCCTAGAGACTCTAGGGCCTAGCATGTGATTTGTTACCTTCCTTTCTCCTGCCACAGTGACTGTGATGGGAGAATTCCAGCTCTGAGCACACTGCACAAGTGATAGATAAATCCTTCGGTTGGGTTGAGCCACTGAGATCAGGGGTCAGCTGTTACAGCAGCACCACTTGGCCTATCCTGACAGATACATGTGGGTGACCCTGACATGGCAAGACAATGGGTGATAAATGGCCATCTTGTTTGTAATGTGAAGAAGGAGAAGAGCAGAAACAGAGGAGCTTATTCAGTTCTTTATCCAGGAAGTTTTTGTCGAATGGCGTGATTGAAACTTGCAGGCACCCTCCTCCCCCAGAATGGAAGAGTTGGGATGTGGGTGGGTGGTTGCACAGATCGGAGACCAGACTGCAGCTGTGCATTTCCTCTTTGGAATCGGCTGGTCCTATGCCTGAACGTCCCCCCATCTATTTCTCTGCAAAGAGTAGGCTGTCTGTGCTTCTTGCTGTGTGACCTTCCAAGTGACTTCCAATGATCTCTGCCCAGGAGGATTTGAAAACTGCCCTTCCTGGAGGCAGCCCTGGTGAAAATTCCCCTCTGCTTGCTCTCAGCCAAATCCACTAGCAGCCTCCCTGTGCAGGGCCACCTGGGTGAAATCATAGAGAAGGGACCGTGCACTGAATAACCACCCCCTCAGTAATCTCTGGATCCCTTTACTAGAGAGAAAGAAGACTGGAAACCCAGGCACCGTTGAACGAGCTAATGTTTTGACTCACACTCACTTATATTAAGGTATAAGTGACAGATGTAAAGTTATTCAACCCTGCACTGAAAAACCCACTGCTTTGGTGGAGATGAACAGCAAGATGAAAATGCCTAAAAGCCGAGAGAGAGAACTGAAAGGGGTAAAAAGGGACACTGAAGAAGAACATTGGTGTAGGGAGGGGTAGGATGGGCACTAAGTCAAACTTCCTTTGGGAGGTGATGTGGGTGCTTTGAAGTCAGACTGCCTGGATTCAAAACCTGCTGCTGCCATTTGGCAGCTGTGTGATCTTCAGGGTAAAAGTTGGATCGTTCTGAGGCCAAGAGAGTGCAGTTGGCTCTGTTCGTGAGATATTCAAATACCTGTGCAGGACCAGAAGTGGGGCTGTCTCCCCCCATCCGAATGCCTTCTCCTGTGACCCCTAAAACTCATTAGCATCAATACCAGGAGTTATGTTTTCTTTGTTTTCCTGCAGGGGTATCATCGAGTAGAGCCCAGTTAAACATTTACTGAGTTCTTCCTATGCTAGGGCTCTGTACTAGGTATTGTACGTAGGGAAGAAAAGGGTGCCATTGGTGGAACTCTTCAGAGACTGCAGGGAGAGCTCTGGGTTAGAAAACACAGGGCATGCAGTCTGGGAAGGTCATTTCCCCTCCTTGGGATTCAGATCCATATGTAATAGGGAGAAACCAATATCATCTCCTTCATCGCATACTGGGGGACTAACCAAAAGGGCAGGGGTGAAAGGGCGTGTGTAAAGGCCATCTGCAAACAATGAGGCTTTAATTATGATTGAACCATTGGTGTCCACTGAAGGTCATCTTTGATAGTGTTCCCTGTCCCCGTCAAAGCTCACTGGGGTTTCCACAGGATGACTTGATGGGAGACGTTTGACCAAACTTGGCTTGTCTTGGGGGACTGAGCAGCTCTCCAGCACAATTCCTTGGAAGAGAGGGGCCTGTTGCTATTGTCCATCAATGGATTCTCCACCTAGAGCCAGCCCTCTACATTCCCATTCTGCGGAACTGTATCCTGCCTGAAGAATTGCTAACCATCTGGCCCACGCAGCCACATGCCAGAGGATTATCTTCAGTGTGCGAACAGCAGAGATTCAGAGGCTGGGAGGAAGCATTTTAATCTCGACGAGGGAGGCGGTGCAAATGGTTAGATACCAGAAGACCTCAGTGCGTCCCTTGAGAATCTGGAAAGTATTCTTATTTTAAAAATATCACTGACTTTTGCGATTTCTGAGCCCAGATGCCCCTGTTGAGCTTCCTGATTATTTCTTCCTTGAGGGGTTTTTTTTTTTTTTTTTATCATTATGGTCTTAACTTCAAAGATGACCTGATTAGCTGCCAACCACAAGCTTCCTGGCAGAGTGGGGAGCTTTCCCCCTTCTAGCCTGGAGCTTTCAAGGTGGCTGGGGCAGGGCATTCTATGTGCCATACATCCATGTGCATATATACACACATACCTATATGTGACTTTCCTCTCTGGGAAGATGGGAAGGCCTCAAGCTTGGCTTAAGAGTGCAAACCGGCCAGGTGTGCTGGCTCACGGCTGTAATCCCAGCACTTTGGGAGGCTGAGCGGGGTGGATTACCTGAGGTCAGGAGTTCGAGACCAGTCTGGCCAACATGGTAAAACTCTGTCTCTACTAAAAATAAAAAATTATCTGGGTGTGGTGGCACACGCCTATAATCCCAGCTACTTGGGAGGCTGAGGCAGGGGAATTGCTTGAACCCAGGAGATGGAGATTGCAATGAGCTGAAATGGTGCTACTGCACTCCAGCCTGGGCAACAGAGTCAGACTCTATCTCAAGAAAAAAAAAAAAAAGAGTGCAAACCACATGAGCCAGTTACTTTCATGCAAAGGTATTAATGAGGGTCTACCTAGAGCAAGCATGGTGCTTGTTAATGGGGGGAACAAAGTCATTGCTAGTAGATGATGACCAAAGAGTGATGGGGAAAGAGGTAAATACATGGTTGATGACATAAGAATGCCAAAGAAATGTCCCCAAGCCTGCTTGGTGTGTGGCTGGAGGAGAGGCATTGGAGCAGATCCTTAAAACGGGTTGGAGGCTGTAGGTGTGGAAAGGGCACACGGACATTTCAGCAGGGGGTGCAGAGTGGATGAAGAGAGGCCTGATCTTGGTGAGAAGTTCTGGTGTGTACCGAAGAGGCCAGTGGTAAAGGAGTTTGTGTGTGAGGCTGGGGAAGGGGTAGAGGCCAGACTGGGAGGGCCTGAAACACCAAGGAGGAAGCTGATGCTGTCAAGCCTGCATTTTGGAAAGACCTACTGTTTGAACACCTCTTGTGAGGGGAAGCTCAGTACCTCTGGGACAGCCCGTTCTACCTTCATCTGTGACCAACACAAAGTTCTTCCTGTGAGCAAGCCAGTGCCTATTCTTGGCCTTGGAGATGCCTGCAGGATAAACCTATGCCATACTTGGCCCTTCCATCCCTGTTTTAGACTTAACAGAATTCTGAGCGTTTGTTTTTTTTAGATCAGCACTATAATTTCTTTTTACAGTGACCATTGTAATAGTTAGGCATGTGCACAGAACTTCTGGAACTTTCTATCAATGACCTAGGTTGGCCTACTATAGGCAACATCATCCAAATTCATCTTCACAGTTTGCCTAGGGGCAAAGAGCTTGGGGTTTGGTGTTCGACAGTCCTGATTTTGAATCCTATCTCAGCTATTTTGTAGCTTCCTGGCACTGAACAAGTGACTTTCTTAGAGTCCAGCTTCCTCAGCCTGCCACAGGGGGTTACTGTGAAAGCCAATAACACAAATAACACATACAAATCACTCTGCTCTGGTTAAGGGGTCTCTCTCTTCCCAGGCAGTTGAGAGGGAGTTTTGGAAGATTCTTGGGCAGTGCTGTCATTGAGAAGATTCCAGAGCCCCTGACCTCTTTTCAATCCTCTTACTCCCCTCAAACCTGTTTATGTGTTTTCTGATGAAAACAGGCTGCTTGCGAAAGTCTTGCTCCTGTTTCTGTCAGCGTATTCATTTAAGGCCTGCACTTTTGATTCAGTTTCTGGTGGTTCAGGATTTTGAGCTATGCATTTTGTGGGTTTGGTATGCATGCGAAATATGTATTTTGAAGGCTGCTTTGGTCTGTTTTTAGACAATTCAAATATTTGGATAGTGCATTCCTGTCTTGCCTCTCTTGCCTGTGTTTGGGGGGCCCTGGGATTTGCTCTCCCTGAGCTGTTGACTCTGGTTGTCTCAGCCCTGAATGCCTCCCAGGGTCAGCCTTGCTGGCCACAGGCCTGATTGGGAATCTAGAGCCACCCAATGTTAGAGAAAGGAGACTCCTTAAGGATCACCCAGTTCACACCCCTCCTGTCATAGATGGAGAGATGATGGCCCAGGGACCGGGGTGGGGGTGGGGCTTGTCTAAAGTCACAGGGCAAATGGGAAGCAGAGTGGGTGACACACCCCTCTGCTGGCACCATGCAGGGCGCTGGGGGTACAGGTACTGTTCCTCCCACTGCACTCACCCTCAGGCCTGCACATCTTTCTGTAGGTCCACAACCCCATCACTTATTAATACCCAGGCTGCCTGACCTGCAAATACCCAGAAACTCAAAGCCAGTCAAACAGACCATTGTTTTCTGAACTCCAGTCCTTCTGCCTGGGTTCTGGCTGAGGGGAGCGTTGTGCTATGGTAATGCTCAGGAACCCTGCAAGGAAGGTGGTGAATTCCAGCTGCTCCCTCTCTCCTCTTGGCAGAACATGCATGTCTGGGACAGAGGAGGGAGCAAGAGAAGGATAAAGGGGCCCGTGGGCCAAAGCTTTTACTGGTGTCTAGGGTGATCCCCAAACAAGTTTCTTGTGGGGTGTGCTCTTTAAAACACTTTTAAAAATTTTGATGTTTTAGAGACATGGTCTCACTCTGTTGCCCAAGCTGGAGTGATCATAGTTCACTGAAACCTCAAACTCCTGGGCTCAAGCAATCCTCCTGCTTATCCCGGCTTCCTAAGTAACTGGGACTACAGGTACACACCACCACACCCAAATAATTTTTAAATATTTTTTACTGATGGAGTCTTGCTATGTTGCCCAGGCTGGCCTCAAACTCCTGGCCTCAAGCGATCCTCCTGCCTAGACTTCCCAAAGTATTGGGATTGCACGCATGAGCCACCATGCTGGACCCCGTGGGGTGTTCTAATTGGTGGGTTTGGGGCAAGCAAGCATGATTTCCGTGGGGTCATCCCTGTGCCATGCCATCTGCAAAGTTCACGCAGGGTGTGGGGGTCAGTGTGGCGAGGCAAGGAGGTTGTGTTTAGCTATCTTATAGGGAGGTGGTCACCAGGAGGTGGATGTATAGGGCAGGTATCTGGATCCACCCCTTTGAGGAACTGGGAGGAGGCAGAGAACTGGAAACTGTGTCCTGGGTGAATGAACCCTGCTTCTGGTCTGAGAAAGTTAAGCCTTTATAATGCTACAGCAACATAAAATAAGAATTCATTCCAACTCTGGTGGCTTTGCTTCTCCCGGCCTTGGCTGCCTGGGCCACCTACTAACCAACAGGGCACACAGGGAGGGTCCCCTTTCCCTTGCTCTGGAGCTTCCTGTGGGGTCCAGCTAGCCTCTGCTTGCGGTCCCACCCTTGCCGGGCCCCTTCCCTTCCCTGCCCTGTCCTTCTCTCACCGCTCCCTCCCAAGAGCGTTTCCTCACTGCCTCAGTGCATCCAAATCCTGCCCTGCGCTCTGCTTCCAGGGAATCTGCCCTAGGTCACTTTCCCTTCTGCCCTTTTTCCTTTTTCTTCCTCATTTTCTTTCTTGCCAGAAAATCAGCTGAATCAGGAGAGTTTAAATCAGGGGAGTGGCCAGCAGCACTAGATGCAGAAGGCAGAAACAAAATCAAAACGAAAGCGTGTTTATTGGCTTTGGCCTTTAGAAAGTTTATTGGTAACTCCTAACAGTCTAATTGAATATCAAGGAACAGTTAAACTTCACCTTTCTCCTTTACTGCTGGGCATGTAAATCTTAAGGAAACAATCTTTAATGGTGGGAAAATGCCGGGCAAGTCAATTCCTTTGTCTTAGCCTTAGTTTTTCCACCTGCAAATTAAGGCTTTTGAGCTAGACGATCTATCCAAAATTCTGTGATTATACAAATGTATTCTTGCATAACCTTATGCAAGTGAGAACATTCCTGTTTACCAAGCTTTCAGTTTGTGGCCTAGCACAGTGCTGAGCAGGGTGGGGTGAAGTATCCATTTCCCCTCTCACAGCCACCTTGTGAGACAGGAAGTGTGTTACTTGTAATTGCTGCTTCACTCATGTGTCAGTATGCCAAGGCCTCCCAGGTTTATGTCTCCAGCCTGGATCTTGTCCCTTGAACCAGTTGGGATTGGTCTGTTTCTTCCAACCATAAAATCCCTGACCATGAGAGCATTAAATAACCACAGTGGGGTTAAAACCAGCATGGGAACTCTAGTAGACATTGTAGAATATGCTTCAAGATTATCCCCAACAAGGGATGAGGGAACTGGGGTGTTTATCCACCAAGTCTTGTCCATTATTGGTAGAGAGCTGCTTCTGGGAGGTACCAACTCCCTGGCACTTCTGGTCTGCCCATGTGAGCTGAGCATGGTCCAGTGACCAGAAAAGGCCCTCAGGCAGAGTTGCACGTGCTATAGTGGAAGCTGTAGGGTCTGCATGCTCAGGAGTGGTAAGGACTGAGGGAATATGGGCATGGGTGTGATGCTGGCAATGGCTAGAAGGTCTGAGGGCTGAACCCTTTGACATGGGCAAATTAGAAGGGACAGTTTTGCTTGTGGTGCAGGTGGTTCAGATGGTGCAGAAGCATATTAACAGCTGCATAGCAGGTTGTTAGAATGGGGAAGAGAAGGATCAGAACTGGAGTGAGAATGACTCCACAGTGACGAGAAGACAGGAGCAGGGAGAGGAGGGGAGCGTGGGGTCAAGAGAGAGTGTCCTCAGTTTAAGATGGGGGACTCAGGAGCAGGCACAATTGGGGGTGAGGGAGTTTTGGAGGAGGAAGGACAGGAAGCCATGAAGCCTCAAAGACAGAGGAGAAGTCTATGGAGCATGGGGTGGGATGGGGGCAAGTATGGTGCAAACATACGTGGAGTGGCTGGTTTATGGTCAAGACAGGGAAGAAGGGAAAGGTGGGACCAGTCGATGGTAGACATTTTTAGGGGCATACAGTTGACATCAAGATGAAGGAGTGAAGAAACAGGGTAGGAGGGCCATTGCCATCATGGCCCCATTTCTGTGGTCACTGGTGAATCATGAAAACCCAGACCCAGAAGACCCACATGGTACCAAAAACTTGGGTTGGGGTGGCAAATTTCTTTGCAAATTCTGGGACAAATAAAAACGTCCCCTTTCTAGCTAATTGCATGTTTATGGATCTAATTACCAAATTACAATGATGAAAGAGAGAATTCTTCAGACTTCAGGAAGTAACTTAGAGTGATAAATATCTACTCCTTTTCTCTCCTTACGTCTTAACTAAAAAAAAAAAAATAGCAAGACAAGTTGCTTGTATCACGTAATGTTCTTCATTTGCTGCTCCGCTATGGTTTTCAAAAATGGCATGCTGAACAAGTGTATTAATTCGAGTTTGAAGTCCTTTTGTACTAAAATATTGAGTACAGGAACATATAAAATTACACATTTTTGTTGTCTGTGACATAAGTTATATACCCAGACTGTCCAACATGACAGGAGACAATTTCATTTTCCTGACAAGAAATAAAGATGCCTAAACAGCCTGATAGTTAACATTATGAGTTGCAGTTAGACACTGGAACACTAAATTTGGAGCATGATAATAACTTTTCCAAGTGCCCAACTTATCTCCCATGCCTGCCAGCACGTGTACTTCTACATAGTTTATGGTTTTAATATGATTCTGCAGGTTTGTCCAAATCGTATTACAATGAATTCCCTTTCAAAGAAGATCCAGCTGAGTAATGAAGAACAATGTTTGCATTAAACTTAACGATGGATTTCTTGGGCTGAAATGAAACACTTGGATCTCTTGCATTTTGTTAGGTAGGGATAGAGAAGCTAATCAATTTGGTCATGTAAAACAGTTTATGACCTTTCGAACTCTGTACTTAACCACTGGAAGAAATGGAAATTTTCTATACTTTATTTTGGAAGAATAGAGTACCAATGGCATCAAAGATTTTATTCCAGAGATAGGAAGAGCATTCCATACACAATCACACACATGACCATCTCCTCTGTAATTGATGAGGTTATTCATTGCACACATGCACCTGGATTCCCAAAGAGCTCTTGGAGATTCTGCACAGTTTATTTAGGATGTGAAATCCCAGGATGATAACTGGGGGCCAGGAGGTGGGAAAACCCAGATGTGAGGTGGCATTGGTCAGGTGGAAACGATCTAGCAGCCAAGAGAATGGGCTTCCTGTCCCGGCCCTGACATAATGCCTGCGTGGACTTAGGCAGTTTCCTCCTTTGAAAAAATGGGAAATCAGAGGGTTAGAAAGTGCATATCCCCAAGGTTCCTCCCGACTCAGATATGCTAGGATTTTACAACGCTAGATCTGATTTCTGCTGCTTCTTGGATTCTTCAGAAAGTGGGAGGGGGGCTTTTAATGAAAAATCCAATCACACACTTTAGCGAGGCTCACAGATGAGGCAAGGGGAGTCAAGGGGCAGAAGAAAATAGGAGCCCTTCTAGGTTTTTTATTGTACTTGGGAGTTTCAGTTGGAAAGGGGCCTTTTCTTTTAAAAGCAAATTATTTGTAATGGGAAAAACTTACAGTTTGGTTTTTAGGCAGATCTGATCATTGGCTAAATATGCAGGGTGGGGAGTGGGTGTAGGGTATTGGGAGGAGTGCCTTCTATACTTTAAAGAACATTTATTACTTTCTTAAATTGCACAGTGGTAGCATTGTTGTAATATGAAGCAAGCAGTTGTCAAGAAGTTATTAAAAATTAGCAATGGGCTAAAAAATCCAAGGTGACAGATTGGTGCCCAGGGTGCTGGGGGAAAGAATAATTCACAGCCTCCAAGTGAAATCTCAGGTTGTTTGTTTCATTTCTAGAAGCATAATACAACATTTGCAGCATGTGTTGGGTAAATTAACCTCTTGTTAATTTTGGAAGCTGCTGTCAGCCCCTTCGCTTCCCTTTCTCGGCTTCAGTGATGAGGCCAACGGGTACAGGGGCATCCAGCAGTGTCTCAGGGTGTCAGCCTTCTCCTGGGTCCCCACAGGGGCCCTGCTACATTGCCCTCTGGCATGGAAGCCCCATGAGAGCAGGGAGTGTGTCTGTTTTGCATTTCTGGTTGCCTGGCACACAGTAGGCGTTCAAGAAATATTTTTGAATGTGTGACTTGCTTCCAAATTGGCTTTTGTTTGTGGCTTTATCCAGCTCCTGGGAGCTGTATCAGCATTAAGAGCAAGACAAGCTCTAGGAGATGAGGGGGTGAGGGATTGGGAGGTTTGTTACCCCTGATTCCCCTACAACAGACTGCCCCTAAGACGCAGAAGAGAATGGAGCCAGTGCAGGCCGTCTTTAGAGTTCTGCGTCTCCCATTTCTTCCTTAGCTTCCCTCAGTCCTGGAGGTCTGCCAGCTGGGTAGCTGGAGAAAGCCGACAGGATTGGCAGAAATGCACGTTTTATGTATGTCCCACATATGGAGTGGCAAGAACCACTCTCCCTTGGGGATTCCAGAATCTGTTCTGGAATTGGACTTCATCAAGGCCAACCTGGGGGCACCTGCGAGGGAAAGAAGCCACCATGGCCTGGCCTGGCCACAGCTTCCCAGAGGAAGCTCTGTTGTTTGGATGAGAAGTAATGTGTGTTTCTAGTCATACATTCTCATATGGACATTATTCGGCTTTTACTAATTGGCTTTACAATTTTCCCAGTAGTTAATATTCATCTGTCAAAAATGGAAGCATAAATAAATAACTTCGGTTCACGCGCACCTCTTATTAGGCCATACATCATGTTAGAAAGTTCGCATTCTTTAACCAGGAAGATGAAATTAGAAACATCTTGAAAAAGCCTTCTTGTTATCAATCATGTCATCTTGAACATGTTTCGAAGCTTGCTGCTGGCATCAAGAATAGATGTTTTATTCAAAAGAATGTATTTAAAGAAAATGACAGCACTTTTCGATTTCAGCTTTTTAAAAACAGGAAATCTTTCAAATCCTCCTGACTGTGAGCATTCCAGCGCCTTGGAAGATGTGTGGAGTGGCTCTAGCCTAGCTGCATAAGGGTGGAGAATTTCCCGAGCCTTTGCAACAGGTGTGGGACAGGAGCCGATCATGATTCAGCAGAAAGTCTTGGTTCTTGTGTGTCTTGAAAAGGTTACTTGCCCTCTCTGGATTTCAGTCTACTTATTTGTAAAATGGAGAGGTTGTGCAAGATTAACGTCAGAGCTCAGGCTGCTATAACAAAAATACAGAATTGGGTAGTTTAGACAATAAACATTTATTTCCTGTAGTTCTGGAGGCTGGGAAGTTCAAGATCAAGGTGCCAACAGATCTGGTGTCTGGTCAGGGTCTGCCTCCTAGTCTGCAGATGGCTGCTTTCTCCTTGTGTCCTCCTATGGAGGAGAGCAGAGAGAAAGATCCCATGTCACCTCCTCTACCCTCATGACCTCATCTAACTCTGATTGCTTCCCAAAGACTCCATCTCCAAATACTCTCATATTGAGGGTTAGGATTTCAACATATGAATTTGGGGGAGACACAAACTTTCAGTCCATAACAATTAATGTCCTCTCGGGATAGAGGAGGGTAGCACTGGGTTCTCAGAGCACCAGGAGAAGGAGGCAGTAGACAACTTCATTCATCATTCAAGTAGATTCTGCACAATTTTCCCTGATATGTGTTTGCTTAAAACAGAAAAGTTGACTGTAAGTTACCCACATTGAATCCACTGACCTTTGTAAAACCTGCCTTGCTCCCAGCATCTTTTCCTGCCCCGGCTCATGTGTATTCCTCCCAGGATGGGGAAGGCAGGATGAGACATTCTCCATTGTTCCTCCAGCTCAGACCTCTGACTTTAGGGGGCTTGCAAAGGTGCAGGTGGCTCCAGGTATCCAGCCATCCCCTTCCAAGAGGGGCAGGATTTATCCCCAACCCCAGCCACACTTCTGTAGTTGCCTCCACTAAGTTCCACAGCACAGTGTGTGTGGTAAGGTAATCCCTGATCCAGGAGAACAACCCCTGGTCCCAGCTCTACCCCACTATCCTTTACAACCTTGGGCAAGTCATTTCCCCTTGTCTGGGCCTCACTCTCCTCATCCATGAAAAGAGAAAGTTGGACAGATCAATCTCCAAGAACTCAGATTTAGGAATCACCCTGGGAGTTTAAAAGATTGTGAGGGCCGGCCGGGCGTGGTGGTTCACACCTGTAATCCCAGCACTTCAGGAGGCTGAGGCGGGTGGATCATGAGGTCAGGAGATCGAGACCATCCTGGCTAACACGGTGAAATCTCATCTCTACTAAAAGTACAAAAAAATTAGCCGGGCATGGTGGCGGGTGCCTGTAGTCCCAGCTACTCGGGAGGCTGAGGCAGGAGAATGGCATCAACCCCAGAGGCAGGGCTCGCAGTGAGCAGAGATCTCGCCACTGCACTCCAGCCAGGGCGACAGAGCGAGACTCCGTCTCAAAAACAAACAAACAAGATTGTGAGGGCCTGGATGTGTTTCTACAAAGCAAATAGAACTCGATCTATTTCCCTAAAACCCAGATCTCATGGGAGCAGTGCTTTCCTTATCGCAGACAGTTTAGAATCTGTGCATCTGTCAAATGAATCCAGAAAACGGAGATGCAGTCCTTCAGGTCCAGGCCTCTGGCCACCACCCAAGGCCATTCCAGGGGCAAGAACATTCAAAACTTTTTCACCCTCCCATGGTCCTGAAGAATAAATACCAGAGTCCACAAATGCCACTCAATTGGCATTCAATGATCCTAGAGTATTGGACATAGAACAAACATCAAATACCTCCCCAGAGGGAGGAATTCACTGGCTGGTGGTCATCACAGGTGTTGCCAGCGGTGGGACTAACACCCAGGGATCCCAGCTCCCTCTCCAGGGTGCTCTCTACAACCTGAAATTTGCTTTTTGTTGAAGAACGTTAACACAATTCCCTGAAATGCACAACTTAATTTTGAATTCTTTCTCTTCTTGATGCATAAATATAAAGTCATAGTTTGTAAAAATACATAAACACCGAAACTACACTTCAAGCCATATGCTGCTAACCACACCCATCTGCCACCCCAAATTTCCAACATGACTGACTGTCAAAAACTCATCATGGGCAGCTTGCCAAACACTTCACAGCCAAACCTTGTTGACAATTAATAATGTTAAGGGTGTCTATGACATCCCATATTAGTCAAATGGATTGATTTATGACAAACCTGTCTCCTCCACCCTACCCTATTTAAAAACGGAAGGCATGGGATTGAGTTACTAAGAGTTGCAGCCAGGATAGAGATGATTAGGACAAATTCTTGCTCCTAAGAGCCCAGTCTGGCAGGACAGAGATGCCTTGCAAGCAAGATTTGATAATATCAGACAGACTAAGAAAATTCACAAAGTGCTCCTGGGCCTCAGCAGAGCACGAAGCACTGCTGGCAGGCAGATTGTGAGGAGGGGGGAGAGGCATCCGAACCAGCCACGGAAAAGAGGAAAGATTTAGGCCCAAGTAGGTGTATGACTTGAGGCCCAAAGGCGAGAATGCACAGTGGACATTCGAGGAACAGTGGGTGCAAGTGGAGCTAAGATTGGAAATGGCTGATGGAAGTCCAACTTTAAGGGTCTTAAATGCCAGGGCAATGACTTTAGCCCTCACTGAAGAAGCAACCAAGGTACTATCATAAAGGCAATTGACAAAGAGGGAAAAATATAGACTTTGGAGAAAGACAGTCTGAGGTTCAAATCTTGGGTATTCTGCTTTTCAGCTGGTGACTTTTGGCAAGTCACTTAACCTATTATCTCTATAATGGGGGCACAAATCTGTATTTTATAGGATAGCTCCTCTAAGTTATGTATCACTTTTTTTCACTAGTGAGAGCTAATATGTATTGTTGTGTATATATCGTGCATTGTGCTAAACTTTACATGACTTACATCATTGACTCTTCAAAATGACTTTCTGTGGTAGATGCTACTATTATTGCATTTCACAGATAAGGACACTAGGACTGGGAACAGGGATCCCTGATTCATACTGCCCATGGTCATAGAGCTTTCCACCTATGCAAGGATGTCAGGGAGTTGCCCACAGCCAAATGCCATCACTCAGCACCCATGCCATCTTAGGAAGAGCCAAGCATGGGCTAAGTGAGCATTTCACATGAAATAACTCCAAAATCTTTGCAGCTGCCCCAGGAGAGTGGCATATTGCCTCTCCCATTATATGGATGGGGAAGGTAAAGTCCAGGGAGGATGAGTACCTGTTCTCACCAGACAGCTTGGACCTGGGAGGCTACGGTCTGGTTCATTGACTTGCACTGCATTGCTTGCCCAGAGATTACAGTTTAATTGCTTTGGGTGGAGTCTGGCACTGGTATTTTTAAAGCTGCCTGGGTGATTCTGATGTGCAGCTGGGACTGAGAACCACTGGCCTGGTGGCAAAGCTCAGCTCTTGACCAAGACTTTAAAAAGGAAAAAATCCAAGCACTTCTCTAGTCATGGGGTCCATGGATTCCCAAACCTAAATCTTTGTTCAGGAAACAGACTGGCTTCAAACAAAATAAAGTCTGAATCACACTGCTATACTAGTATTGTTTTGTTTGTTTGTTTTAAATAAAGGCAGAAGGAGAGATTTTTTTCAGTAATTTAGATATCCTGGTACATTAACAGGAGTGCCCAGGGCAAAAGAAGCTTTTACCCATCTGTCAAGTTTGTGTCATCACCTGCCTGCACAACAAATTTTATTTTCTAAAGATATTTAAAAGAATATGAATTGTGGGGCTTCTGAAAACTAGAAAGTATAGGCTAGTACGAGAGAACAAAACAAGTTTTCAGCTTCATTTCTCCCCTTCGAGAAAAGAACTACTATCTGAGGGCTCTTGGATAAAACAGAAAAGAAGCTTTGATTTTTGAATCTTCAGAATTAAGGAGATCAGTCCTGAGGATGATTTGGGATGTGTAGGTTCACCTGGCTCCTTTCTTCTGTTTTTTGGGGTAGTTGCTTTTCCAAGTTAATCAAGGAGTCTGTCTCCGTGCGTTGCTGCCCCAGCCCTCTTTAGGACCTGCACATCGTGCAAGTTAATAAACTTCTTTCCTTCCCTAAGCCTGCTCTCCTGGCTTCTCTGTCCCCATGAACTCAGGACATGTTTGGGCACCATGTGAATAGACCTTTCTGTGCTTTTCAGAGGAGGTTGTGTTGTCACCTTATTGACACTTCCAGGAGGGGAGGCCATAAGGCTGCCTCCAGGATCAGGTGTGAGATGCTGAGATTCCTTCAAGTCATGAATTTCAAGAAACCGGTGAATTGTTTGGGTGCGTGGCATGAGTCAAGGCTCAAAGTGGATCCAGCTTTTGCCAACGAGGTCTGCCCATGCTGTTGGATAGTGTTCTGTGGTCTGTTCAGAGGTCAGGTTTGATGTCACCAAAGAGGCTTTGCCTGGGAAGGGGTAACTTCCAGCCTCCCCCTTGAAGGAGGGGTGCCTGCCTCAGTGTGAAGACGATAAAAAAACCTGATGGTAACAATATTAACTCTAATGATGATGATAATAATAACTGCAACTAGTTGTAAGTCTAGCACTGTGCTAAACACTTTGCAACTATTATTTATTTTAACTCTCACCACAATCCTCTGAGGCGGGTTTAGTTTTATCCCCATTTAACAGATGAAAAAACTGAGGCTTAGCTTAGGATATTCAAGTAGATGGTCTCAGTAAGTCACAGAGCCATTTGCAGCCTGAGTCTTTTCATTTCTAAGGCCTGCGACCTTTTGTCCCTCAGGAGTACAGATGTAGAAAGTTGTTTTGTAAATTTAGTTGACAGCTGCCTCTTGAGAACTTCCTGAGATTGGCTCAGATTTTGTTCTGGAGAGAGAGGAGAGACACACTGCCTCTTCTGCATGACACCTCTTCGGAGGGAAGCGGATCATTCCCCTCCGCTCTCGTGTTCTCTCCTCTGTCAGTTAGATAACATTGCTTCCTTCAAAAATTTCCTGCTGGGCCCTTCACAATCTTATGCTGTAGTCCATCTGATCAATATTTCTCTTAAAACCTTACTAGTTCCAAATATAAAACTAAACACACAATCCCACTAGTGGCATTTTTTTAAAAGCAAGAAACTGCAAGGCATGAAATGTTTGAACTACATGGAATCTTAAAGACAATTTTATCCAAACTCCCCATTTTATACATGAGACAACTGAGGCCCGTAGAGGGGAGCAGACTGTCCAAGGTTGGGGAGCAAGTTAGTTGTAGATCAGCACCCCTACATATCAGCCTCAGTTTACTCATCTCTAAAGTGAGGCACATAGGGCTGCTGGGTGGATGAAATGCAGTTGTCCCATGACATCCTTAGCTCAGTACTCGTTACACAGAGGCGACTACATCCTGGGGAGAGAGAATGCAGGCAGGACCATCAGAGGGATGGGGAAGGATTCAAGAGAGAAAAGCAATGGGACCTGGGCTGTGGGAGGGAGAACTGCCAGGGCTGAATGACTCCCAAGTTTCTTCGTTTCAACTCCCATGAAATGAGTCTCAAAGGATGAATAGGAGTTTATCCAATGGGCAGGGTGGGGAGAGGCTCTGTGCCTGGACAGAGTGGCCTGTGGGCACCTGTAGAGCCGGATGTGTTGAGACACGCTACGCACATCATCTCTTGGACTTTGGTTTCCCCAGTGGAGCACAGACAATCATGAAACAGGCATCTTAGAAGCAATAACAGCTACAAAAACACCAGGGAGAGAAAATGAAAATCAATGCTTGAAATAGTGTTCGAAAGACATTTCAATACCTTTGTTTGCTGACATCTCATGAGCTCCATCCAGAGCCTCTGAGTTAATGAAGTTTAAGCAGCTGTCCTCTTCCTTGACATGGTTTGTCCCTGATGTCACCTAAGCTGTGGTCCTGATTGCTGTCCAGAGAGCAGTCCCCTAGCTCTCCTTCGGAGCTGCCTCTGTTATGGCTGTTATCATCTGATGCTGGATTGGAACTGGAGTTGGTGGGAGCAGTAAGACCCATTATCAGAGGCCCCAGAGGGTTTCCAACTATTCATTTGTTCCTCCTTCCAAATTACATTTTAATCAAAATTTACAAACATGTTAATTTCTGGCCAAACTGCAGCAGTATACAGAAATGCCATTTATTTTGGAGTGCTAAACCAAAGCCTCTTTTCTTTGTCCTGCTTTGTTCTTGTTTTTAAACTTTCATTTGTCCCAATTCCGGAGCTGATCCCAGGTGTTGAGATTCCAGGCCTAGGAGCTCCCTTCTGAAAAGGGTGTGTGTGTGTGGAACTCTGCACAGACTCTCCGCTCCTCAGTAGCAGAGCTGAGTTGGTAACTTGGAACCAGTCATGGCTGAAGCTTGCACACTGGCAAATCTGACTTTCTGCCCATGTCCCCAACAGGGATGCTTTAGATATGCAGGTCTGAGTGTCCCAGTCCTGCCTAGTCATCTCTCCATCACACCCTTCCCCACTGTACAGCAAACTATTGGCACATTGGAAACCATGGGAGTACTTCACCCAGAAATCTGGCCTCACACACTCCCTGGGACCAGAGAGTTTGACACCATGGGATCTCAAGGTGCCACGAGTGGTCTGTTTTCTCCATGTTGCCTTGAACTTGCCCAGGTGAAGAATTAATTCCCAGGTAGGATAGGCTGCACAGCATCCAATGTAAAGCCTGCCCTACACTTTAAATAAACTCTGCGTGTGCAGTGTCAAATCACTTCATCTTTCCTACACCCTTGGTGGCCCAGAAAGGTTCAGACATGTGCTTGCAGTCACACAGCCAATGAGGGATGGATCAGGATCAAGAAACAGGAAAGTTGCCCGCAGAGGCAGTGGGTGAGCTTAACCTTGGTGTGACTACTGTTCTCGGGGAGTGACTGTGGCATGTCTACACCATGTTAGTTACTGAAGAATTAGGACTCATTTTCTGAAATACTCGTGAGCTGCAGAAAGAGTGAGGGGGTCACCCTGCAAAGGCTGGGGCTCTCTTGAAAAGGGGTGCAGGCAGCTAGTTGGGGAGGGGGGCTACCAGAGGAAAGAATCTCCAATGGGGAGGAGCCCCAACATCAGGCCCTGGAAGGAAACTCTCAAATGACTTGAGTTCACTAGCCTGGAGGAGGGAGAGTAGAGAAATATCTGAACTGGTTTAAAGAATCCGTGGAAAAGGAATTAGCTAGTTATGCATGTCCCAAGTATGGAGCCATTACATAGCAGCAAATTCTGTTTTGATATAAGGAAGGACCTTCAAGTGTTTGTGATACCCAAATGTGGAACTACCCGACTCAACTGGTAGTGAGTTTCCTGTCACTGGAGCATCCTATCAAAACTGAAACCACCTGCCTTACTTAATGAAAATTTGAGTACTCACTAAGTGCACTGGGGTTGGGAGCAATGACAGCCTTTTAAGTGTAACATAAAACTGAGCCAAGGTTTTAATTAATCCCAGGACTTTGGGAGGCTGAGGAGGACGGATCACTTGAGGTCAGGAGTTTGAGATCAGCCTGGCCAACGTGGTGAAACCCTTTCTCTACTAAAAATACAAATTAGCCAAATACAAATTAGCCAGGTCGTGGTGGCACATACTCATAATCCCAGCTACTAGGGAGGCTGAGGGGGGAGGGTCGCTTGAACCGGGGAGGCGGAGGTTGCAGTGAATGAGATAGCGTCACTGCACTCCAGCCTGGGCAAGAGAGCAAAACTCTGTCTCAAAAAAAAAAAAAAAAAAAAAAAAGGAAAATGCAGGATGCAAAAGTATGCATACATCATGACCCTAATTATGCACATACATTTATTTATTCCCTATTTGTCTCATAAGAAGTATTGAAGACAACATGGATGAACACACCTGCATACGCACCCCGTATGCCTAAACAAGTCTTTGAAAATGTGAATGGTTATTCCTGGGTTGTAGGATTGTGGGTATTTTCAGTTTTTTACTTTATTTTTTTTTTCCAGTATTTTACAAGTTTAAAAAAAATGTCTCTATAACAAAGTGGGAGCCCCCAGAAGATCCGAAAGCAGTTGTTGGAATGCCTTAGGGACTCAGTGATGATTAGTTCCCTCTCTGCCTGCTTTCTCCCCATCTGCTTACCCCTACCAAATGAGCAGATCATGCAGGTCATTCTAGACAATGGGAAGTCAGTGCTCTCAGAGGGTCTCATGCCCTCTAGGGGTCCTGGGGCCAAGAAGCCGCTAGGGGTGCAGACCACCTGACCACTGATCATTCTTCTTTTGACGCAAACAAACAAGCACCTTCCCCAGGTTGAGCCAGGATCCCACCAGGTGTGAACCTAAGGAAGTGCTTGTCTGTCACTCTGGAAACTGGCTCAGGAAATCCCAGGTCTCTGAGAATGACTTCCAAACTCAAAATGCCTTGTTAAACACAGTTGCTCTGAATTCATCAGCTCAAGCCAAGCCTTGTCATAATCTCCAGAATCACAATGACTGAAACAGGGGGTGCTGATACCTCCGGTGTGCACATCAGGTTTACTTATACTTTTATAAAGAGGTTATTTGCAAAAGTGCAGTTAATCCCATCATGCTTTATAATTTAAATGTCACTACAAATGATGGCTGACATGCAACTGATTAACAGCAGCCTTTAGTGCCAAATTAATCAGCATCTAATCCAGAGGATGTATTAAGATGGAATAAGATTTTAAAAAAACATTCCTCCTTCCCAGCCCTCTCTGCTGTTATTTCAATAGAATGCCCAACTTTCCTATGCAGTTTGGGAGTTTGACTAAAAGGTATGTTTGAGTACTTTTCTTACATAGAAAGGACGCACAAATGATAAATTGTCAAAACAGAAGTGTGATTATCCCCTTTGGGGGAACTGAATTCCCTCCTCTTCCTTTGATGTGGCTGGGACGACCTGTCAATCATTCTGCCCAAAGATGCCTGATGGGGGAGATGGGTGAAGCCACATCCATCTATCTCCCAACATTCTAGAAAGATAAGCCATGTGTTGACAGTCCCAGGAGTTCCGGTCCTTCTGAAGGTATAATACATTTTTGATTTTACCTTTGATTCTGTGAGTGACCCTGTGTCCTTGCAATAAACTCTTTTTTTTTAAAGAGTTAGCCAGTGCTTGTTTTTATTGTTTGACAAAAAGAGTCTTGATATAAATGTGTTGAGGGAAAAGGATTCTAAAGTATTGAAAAGTTCTTTAAACAAACAAAAGATTAAAGAGTTAAAAGAGCTCTCCTCCCCAGGATTTCTACTAAAAATAAACAATATTTTCAAGGAAAACATGCTGAAAGAGTGGAGGATTTTCTCATGGGTCAGCTGCCATCTAGGTGTAAGTGAATTTTTCTGCCTTCCTTATCAAAGAGTCTTAATGATATTCTTCGGTACTTCCTGATTCTTAAACAAGGCCCTGGGGCTGGAGAACAGGCATCAGCCCTAAGTGTACATTTTAATTTCCTTCCTGAAGTTTTATCTTTGTTTTCCAGCATCTTTTGCCGTTCCTAACTCTGGGACCTTGGGATGTTACCTATTCCTGCAGGTGAGATCTCCTTCCTTACAGCCCAGGAGTGTAGGAGCCAGGGTGAAGTTCCAAGGGTAACTCTTACCTTCTAGTCTGGGAGAGACAAGATGAGACTGCTGACCTCCGTGGGCCTGATTGCCAGGCAACCCTCCGGCAAGGTCACCTTTCCTACCACCTCCGGCTATTCATATCTAAAAACCTTGTTCTCTTCCTTTTAAATGCATTTCCAAAGGTTATAGTACATGAAACAGAAGACTTAGCTCTCTGAGAGCTCAATTTTGACTTTGTAAAATTGAAAGCAATGGCTCCTATGTGGGAAAAAAAATGTCTCTTGAAACAAAATGAATAATTACATCATGCGTTCGTGATTATTACCAACATGTGTCAAAAGTGGAACTCACATGTCTTTACCATAATCCCCCATATTCAGTCTCCCACCTGCCGGAAGCTCAGTATTCTCAAAGAGGCAGCTTTCCCACTGGAAAGATGTGACTTCTGGGTCTTGAAGGCATAAATCTGTACCCAGAGGTGCTATGTATCCACGATGGTGGTTTTTAAACTTTATGTTTTTCTTTTTCTTTTTTTCTTTTTTTTTTTAAAGCAGCAGAACCTTAAATGATATATTATGCAAACACAGACCCTATTTACAGCTGGGGCAGAGTAAACAATGATTTCCAACAAGTGAAGTTTAGCTGACCTAGATATTTGCATATCTTTAAATAATATTCCGATTCTTTATTACTTTCACTGTGGAAGGTGAAATGTTGATGTTGTGCTTCTCTGCCTTGATTGATCTCTCTCTTTTTTTGTTTTTTTTTTGAGATGGAATCTTGCTCTGTCACCAGGCCTGAGTGCAGTGGTGCGATCTTGGCTCACTGCAACCTCCGACTTCCTGGTTCAAGCGATTCTCCTGCTTCAGCCTCCTGAGTAGCTGGGATAACAGGCATGCGCCACCAGGCCCGATGATTTTTGTATTTTTAGTAGAGACGGGGTTTCACCATGTTGGCCAGGATGGTCTCGATCTGTTGACCTCGTTATCCACCTGCCTCGGCCTCCCAAAGTGCTGGGATTACAGGCTTGAGCCACCACACCCGCCCTGATCTCTTGATTTCATAGGTCAAGGTAGAGTGGTTACCTGTGACTCAGATAAGCACTCTATTCAAAGCCTACCTGCTGGGATCACAAGAGACCATGACCCAGTCATCCTCATCTTCCTCTTTTTGACATAACCAAGTTTCACAGAAGTTCCTGGTCAAGTAATAATGATGCCCAAGTTGGATCGAGTGCTTGCTGGGTGCCAGACACAGCTGCATTTGCCATCTTATGCAGTGCTTACAACAGTCCTAGAAAGGAGGAATTATTTTACTATGGACATTTTACTGATAAGCAAACTGAGGTTCAGAGAGGTTGACTAACTCACACAAGATCACACAGCAAGTAAGGGGCACCCTGCGATCTGTACCCTGGTGGAGAACTTTAGAGCCACACTGGTAAGCACCACCACCTGGAGCTCCGCAAACCCTAACTGGGTGCAGCAATAGCAAGTCCTCTTTCCCCTTTCCGCTTCCTTCCCTTGCGGTTCATCTCTGTTCTTCCCTTCTCTCCTTCTCCCTTGCTTGGAGACAGCCTGATCAATTTCTTCATCTTACTAGGAGCCCCAGGGGCTGCTGACACCCACTGTCTCTTTTGCTTAAATGGAAACATCACCAGGGCCAGGTCCTGGCATGCACTCTGGGAAAGATAAGGTGGAAAGTTTACACACCAGAGCTTCCAAGGAATGTGCAGAGAAAGCGATTTGTGATGTGTGATTTGAAACACCAAACTCCTTCTGGGCTCAGAGCTATGTCCTACCTCTGGGAGCTGCTGGATCCGTCTCTGCCCTCATGGCTGGGTCATGCGTGCCTATTTTAGGAGGAACTCTCCTTTTAAGGGGAGTCCAGCTGGCGGATGTTCCTCTCCAGCTTCCTGCAGTCCCAGACACTGGGCTTCTGCCAATGTCAGCCTGAGGTGGAAGCCATGCAGGCAAATAGTTTGCCCAGGTCCTGATGCTTCCAAAATCCTGTTGGTCCACCAAATTCCTTCTTCCCATTGTGCCCCAAGGTTGCTTCCGCCCACTGCATCCCAATGTTTCCCCTCTTCCACTGTACCCCATGGCTGCTATCATAGGCCTCCCATCTCCATCTAAATGTAGCCTGGTCAGATGGAAAAGGGGAGGCCCTGACAGCAGGAAACCTGCTCCCACATCCCTTCCTTTACCTCCAGTTCCGACACAGCACAGGGCAGGGCTGGACCCAAGCTTAGGTTCAGCAGCAGGCTCAGGGGTGGCGCACTGGGGCTCTAGCAAGACCAGGTCTGGAGATGAGCCTGGGGGCAGCGAGCATACTGGTAGCGTCTGTAGCTTAGGCAGGGAGGTCACATGACAGGAACCAGGCAGCCCTGTGGACCTGGGCAGGCAGGAGAAGAGAACATGAATTTTTAGAATATAGGATGTGGGAGGCAGTCAGAGGTTTCCAACCAGCACTTCGTTTCATTTGTCATGACAGAATGGACCCTAGAATCTTTAATGTCCCTAGAATGACCTTAGAATGTCTCCTGATTCCAGTGGCTTTTACCTCTTAACCCTTTCCTTGCTCACTCAAAGTGAATTTCCCCATCCCTCTTCTCAGATGACATGTGGCTTATTCCAGCCATCCCAGCACAGTCCATCCTGTCTCCATAGTGAAGACTTAGGCATATTTCCTGTGCACTCCCTTTCTCCAGCTCAACTCACCATGGGTCATCAAGCTCTTTAATGGCGGGGGGGCTGGATCCCAGGCTTTTGGGAGCTGTACCCAGCAGTCTGGAGATCCTGGTGGGTATGGGTACCTGCGGAGAGTCAGCAGCATCACCAGATGGCAGAGAGCCTAGTGCCAGTGGCCAGAGGGCAGGAACAGGGTCAATGACTGGAGCTGCACAGCGGAAGCAGGTATCGGAGGGATGCACATGGAAAGCCTCACTGTTGGTCAGAACTCTCCGGCAGCAAGTGGCAGAAACCCGCCTTCATCTGGGTTAAGAGATAGAGGGGATTTGTTGGAAAGCACTGGGGTAGCCACAGATGGGAGGAAAGAGTTGCTTTCCATATATCCCTCATTGCTCCTGGGCCCCCTTCTCTCATCCCCTAGAAGCACTTGTCTGGAAGGGCCCTGGAAGTGATGCCTCCTAACACACCATGCACTGGGCATCTCACTCACTTCATCTTGTCCCAGCCCTGGCAGAAAGCCCCAGCCACACACCCCTAGTCCTCCAGCTCCAGCTGGAAACATCTCAGGGAAGGACCCTGTTGGCTTGAGTCACATGCACAGCTTGCGTCTCAGTTTGCCTCAGACTTAAGTGGCTGGTGGAAGTGAGAGATCTCTAAAGATTCACCCAATCCCATTGTTCTAAGGTAATAAATCCTATAATTGCTGTATCCTCAGAACCCAGCACGGGGCACTGCATACGGTAGATCTGCTTAACCATGTACCAAATGCATCCGCCTCTTCCCCAACATCCATTACTACTGGAACCCACCAAGAACTGAATTCCATGGTACTTCTCAGGATTCTTGAGGTCTGGACTAAGCCCTGGATTGGGAAAGACGTGTTTATGATGCAGACCAGTTGGGGAGATTTTTCTTGAAGGAGCAGCAGCTTGGGAATAGCTGACCTGGTGAGAGCATTCCTCTTCATCTTGGCTCTGTCTGCTGTAGTTGGGGGTGAGTAGGGGTTTCAGCAGTAGAGGAATGGGAGCCCAGAGAGACGGTGATGAATGAGAAGGAGACAAACAGCTCTAGCCTGTGTGCTCCTGTCTTGTTGAGGCTGAGGGCCTGCAGGGACATTCTGAGTGAAGAACATGCCAGGCCCACCTGTGGACTCCAGTCGCTGGTGATGAAGGTAGCCAGATGTGGGTGTCGGTTAAAGGTGAGGGCTTGGGGGAGGTGGGAGAACAACCCACCGTCATCTCAGCCCCATTTCCCCTTTAGGAGGCTGAGAAGGGCTAATTAGAAATTTTGCCATCAGAGAGAGCAATGAGGTTTCCTACAATAGAGTCACAGTGTGAGCACCTGAGGTTGAATGTCCTTGGACCAGCTGAGCCTCAGTCTTACCCTCTGTAAGATGGACATGATGGCACAATCTACCTGATAAGGGTATCCCTGAATAGTAAGTGCACAAACATTAAGCTTAATTTCAGTCATTCTGTCATTTTTGATTGAGGCATTGCTTTGTGAAAAGTTCTATCATAAATTCACAATTTCAAAACTGAGCGTGTGGAGCTCTGGACTCTTGGAGTGACTGCCAAGGCCAAGGTTGGGGGCGTAAAATGAGGGCATCAGCGTGAGTCTGAGCTCTGTCTTCTGATTTCAGCCAGGCCAGCTCCACTCACACAGGTTTTCTGGGTTGGGGCTCCCTGTCAGATTTCATGTGCTGCTCTAAAGCCTATCCACAACTGACAGCAAAGTAGAAGGAACATGGGATCTGCATCAGCCTGTTCAGGTTCTTGCCCAGCAGCTCCACTGTATATGGTTGTGTGGAGGATCAGGATGCCGATGTCCCAGGATCTGAGATGAGTGCTCCTCTAAGTGAGCCCAGTGACACCCATAGAAACTGTGGGAGGTGGGGTGGGCGCCTCCTGCCATCTGGATGCAGTAGCTAGAGCTCAGCTAGGGTGGGTAACTTATTTAGGGTCCCATGGGTAGTAAGTGTGGGGAATTGAGATTCAAGTCTGGAAAATTCTCAGTTCCCGGGACATATGCTACTGAGCAGCCTCTCACCTGACCTCAAGCCTGGTGTGGCTTTTTCTTTAGTTGACAAAGAGGCACTGAATCTCTGTTAATTTGGGGAAGGCACTGCATCTCTTTGTTAATTTCCCTGCTCTGGCTCTTCTCTATCCTGCCTTCCACTCCATTCCTCCTCCTTCAACTTCACCTCCCATTTTCATCCGTTCTCTGCTCAGTTTTCTTTCTGCTTCATCCATGACCTCCTGGAGGCTCCTGGCTTATTATCTTGGAATGACCGAGGACAAAGAGGTCTGCTTCATAAAATTCGAGGGTCCCTGTTAGCACTGAACTTGACATTTGCACCCTATCTGTATCTGATGGGTTCTCTTCCCTCTGTGCCCTACTGTTCCACAGCTAAGCAAACCTCCCCAGGTCCAAAATTCAACTCTGTGTCCCATTTAGTGAATAAGACGATGCTTCTTTGGTGACCCATCCACACCAGGGTGGGTCCTGGTATTAATAATAAAAGATGTCCCAGGTTCCATTGAATCCATTAATGTTTCTAACTTAGCTGACTCATTGTGTAGAATATGCATGACTAATCCATCAAAAAAGAGAATTCTCACATTGCAAATTTTTGTATGTTTATAAGAAAGTTAGATTTTCTTGTGCTTTTCTCCCCACAGCACCTGTCATTCTGGATAAGGATAGCATGTTCATAAAAGGGAAATGAGTGGAGAAGGAGGGAAGGAGTTGTGAGCAAAGCATTTAAAGCGTTGCCAGAATATAAGCAACAGTGCTTCATGTCGTGAAAAACTGAGAAAAGGAGTCTTTATGTACAGGAAGAACTCAGCAGCTGACCTCAAGAAGAAAGGAAAACATCCTCTCTTCACTTTTCTCTGGGATGCCTGTGCCCAGGGTCTTGAGTTTCCGACTGGGGCATAATGGATTTTTGGTGGCCTGTGACTTTATTATGGGTCTTTTCCCAAAGTGTTTTGAAATGGTATGAAAGAGTGTATTCAGTTAGAAACCTTGAGTTCTACTCCCAGGCTACTTAGAGGTTGTTTTGCAAACTTGAACAAGTCAAGTAAACCTGACTTCAACTCTACGCAATGGATTATGCAATGGTTGAAGTTCTAAGCTTGGAAGTTTCCAATGAGAACAAATAGGGGTGGTGAGAGCTGCCCTGCCCCTTTCAGGGACATTAAGAGGGTCACCAGGCAGGTGAATGTGACAGTGCCCTAAAGTTATGAAGAAATCTGTGCAAAACTGTATGTTGTTATAGTTCTTCTTGGGGCTGATGCACCGTGACCCCTTCAACAGTTGATGAATCATGGGATAATTGTTGATGAGTCATGGGATAGGTGCTGCTTCAAGGGATGTGGATGTAGGTTGGACAGAGGCCGACCCCAACTCTCTACTCATTTGCACTGTGCATGGCAAATTTGTTCTGGGAGTTTCTGCTTTGCTCCTGTCTTAAGCCATCAGACCACGTGTTCAGTAGTCCAGCCCTGGCCACAGCCTCTCTGCCTGGCTGGGCCCAGGCTACTTCTAAACTCTCTGTTTTTTTTATTTTATTTTATTTTTATTTTTTTTTATTTCAGATTTTATCCAACATGGATGTCTTGATCCAAGAGAAAAAAAGGGATCCCTTCAAAGTCCTTTCCCCAGTTTCCTGCTTAGTCCCACTCCTAGAGCCCTAGGGGGTTCTGTAGCTCCTCTATATTTTCAGGGAACTGAGCTGAAGCCAATACGAGATTTTAAAAGATACCCTATCCTTAAGCAAAGTGAGTGATGGTGCTCAGCATCCATGCCAACGGTCAAATTTTGGCTGTTTTATTCACATATCTATGTAATTTGTAGTTTTTTGGGGGGTGGGGTGGAGGTGGCTGGACCAACAACAAACAGCTAATCTAAATGAGACATTCCTGGAAAATGAGGCACATAAAGCTTTCTCTTTTCATATCCAAAATGGAATAAACAATTCCACCAGCGACCACAGGAATGCTGCTGGGGCACGAGGGCTTCAGCCTTCCTGATGGTCAGGCACTGACTTTAAGCTTAGACTCTAGAATTTGTTAATGAGAGGCCCTCCTGGACAGGAAGGAAGGAGGCTTGCTTGGGGTCTGATCTGTAAAGCACACTGGTGGAAGCTGTTTACATGCAGCTACACAAGAGGCTTCTTCCTGAGTACCAGGCCACCCTCAGTAAGGCACTGAGTGAGCACCAGGCATCACCAGGAATGAGGTCTCTGCCCCAGTCCTGGCCAAATGGAATAAGCAAACAGACTGAGGGTGTGTCAGTGGCTTTCCTGAGTTCCCGCACCTGGTAAATGATGGAGTTTAGACTTGAAAATTCTGCCTCCTGTCTCCAGGTCCAGGGATCTCTCTGGGACGTCAGAGAAGTCAGTTAATCTCTGCCACTCCTTCCTACCTGGATGTTCAATGAAAAGCCTGTTGGGCTTTCTGAGGACTAGAAGGGGGACACTGCCGAGAATTCAGTGAGGCCAGCCCACACCCCCACCCCTTCTAGGAGATTACCTTTAGATCCTCCAGCCCCAGTCTGCAGCCTCCTGGGCTGATGCTTTCTTTCTCTATTTACAGACACTAATCATTTCCCATGCAATTGAACAACTTAATAAGCTGCGAAAATTTGATAAGACAATTTAATTGTCGGCTTTTACATATCTGCTCAATATAGTTGGGTTTCTAGGGAAGGTGAGTGGGGAATGTGAGCAGAGGCACTTAATTAAAGAACTAAAACAGTGGGGCTAGATTAGAGAGAACTCTGGCAGACACCAACCCTGGACCTACGTCTCTTCTCTCCCCCTTTCACATGGGCCCTTTCTTTGAAATTTTATAAGCTCCATCCTCTGGGTAGTAGCAAAATAGAGATGCAGGCCCAGGCACTTGATGTGCAGTGTGGGGAGCTGACTTTGCATGGGGCGGCTCCCAACTGTTATCGGGGAGCTTTTTCTCGGGCCCAAAGTGGTTGGGTTTTAAGGGGAAGACCTAATTCTGCGTGTATGGTCGTAGCTCAAAGGGATAGTTCAAAATGGCCTCCTCATTGATGGGGAAGGATGGGGGCTGATTATAAAAAATTATAATCATTTTTTTGGTCTTTTCCTCTATCTTTTTGGGGAATTTTATGGCCATTTGGGCAATGCTGCATCATGGAGTATTGATGCCAATTTTAAATCACACATCCTCATTTTATCTAATTGAATTCTCATGCTAACTCTGAAAGGAATAGGAATCATTATTCCTATTTCACAGGTGCAGATCCTGAGACTCAGAGAGGTTAAGAAACTCGCCCAACGCCACACAGCTAGATAAACACCTCAGGATTTAAATAGATTGCAGGGGACACCAACAAGGCTCTGCTCAGATCCCCTCAGATCCCTCTGGCCCATCTGTGCATGCAGTAACATCTGCTTCACCGTTGACTGCTTGAACCTGTGGATCCACTTCACCTAAGAGCACAGAGAGCTGAAAGGGCCTGGAATCCTGTTGCCTCCCGGGCAGCCTGCAGCCAATGAGTAACTGGTGCTGGAAAACAGAAGGCTGCTCCCTTGCTGGAGGTAGGACAAACACTGAGGTGTAATCTATGCTCCAGGGTCCCCCAGGGGATCAGGCTGAGGTTGGGACTTTGCCTAAAATCCCACCCTTGCTTGGTTTCTTCCCTTTCCCTGTTTTTCCTTCTTCTCTCACTCTCTCATTTCTGTTCCTTCTTCCTTAAATAAATCTCCTGCACACAAATTCTCATCTCAAGGTGTGCCTCTGGGCAGCCTGATGTGAGATACAGATGTGTGTTTGACCTCAGCCTGCCCTTTCTGGAGTCCTGCAGCCTCGCCCCTTGTTTTGTGGGGTTATCAGATCTCGCTACGTAGACTCGGGGTACGGAATACATCCAGCTTGGAATTTCTGGGTGCTCGCAAGTTCTCAGTAGAACGCTCTTGGAATGAATTACTTAGCCTCTTTAGGCTGCAGTTTCATCACCTATAAGACAGAAATAGTAATTGTATTGCTCTTAAAGGACTTTTACTTTGTGGAAAGCCAATGAGTCTGCATATGTAGAACACAGCAGCGAGCACATAGTAAGTGGTCGATAAATCTTCATGATTATGATTATCAGTATTCAAGTATTTGCCATCTCGTCAGACCTTGGCTTGTAGTTGGGAGTCAGAAATGAGGTCACTGTGCTGTGAGTTCTTGTTGGGCAGGAATCTGCCATGTGTTCCGTGCACTTTAAGCACTTATTAAAACATTTCGGATAGAAACATTTTCACAAAGGCTGCTCATTACTGTAGCCAGCATTTGCCTACGAATGTCAGGAAAACCATTTTATGATGTTGCTGTAATGTGTCGTGTTCACTGTCGCATTCTCTCTTTCGGTCTCCCTTTCACTGGTGAGACACGTTTGCCAAGCATTTCACAAATGCAGTGGGGGGAAAAGGGAAGAGAGGAAGAGATGGGAAAAGGATAGTGAAGGGAGGAGCAGGAGCAGGCAGCTCGGCGGCATTCCCCAGGCACCGCATTAAGGGCCTGATTAACTTAAAATATTTCCCAGCTTCTGAGGCACTTGATTAAAGTCAATTGGGGGGAAAGAAGATAAGCTCTTACAAGGGCTAATTTGAGGCTTAGAAAACTTGAATATGTCTAAATCTCAAATTGTCGGGTGTGTAGCGCTGGTGATTGTCGGGTCTGTGGGGAGAGCGTTTTAACATGCTGGCGGTGCATCCGCGGTACCACCTGTCCCAGCTCCCTGGTCCCCACCCTTCCTCCAGGCAACTGCCTTGCGTCCCCTCCCATCTTCCCTTTTCTTCCGCTTGTGAGGGCTTAGACGATTTTGCCTTTTGAAGGCACGGAAATAGATGGCTTTACATTCAGAACACAGCCTCTGCCTCCTTCTTCCTCCCCCAGATGCCTGGAAAAATCAAAATCGGGGTTTAGCAATGCAGTCCCGTGGCACTCTCTTGATGTGTTAATGGGTCGTGCTTGCTGCACTGCCGTCCCAGCCGCCAGGGACACTGTGATATGGGCAGAGTTCGCCCTTCCCCATCAGTGCAGGTGGCAAGGAGCCAGGCAGGGAGCAATTGTTTTCCTGTCATGAACCACACTGGGCTAACTTTTGATCTTTGACAGGGAATTTCCTGCAAAGATGCAGAGAGAGCAGGGCTGTAGTCCAGGCCGATCTGCTCAGCACAGTGAGGAATCAGGTCTGGGAGGCGTGTTTTGTTGCCACTGGATGCTGTATTAGTTTTCTATTGCTGTATAACTAATCACCACAAATTTAATGGCTTAAAGCAACGCCCATTTATTCGTATACAGTTTTGTAGGTCAGAAGTCCAGCATGGTATGGCTGAATTCTCTGCTCAGGGTATCATAAGACTGATATTAAGGTACAGGCTGGATTGAGTCCTCTACTGGGAGCTCTGGGGAGACATCTATTTCCAAGCTCACTCAAAGTATTGACAGAATTGGCTTCTTATGGGTGAAGGACTGGAGTCTGTTTCCTTGCTGGAGGTCAATCAGGAGCCTCTGTGAGCAACGTAAGGCCACTCACATTCCTTTTCCTGGGGTCGCCCGCATCTTCAAACCAACAAAGACATAGCAAATCCCCTTGTGCCTCAAATCTTTCTGATTCCTCTTCTGCCACCAGCTGGAGAAAATTCTGCTTTTAAATGGCTCATCTGATTGGGTCAGGCCCACCCAGATAACCGCTGCTTTTTAAGGTCTGTTGATTTGGGACTTTACATCTACAAAATCCCTTTACCGCAGTACCTCGATTAGCATTGGAGTAACTAGGGGACCAGAATGTTGGGAGTGGGGGGAGATTCTGCCCATCATGTGTGGCCTAAGACTGTGCCCTGGTTATGGCCAGAGGACCCCAGATAGCCTTGAACCATCTCTGCCATCTCTGTGAAGTCCCTTAGGGAGGGAGAGGGCACCCAGGGAACCATGGCAAATGGGAACAAAGCTATCAGCTTCTTATTCTCAGCAGGGTCTTAGAGGTAATACAGAGAAGTGACATAGTTTGAGCTCATGGGCTAAGGAAACTCTCCCTCTCCCAAGCTGCTTAGTAGCCATTATTCCTTCTTTCTGTCTTCCCCAGCTTCCTAAGACCAAGCAGGAGCTGTCAACAGCACCCACAGAGAAAAATTGCAGCCACTTCTTGCAAAACTTAATACTGAAAGACATTAGCATTTTATATTTACTTTATTTATTTACTAAAACAAGTAATTGGTGACTTCTAATTCCAGGTGGCACCTGGCAAGCAATTCTTAATACCTTCCAAGGCCCTTCAGATATAATTTTTTTTTTTTTTTTTTTTTTGAGATGGAGTCTTGCTCCGTTGCCCAAGCTGGAGTGCAGTGGCAAGATCTTGGCTCACTGCAACCTCCGCCTCCTGGGTTCAAGCGATTCTCCTGCCTCAGCCTCCCAAGTAGCTGGGACTACAGGCAAGTGCCATCACGCCCGGCTAATTTTTGTATTTTAGTAGAGACAGGGTCTCACCATATTGGCCAGGCTGGTCTTGAACTCCTGCCCTAGTGATCTGCCTACTTTGGCCTCCCAAAGTGCTGGGATTACAGGTGTGGGCCACCGTTCCTGGCCCAGATATACTTTTAAAGTAACAGAAAGGAGCAGAACAGGATATCATTGCCGGAAAACAAGACTGGTAGCTCATGATCCAGGTATCTAGGGCAGTTTCTACACGAAGCAGAATGGAGATTGCTGTTAAATGCCAAAGCGTGTTCTGCCACTCCAGTCTGAATGAATGTATTAGCCAAAAGGGAAGAAGACAGGTCGAGGGGTTCTCCCTCTCTCCGGGCTTCTTGGGCCAGAGGGCTAGTGTCCTGTCTAACCTAAGAACTGAACATCCATCCCAATAGACAGTGGTCCTGCCTTTGAGGCCCTCAGAGCACATTTTATATCTTCCCTCTCCTAGCCACCATCTCAGGACATCCTCTGGCTGCTGTCTGGAGCCCGATGAAAGGACCATTCTGGCCAGAGTGGTTCATGAGCTCAGTGCAGTGGGCAGCAGAGGCACCAGTCAAGCCCTGGAGCAGTGGATTTTGGGAACTGTAGTTTCCAATGAGCGCCTTTGTTTCAAGGAAGCAGGCAGTCAAGGCATAAGATCTCTTTCCCAGCTCTTCCATTTCAGCATAGTTAGTGCGCTTGGTGTGGAATTAATTCTCATATGAACACACCAGCCAACATGTATGAGATTCTTGCTGTTTATTTGAGACCTCTTTCTATTCTGGATTCAGAATTAGAACATTTTGATTAGCACCACACTCTAACCAATTGAGCTAACCGGCCGCTGTGTGAATTAGAACATATTGAAAAACGGAACTCTTACCTTCAGGAAATTGAAATACAACATGACACTAGTAATTACAATGGTTTAGCACAGGAGTAAGACTCAACCGACAGGTGAATAGAATAGAATAGAATAGAATAGAATAGAATAGAATAGAATAGAATAGAATAGAATAGATAGTTCTGTGTGAACTAGAAGTTGGTATAGACTAAAACACCTTCAGAATGAGAACAATAAGGGCATATAGTTCAACAAATCATATCGTGAAAATTGATTATTTGGAAGAAAAATCAATCTAGATAGATCCTCACCTTTTAAAAAAATCCCCAAAATATTAAAAAATTTAACCTTCCCTCATTCAATATACTCTATACAATTAAAAGGCAAACAGCAAACTAGGTGAACATCATACGCATTTGGCAGAAAAAGGGTTAAAACCTTTGCTATACAAAAGGGCCTTCCACTCCAGGAGAAAAACTAGTAAAAGATGTCAACTACAGGTGAAGTCAAAAGGAACTATCTTTACAAGATAGCTTTACATTTTTCTTTTAGAAGAAAAATTCAAAGGCGTTCATTGTAATAACACTTACAAGAACCAAACATTACCCCAAATCCTTGACATGTATAATAATTAAATAGTGGTTAAATAAATTATCAAAAATTTGTGTGGTATAATATTGGGTAACTATTATAATTTTGCTTTAGAAAATACTTACTATCACAGGATCAAATATGAAATTTCGGCCAGGTGCGGTGGCTCACACCTGTAATCCCAACACTTTGGGAGACCAAGGTGGTTGGGTTAACTGAGGTCAGGAGTTTGAGACCAGCCTGGCCAACATGGGGAAACCCCATCTCTACTAAAAATACAAAAATTAGCTGGATGTGGTGGTGGGTGCCTGTAATCCCAGCTACTTGGGAGGCTGAGGCAGGAGAATTGCTTGAACCCAGGAGGCAGAGGTTGCAGTGAGCCGAGATTGTGGCACTGCACTACAGCCTGGGCGACAAGAGTGAGACTTTGTCTCAAAAAAAAAAAAAAAAAAAAAAAAAAATTCATTTTTAAACAGTGTGAAATGAAATATGCTATATAATAACCCATACAAGTGCCTGCATGTACAAGAATAAAAGAGACTCCTTGAACCCATTAACCAATTGTTCTCTCTGCATGATACAATTATATAGGATTCTTAGTTGCTTCTGTATTTTCTTTTTCCTTTTGCGTTTCTGTTTTCCAAATTTCCACAAGTTTTTACAAGCAAGTTATATGAGTTATTTTAATAAACCAATAGCTGTTGAATTAATGTATAAAAAGCAAAAATCCACTATGGGAACAAGTAAAAATAGGTGGTGTATATTATTACTAGAATATTATAATATTGTTAAAAACACAATATCTCTTTAATTTATTAACACATTTTAGTTAAAACATGAAGAGGATTTCACTTTTGAAATTTGGCAGAAGGATTAGGAAATAACCTGGGAAAAAACAAATGTGTAAAATTAGGATAATTCTGTAAAAAATAATAATAAAGGAAGGGTGGTGGTTGGAGATGTTAAAATATATCATGAAGATACAATAATCAAAACGTTTGGTTTCAGGTAACAAATGAACAGAATGGAGCCCCTAAATATACTAAATATCCAAGGGAAATTTAGGACAGTTAGTTGACCCTTGAACAACAGGGATTTGAACTGCAGGAATTAACTTACTTGTGAGTTTTCTTCCGCCTCTGCCACCCCTGAGAGAACAAGACCAACCCCTCCCCTTCCTCCCTCTCAACCTCCTCAACTGAATACAATGAGGATGAAGATCTTTATGATGATCCACTTCCACTTAATGAATAGTAAATATATTTTCTTTTCCTTATGATTTTCTTGACATTTTCTTTTCTCTAGCTTACTTTATCGTAAGATACTGTATATAATGCATATGACATACAAAATATATGTTAATTGACTATGTTATCAGTAAGGCTTCCAGTCAACAGTAATAGTAGCTAAATTTTGGGGGAGTTGAAAGTTACATGTGGATTTTTGACAGCGTGGGAGGTTGGTATTCCCAACCGCCAAGTTGTTCAAGGGCCACCAAAGCATGTTAAAAGAAGCACGTCACATCAAATCTTGGGGAGGGAAAAATAGATTTATTTCATTTTACTTATTTATTTTGAGACAGAGTGTCTCTCTGTCACCCAGGCTGGAGTGCAGTGGTGCGATCTCAGCTCACTGCAATCTCCACCTCCTGGGTTCAGGGTTCAAGTGATTCTCCTGCCTCAGCCTCCGGAGTAACTGGGATGACAGGTGCCCACCTCCACACCCGGCTAATTTTTGTATTTTTAGTAAAGACAGGGTTTCACCATGTGAAAAGGCCGAGGCCAGGCTGGTTGCGAACTCCTGACCTCAAGTGATCCGCCTGCCTCAGCCTCCCAAAGTGCTGGGATTATAGGCGTGAGCCACTATGCCCGGCCAGGATGAATTATTTAATACATGAGACAACTGACCAGCAGTTTTGAGTAAAGACAAATTATGAGGCTAGGTCTCTCTTTTTTTCTTTCACTAAACTGACTTCTAAATGGATCACAGTGTGGTGCCCTCCCTGGTTTAGAGAGCGGCAGTGGCTGCTCCTTGCAGTTAGAATGGTGCCATACATGTCCCCGGAAGTCCCTGCCCACCTCTGTGGGGTGATCCCTCCTCTCATGACTGAGGAACTCCTCTGAGGCTGCCCCAGTATCTCTGTGCCTGGGACTCACCAAGCTCCTTCCTGCTCAGCAACTTGGCACCTGGTGTTCTCCTGCCTGGCACACTTGTCCCACACTGCCTCTTTCTCATCTTGCTTATGTGTCCCCTCCTGAGAGACCCCCCTGGGCACCCCCATCCTGCTTTATTTTCACATAATGACATTCATAATCCTGCTTTACTTCAAGTTTATTTTATTTAAATTTATTTTCACATTCACATAATCCTGCTTTATATTCTCCATAGCTCTTGTCATCTTTGAAAATCATTTATTTCTTTTCTCCATTTACCTTTTGTGATGGGCTCATGATGTCCACACTGGGATTAGAGTTTTTGGAGGGCCACTGTCTTGTTCACACAGTAATCCCAGTGCCTACAAACAGTGCCTGGAACAGAGAGGGCACTGAATGAAAAGGAATCTCAATGAATGACCTCGAACCTGAAAATGAAACAAGAGATCAATACCTTTCTAAACGTCCCAGAAAAATGCAAAGCTGTGAAGGAAGGGGATGGGAATTCTAACTAGACATGAATTCATGCATTAAATAAGAACTGGGGAGAGACTACATGTTTCAGGCACTGGTAGAGATGCTGGGCTGCAATGGTGAACAAGACAGACAGGGTCCTGTCCTCAGGGAGCTTGTATTCTGGAGTGGAAATGACAGAGGGAAGCAAACCATAAGTACCTGTACACTGTGGTAAGTGTAAGAAGACAGACATGGAATGGAGACAGAGGATAACCAAGGCAGGCCTCCTTTAAATGGGGGATACCAGAAGCCTCTCTGAGAAGGTGACTCTGAAACCATGGCTCGAAGAATGGAAGTGCCGTCTTCTGTCCGCTATCTGTCGACAAGAGGAAAAAACATTCTAGATGGAAGTTAAACAAGGTACCAAGAACTGACACGAGCAGGAGCTCAGGCATGTGTGGTGCCCAGTGAGTGAAGGGGAGGCATGAGCTGGAGAGACAGGCAGCTTCTGGACCAGGAAGGGCCTTTAAGGTCATGGTAAATTTGCAGAATTTATTCTAAGAATGATGGAAAACAGTAGGAAGGTTTTACGCAAGGGAGCAACATGATCTGGCTTTCGTTTTTAAAAGATTACAGTTGTGGTAAGGGTGAAAATGAAAGGATCTGTTAGAAGGTTATTTTATACATTAAAAAAATCCATGGCAAAAAATATGATAAAGAAATAAATTAATAATAAACCGAGGGGTGGGGGGGGGACAAAAGTGTGTACCATTTAACCAAAGGCTGCTTTCCTGAATGTATAAGAGGGTTATACAAAGTGACGTGGGAGAAAAAGTAGAAAAAATGGGCCAAGGCTATAAACAAGCATTTAATAAGGGAGCTTCTACTTCATCTCCCTCTCTCTCCTTCTCTCTCTCTCTCTCTCTCTCACACATACACACACAGACACACACACCTTCCTCTAAACAAAACAAAACAACACTGCACAATGCCAATCAACATATGAAAAGAAGTTCACTGGTAGTCATAATACAAGAGATACAAATCAAAATAGTAATAAAATTCCATTTTTCACTTTTCGGGTTGACAAATATTAAAAAGTTTTCTATCATACTGGATTGACAAGAGTTTGGGAAAAAGAGACACTCCCATACACATTTAATGGGAGAAATGTATGTGTGTGTGTTGGGGGGACTGCTAGTGTAATGTCTGTCTGGACGACAGCTTAGCCACATCTTTCAAGACTTGAAATGCACATGGTGTTTGACCCAGTAACTTCCAGTCTTAAGAACATATGCTATGGTGATTCTCCACGCTTTGAAATGAATGTATGAGGTGCACATAGCATTTCTGTTGGAATGGAAAAAATCCCAACAAGACCACAAATGACCATCAACCGGAGTGTGGTTAAAAACTTTCTGGTTTATCCATTAATGGAACACTTTTTCCTCATTAAAGAAGAATGAAGTGAATCTATATCACTGCTGTGTAACCCTGTCTGAGGTATACTGTTACATGAGGATAATAAAATTGCAAAGTGTAGAACAATGGAAAAGACACACATACACATGCACATGCACATGCTATTTTATGCAGAAAGCATTTTCTGGAAGGATCTATAAGAAACTGTTATATTAACAGAGGCTGCCTTTGGGGAAAGGAGTGGGGTTTTGGGAGGCTGGAAGAAAGACTGTGACTTTTCATTTTATATTCTCTGTAGTGTTTGAATTTTAAAATATACTTTATTAAGCAAACAAAATATGTTAAAAATGAGAAACAACATAGTGATCATTATTCCAGGCACAACGAACAATAATAACTCCTAATAATGAATAATAAAGATTATTAATAACCCCTTTGCATTTGCAGGACTATGTACCATTTACTAACCTAATGTCTTCAGACATTACCTCATTTAATTCTCAGCAGGGCAGTCGCAATTATCCCCCCGTTACTGATCAGATATCAAGAACCATGTTGGGGGAACTCAGAGTCTACGTTTGATTCTCTGATTCTCTTCCCAGGCCTTTTCTCTACTCTAATCTGATGATAGAGACAAAGGGGCTAACTGTGAAGGCAACTGCCCTTCCCAGCACGTGCCAATAGAGGCAAAAGTTATGGGTTGCTCATCTATCCCCCCCGACCCTACCGTCTGCAGTGTGACCTTGGGCAAGTCACTTGCACTCTGTGGATGATCTCAAATGCCTCTTCCAGCTCTAAATATCTTTGATTTATGCTGAATGTCTTGCGGAGGTAATTGAATTTTCAGGGTGGTGTGTCATAACTCATTCCTAAAAGTTTGAAACAGAAGTTCATGGACAACATCTAAAGAATTGGGGTCTTGAGCAACTCTGTAAATTACCTGTTCCACAAAGCACATTAGTCGTACCCTTGAGATGACTGCTGGGGAAGAGATGTGGGTGGTAGCCTCACCTTGCTCTGCTTCCAGCTCAGGCTGTACATCCTCCTGCAGGAGGTCTCTCGCTTTCCCCCTTCCAAGGGCCACGGGGCCCTCCTCTGGATGGGAACACTCACCCTAACACTGCTCTTCCACCATTTCATTATGTAGTTGACCCTTGAACAACAATGGGGTTGGGAGGTTAGAGATGCTGACCCCCTGTGCAGTCAAAAATCTATGTGTAACTTTTGACTCCCCCAAAACTTAGCTACTAATAGCCTACTGTGGACCAGAAGGCTTATCAATAGCACAAACAGTTTATTAACCTGTATTTTGTGTGTCATGTATATTATATACTGTATTCTTAGAATAAAGTAAGCTAGAGAAAAGAAAATGTTCTTAAGAAAATCATAAGGAAGAGAAAATATATTTACTATCATTAAGAGAAAGTAGATCATCCTAAAGGTTTTCATCCTTGTCGTCTTCATGTTGAGCAGGCTGAGGAAGAGGAGGAAGAGAAGGGGTTGGTCTTGCTCTCTCAGGGGTGGCAGAAGTGAAGGAGGTATAGGAGGAGGAAGGGGAGGCAGGAGAAATGGGCACACTCTGTGTAACTTTTACTGAAGAAAATCTTCCTTGTCAGTGGACCTGTGCAATTCAAACCCATGTTGTTCAAGGGTCGACTATTCAGTTGGTATTAATCCCTCTTCTCAGGGCAGCATTCCCGTTGTGTATCCTTTGAGCCCAGTGCAGAATCTGGAACACCATATATACGTGGCAGATGTCTGTGAAACAGGTAAAGGAATAGCTAGCCTTGGCTAATTGTCTTGCCCCACTGTTTAAGACTTTGTTTCTTCGAGTGTTAGATTTTGGAGTTGAAGACGTCTAGAATCTTAGAAGCAAAGGACTATGTACTCAGGGAAATTCTAAGGATAAAGTCTTAGAAATCAAGTGGAGGCAGTGTGTGTGTTAAGTGTATGAGTGACAGACAGATGCCCTGGATTTGAATCCTGTTTGAATCTCGCTTCTTCCTGGTTAGTACGGCAGATGCTGTGAGGACTCCACTCAGGACCCTCTGGCTGTTCAGTGTGTCCTCTCCACTGCCAGAATCTGCATCTGCATGCTCAAGGGGTTCCCCACCCCAGGACTTTGCAAGGCTGCTTTGCCATATAAGGTGGAATGGAAGGTCCTTGGAATCAATACCTTCCCTCTTCATCCTCCCAGCATCCCCCAACCAACCATCCTTCTAATTAATATTGTGGAATTTCATGAAATTTCCACTTCTATTGGTGAAAGATGAGTGGCAATTTCATGTGGTTGAATCTCATGTAAACACTGTGGCTCCTTTGTCCTGTAGGTGGGCTTATTTGATGGTGGATGGTCTGCCCACTTCCCAGAGTTGTCCCATTGGATTGATCCAGTCGCCACTGTGTAGCCAGTTTACCAGCCACCTTCTATGGCCTGCAATTCCTTCCCTGTGTCACTTCTCCACTTCCCTGCTGATATTTCCTAGGATCATCTCCCAAGCCAACTATATGCACATTGATTTTTGTCTTAGAATTTGCTTTTGGGGGAACCCCAACCTAAGCCATTCACTTTCCCATTTGGAGAATGGCCTCATTGTCAAGATCAAAAGAGGAAATGCATATAAAGCTCTGAGCACACAGTGAGTACAAATCAGTATCAACTGCGACTGTTATCAAATACAACACATTCCTTTTAGAGACGTGATAACTGAAGCCCAGAGAGGGGAGAGGGCCTTCTCAGTGCTACTCGTGGGTTAGCTTGGGCTTCTCATTTCTGGCCAAGCACAGGAAGGTGGTGCCAAAAGGCAGAGCACTGGCGGGCTTCTTCCTCATCCTCCTAGAACAGCTGCATGTTAGGTTGTGATGGGGTAACTAGCTGCCACTCCCTCTGTATATACATGCAGCAGTGCACCCGAGTGTTTACACGTGCTTGTGCACAAATATTGACATCCAGTGGGGGTATTGGCACATAGGATGGTGGGGCTTCTTTGAGCAGTGACCAGAGAGAGCACTGGGCAGGGAGTCAGGAGTAAGGGTCCTGGTGCCATATTTGCTGCCAAGACTCTACCCAGCTGGGCTGCCATCATCCAAATGGCAGGATTCTTGGGTGGAAGCCTGGTCAAAATGTCAGCTCAAAACAGACGGAGGGATGAGACAGATGAACATTTTGGATCGACCTCTGATCCATCAGAAATCTGAATGCAAGGTTGTAATGGAAAGCTGTTTTGTTGCTGACCACTCTGGGGCTTTGGATCTAAGTGTGAGGCCTTTCTGAGGATCTATTCTCTCTCTGCTCTGCCACCCAGCCCTGGCGTAGGTGGGCCAGGTGGGGAAGGGGACGTGGTGACAGAGGCGACCTCCTATGCAACTCCTTTTAAAGGGGTCTGGCTTGCTCTATTGGACAGCATCCTGGGCAAATACAGGGTGATTCTGGTCCTGTCTGTGCCATGAACTTGGTGGCAGATTCCCTACCTGAAGCCAGTTTTTTCCTGTTTGGGTGAAAATTCTAATGTGCCCCTGACACCATTCTGCAACCATCTTGCAGGAAGGATGCCTCAAGCTGATAGGAACCCAATTTAACCTGTCAGCCCCTCTCCTACCTCCTCCTTATTGCTGGGTGGGGGCCAGAGCCAGGATCCAAATTCTGGGGGGTATGACAAGCTTGGGTCTTTTCTGGGCCAGTGCTGTTGTCTACGCAGCAACATTTCCCAAGTTTGTTCTAGAAAACACATTTTTGTGGGCTGTTATTAGGTATTCATTATTAAAAGTGTTCTGTGGTGATTAGGTTAGCATGCCAGTTACAAAAGAAATATTAACTCACATTTAGGTCAATTAAATTAAAACCAATGTCAATCTACTAAACATTTATTGTGTTAAGCCCTGTGCTAGGCATGTGACTGCAGAAAGGAGTGATTGATGTGCCCTGGAATGGAAAGAGCTTAGCAACTAGATGGGGAGACAAACTGATAATCCCATCATTACCATAACACCATAAATATACAAGGGCAAGAGCAAATGTGTATGTGGGTTATGGGGCTAATGTGGAGGAAGGAGTAACTCTGGATGAGGGCGGGAGAAAAGGTCTCATAAGTGTCAATTTTTTAAGGCTGGATATGTTTCCCTGGTGGCAAGATGACTCACAGGACTTTCCTTGTGAGTATGTCAAGCACTATGTGTAAGGCACAAAGGCTTGAAGCAGCATGGGGTGTTTGGAAAACTACATGACATTTGGCAGGTTTAAATGGATAGTTCCTGAGAGCAGGGGTGTATCTCCTGATAAGGCTGTGTAGCCTCATCCTTCTCCTATATTATTATGAAAAATAGAGATTGGAGTGTGTGGCTCCATTGACCTTTTGGAATCACTGTAATCAAATGTAGACAGCTGCCCAGATTGTCTGAGTCACCAAGGAGGAGATGCTACAGAAATGTGGCAGCCAGGAGATAGCCAGGCTGATAGAGGTGACAGGCAGAGGAGATGCTGACAGTGATGGGAACCCTTCACTTTGGGACTGTAATGATGGTTGGATTCACAAAGTGTGTCCTCTGCAGCAGTGCCTTGGAAACTTGAATGTACATGCTTTTCACACGGAGGAGGAGTACGATGGGGCGGTGCGGGGTGGGTGTTGGTGGGCCGGATCTTATTGAAACCTGAGGGTCTTCCTTTCTAACAAGCTCTCAAGTGTTGCTGATACTGCTGTTTCTGGGACTGTGCTTTCAGTACTGAAGCTCTAGAGTAGGGGTTGGCAAACCAAGGCCCTTGACCCACTACTTGTTTTTGTAAATAAAGTTTTATTGAAACACAGTCCATTAATTTATATATTATCTACAGCTGGTTTCACCCTACAATGGCAGATACCATATGCCATTGTAGCTGTGACAGATACCATATGGCTTGTAGAGCCCAAAATATTTACTATCTGGCCCTTTGCAGAAAAAGTTTGCTGACTTCTGCTCTAGATTCTTGAACATGGCTGTATTTTAGAATCACTGGGGAAGCTTTTAAAAATCCCAATGCACAGAATGCATTCAGACCACTTAAATCCTAATATCTGGAGGTGGGCTCCAGGCATCAGTACTTTTTTGGATCCCCAGGTGATTCTAATATGCAGCCAACACTAAGATGCATTGTTGGAGAGGCTGCCATGGTTCTGATTCATATTATGACTGCAATTCAGGAACAGGTCACTAAGAGGCAGTGGTGCTAGTTAGCAAACGCACAAGTGGCAAAACAGCGTTCCTTAGGCATGGATATCTGGGTAAGTCGACTCTAGCTATCAAGGTCTCCCAGCATTATGAGAACTTGCATTAAAACCATGTAATCACTCATGGGTGATCAGCTAATGTAAACCACTTATCCTATTGAGCTAAGGCAAGCCTGTGAATCTGTGGGCCTCAGAACTTTGTACAAAACTACCTGCTTTAGATCTTTTATAAGTAATTCTTTAATAGAAATGGCTTTTTACCTGGGCCTTATCTTTTCTAATCTTGGCTGGTGTCATCTGAATTTGGCCACTGGGCTCTTTGTCACGTCTTCCATTTTATATGTGGTATACACTGTGGCTTAAATGAAACTAATCATAAGCATAACCAGCATCCGTGTGGCTCTCAACAGCTTATAAAGGACTTCACATCTACTGTACCATTTGGATCCTTGCAAAGTCTTGTGTGTCAAGTTTAGTCCCATTTTATAGGTAAGGAAACAAGTTCATAGAGTGGAAGTGAGCTTTTCTAGAACTAGTGAGTGGTAGAGGTGGGACTCCTACCCATATCTTCTGTCTGACACCAGTGATGGCAATGGTTAATGTCCTCTCAATTTCAGAAACAGCGCCTTTTGGCCGACATTACAAAGCTGTCTCTCATTGCCCCTCGTTCCTCTCTCACTGCAGTCTGGTCTCCCCTGCCTCATTTCCTGGTCTCTCTTCCAACTCCTTTCAAATGAATAAAAGATTCTATAGCTTCTTTATAAATACTCTGCAGGTTTCAATCCAGCCTTTCTACAGATTCAAACAAAGTCCCTAAGGGGCTTGATTCCCTCTTCTTTTTCCTTTCTGTTCAATACGTTTGAACCATTTTAAACCTAACACATCAGAACTGTTTCTAAAGGCAGGTACCCAGTAATTGACTCACAGATGTGAGTTTCAGCCTTGCTACTTGTGATGCTATCACTTGAGACCACTACAGGTCACGGGGAAGACAAATAACCTCCAACTGGAATTCAATTTCGTTTCCTCTGCCCAAGTGAAACTTTTTCACCTGTCAGCCTCACGCTCGTTGGGAACAAAGAACCAGCCTCCTTGAATCTGACCTGGGTGGGCTGTAGTGTTTGGGAGGTACTGAGAGATGGATGTTGGTCCACTCCAGTCTGGCCCTTTGCCCTGGGACATGCTCGTTGATTAGATGCCGTCAATCCAATTGGTTTTCTGTCTTAAAGCCCTTACCTTTCACTTTAGGGAATGAAGTGTCTAAACCACAAAGGCGAAAGGGGGGAGAAGTCCAAATACTTGTAGTTGAATTTGTGTTTCATCCTCTACCTCCTGCTATCAGGGAATCAATTTCTGATGTGCTCCTCTGAACAGGGAGAATGCTAAACAAAGCAAACCATGATTAAATGTCCAAGGGGAAACATCAATTTTAGAATGGACAATAAATATAAGTGAAGAATATTCAATGTTTATCAACTTTTGCAGATTTACTGCACCCAAGTGGTCTGACCAGACAGAGAGGATGTAGGTTCTGACAACTTATCATGGATTATCTGGGACAGAGCTAATTTTATGTCATTTTAGTGTTTTTAATAAAGGTGGTTCATTACGTGTACAATGAACCTTGGTTGTATCTTTATATCTGTTTTAGTCTTTAGAGATTAATGTTCCCTAAATCATAAAGAAACAAACTCTTTGTTAGATGTGGGTGGAGGAAATATGGGTAATTACAGAGCTCTAATGGGATGTGCTGAAGCTAAGATCAGTTACTGGTCACATTAGTCAGGGGACTAACAAATCACAGGCACCAAACTTGAACTGGTTTAAGCCAAAAATAAGATTTATTGGAAAGCTTCTAGAATTAAAGGACAAGAGAAATCAGGCCACAAAAAGCCAGGAACCAGGGCAAGTCCATGGAGCCCAGGAACGGGTAATAGATCTTCAGACACCCCAAGGACTGTCCCTCCACTTCCCGTCTCTGTCTTTAGCCTCATTCTCTCCTTGTGAATTCCCTCTATAATTGCAAGGTCATCTGCAGCTTCAAAACTCACATCTCCACAGCTTCACCAATGGGAGGAAAAGGGAATCATCTCTCCAGTATCAGTTAAATGTCTCTGGAGAAACAACTCTGATTGGTTAGACTTGAGTCACATGTCCAAGCACTGGACCTATCATTATGGCTAGAGAGAAGGCATTTGACAGGGAAATAACAGTTCCTGTTTTCAGTGCAAGGCAGGGTTGCAGGGAGAGAAGCAGCTTTTAAAGAGTTGCGGACACAGGATTGGTCTTGGGGACAGTCTTTGAGAGGCAGCCACTCCAATTTGTGTCTGTACATTTATGACTTAGAAGAAAATACAGAAAACTATAGAGATCATTTATTAAAGACTTACGTATGTGACATGTCTTTAAATAGATTGTTCTACTGATTTCAAGCCACTGATATAGGCGCAGTATGGATGTCCTCATTTTACTTACGAGAAACACAGGTCCAGAGAGGTTAAATAATGTACCCCGAGTGACACTACTGATAAGAGGAAGAGCTGGAGTTGGAACACTTGCTGGGTTTGACCCTCAAGCCACTGGCTATGCTCTTGTCCCCATAGCACAGAGCACATTGCAATCTTTCCCAAACACAAGTTTGCTCATGGCCTTTGCTTGCTTAGACCATCAGTGGTCTCCTCACTTTGCTTACAAGTTTAAGTTCAAATTCCTTGTCCTGGCCGACAGACCCCTATCATCATCTCTTCCTGGCTAGTCCCTCTCTCCCAGTAAGAGTTCTCATTCCGTGCCACACTCCCAGTGCTTTGTCTGAACCATTGTTAATGGCCCCATCACATTCTGTAGTGGGTATTTACATAGCTGTCTCCTCTGCTAGGCAGCAAGGTTGGAAACATTGCCCTGTCCTTAATTGTGTCCCTGTCTGGTCCTTTGTTTTCCTTGAGAAGACCAACAGTCCATGAATAGACAGTCCTGGAATCCCCATGCTGGTCCATCCTCTCACCGACCATATGCACAACTCATCTTCTAGCACCTCCCTGTCTTAGCCCATTTATGTTGCTGTAACAAAATACCGGAGACTGGGTCATTTATAAAGAACAGAAATTTATTTCTCACAGTTTTGGGAAAGTTCAAGATCAAGGGGCTGGCAAATTTGGTGTCTGGTAAGGGCTGCTCTCTGCTTTTAAGATAGTGCCTTATTGGCCGGAAGCGGTGGCTCACGCCTATAATCCCAGCATTTTAGGAGGTCGAGGCAGGTGGATCACCTGGGGTCAGGAGTTCAAGACCAGCCTGGCTGACATGGAGAAACCTTGTCTCTACTAAAAATACAAAAATTAGCAGGACGTGGTGGTGGGCAACTGTAATCCCAGCTACTCAGGAGGCTGAGGCAGAAGAATTGCTTGAATCCGGGAGGCGGAGGTTGCAGTGAACGGAGATCACGCCATTGCACTCCAGCCTGGGTGACAAGAGCGAAACTCCATCTCAAAAATAAAAAACAAAAGATGGTGCCTTATTGTTGCATCCTTTGGAGGGGATGAACACTGTGTTCTCACACGGCAGAATGGATGGAAGGGGCAAATTTACCCCCTCAAGCCCTTTTATAAGGGCAATCCATCCACAAGGGCAGAGCCCTCATGGCCTAATCACCTCCTAAAGCCCTGCCTCTTAATACTATTGCATTGGAGATTAAGTTTCCGCATGAATTTTTGAGGGGACACAAACAACCAAACAATAGCCTTCCATCCCTGCCCTCTCCACCCACCAAATTCATGTCCTTCTCACATACAAAATATATTCATGCTATCCCAATATCCTCAAAAGTCTTAACTCATTCCAGCATCAACTCAAAAATCTAAAGCCTCAATTCTTATCGAAATATAATTTAAATTAGATATGGGTGAGATTCAAGGTATAATTCATCCTGAGACAAATGTTCCCTCCAGCTGTGATTCTGTGAAATCAAACAAATTATGTACTTCCAAAATACAGTGGTAGGACAGGCATAAAATGGACATTCCCATTCCAAAAGAAGGAAACAGAAAGCAGAAAGGGGTAAGTGCTCCCATCTAAGCCCAAAACCCAACAGGCCAAACAACATTAAATCTTGAGAATTATCTTTTTTGACTCCATGTACCACTTTCTAGACACACTGGTGCAGTGGTTGGGCCCCCAAGATTCTGTGGGACCCCAACCTCCATGGCTTTGCTGAGTGTGGTCCCCTCATGAGTTGGAGTTGAGTGACTGCAGCTCTCCTAGGCTAGTACTACATACTGGTGGCTCTATGGTTCTGGGGTCTCAGGGATGGCTCCACCTCCACGGCTCCACTAGGCATTGCCCAGGTGGGGACTTTCTGCTGTGGCAGTTCTCTGTCTGGGCCCTGAGGCTCTCTGAGGCATCCTTTCTAACCTAGGTGGAGGTAGCCATCCTTCCCACAGCTCATGTACTCTGTGAGCCTGCAGATTATTCACCACCTGGATGCTGCCGACGTTTACCACTTGTGCTTCCCACAGCAGTGGCCTGAAGCAGACCTGTGGCCCCTGGAGCCATGGATGGGGGGGCGCAGGGGAGCACGGTGCCTAAAAGTGGGGAGCAGCAACTTGAAGTGGCCCTGAGCAGTGAGCCCTGAGGTCCCATGGGTGCTCTGGGTCCTTCCTTTGAAACTGTTCTGCCCTCAAGGCCCTCCTGTGATGGCGGTGGCACCTTTGTGGTCATTCTTCCACTGTCCTGATGAGTAGCATCTGGCTTCCTTCTAGCCACACTGATCTCCTTATCAAGGGTTCCCTTGGCCATACCCATGGTGTTTTCTCCCAGACACGTTTTTGAATTTTTAATAATCTGGCCAGGCTGAGAATTTTCCAAATCCTTAAGCTCTACTTCCCTTTTAATTATAAATTTCATTTTAAATTCATTCTCTCTCCTCACATTTTGCCATAAGCCATCAAGAGAATGCATGCAGCACCCTCAACACTTTGCTTAGATATTTCTTCTTCCAGATATCCTGGTTCCTTGCTCTTAAATTGTGTTTCTATAAAGCCCTAGGACATGGACACAATTCTGCCAAGTGCTTTGCCACTTTGTGACAAGGATAGCCTTTCCTCCAGTTTCCAATAAGATATTCCTCATGTTCATCTCAGACCTCATCAGAATCACTTTTACTGCCTGTATTTCTACCAACATTCTGATCACAACCACTTAAGTAATCTCCAGGAAGATTTAGGCTCTGCCTACGCTCTCCTCTTTTTCTGAGCCCTCATCAGAATCGTTTTTAATGCTCTGTTCATGGCATTGTAGGCTTTTTCTAGTATGTGTCTCTGAACTTTTGAATCCTCTCCTCATTATTCAGTTCGAAAGCCACTTCCATGTTTTTCGGGTGTTTGTTATGACAACACTCCACCTCTCAGTACCAATTTCTGTTTTTGTCCATTTGTACTGTTATAACAAAATTCCTGAGACTGGGTCATTTATGAAGAACATAAATTTATTTCTCATGGTTCTGGAGGCTGGGAAGTACAGAGCCAAGGCACCAGCAGGTTTGGTATCTGGTGAGGGCCTGGTCTCTGCTTCCAAGATGACTGCATCCCCTGAAGTGTTCTCCCATTGGTGCCCTGGGCCCCTTTATTGGGAGAAAAGGGTACATGGAGGGGATGGAAACTCTCTCCTCACATGGACAGAGTTTTCTCACCCTGCTTTGCCCTGTTTTGCTTAGTTCGGCCCTTCCCTCCTCCCTTCCTTCCCTCTTCCCTCCTCCCTTCCTTCCCCCTTCCCTCCCTTCCCCTTCTGCCTTCTTCTCCCCTCCTTCCCCCCTTCCCTTCCCTTCCTTTCCTTCCACCTTCCCTCTTCCCTTCCTTCCCCCTTCCCCCTTCCTTTCTTTCTCTGTTCTCCCCTTTCCCCTCCCCTCCCCTTCCTTCTTCCCTTCCTCATTAACTCCCCTTATCAGCTGGGTGTTGGAAGTTTGTTCTTGTTTTAAGAGAATCTCTACTGATCTTGCAGGAGGAAGAGGGTTCTTATTCAGAGGGCCAGGGGAGCCTGCCTATGACAGACTGTCCCATGTTTAAATAACCAGGCAGGGAAGTCCAAATGTATCCCTAAGGTGTCCTGGCAAAATTCTAGAAAATGGAATGTTTTCTGAGTGTCTTCTTGTGAATGCACTGTCCCTCATTAATCTCTCATGGGTCTGGGACTCATTTGCTCCCCAAAGTGAGGTTGTTGGCCAGGCTGCTCAGAGGGCCTGGGCCCTGGGTGTGCCTGATGGACATTAGTTATTCTGATCTTCACTGGATGAGATGAGATGCACCTGTGAGCCCATTCAAGGGGCAGGCTGGGGAGGGCCTGGCTGGGGACCCTGGAGAAGAGAGGGCATCTGTGGCAGACAGAGATGGGGAAGGTGGGTCTGAGGGATGGGTCAGAGCAGCACGTCTGGAAGCAGACACAATGAGCAAGCTGGTAAGAACTACCCAAGGTGGCCCATCCCCTGGTCCCAGAGAGAGTACTGGGCTGGGAGTCAGCAGGCCCGAGCTCTCTTTTCAGCTTTGCATTGACTCAATGTGAGTTTTCAGGCAAGCTCTGTGTAGCTAATTTAATGCTTGAGGACCATCTGGACCTAAATACAATTCCGGTCTGTAATAGTTAATTTTATATGTTTACATGATTGTGTTACAAGGTACCCAGATTTTTTTTTTTTCATTATTCTGGGTGTATATATGAGGGTGTTTCTGGATATTGACATTTCAATCAGTAGACTGAGTAAGGTGGATTGCCTGCCCCAAAGTGGATGGGGCATATCCAACTCAATGAAGGCCCAAAGAGAAAAAAAAAGACAGAGTAAGGGAGAAGAATTTGCTCTCTCTGCCTGACTTTATTCAAGCTGGGACATCAGCCTTCTTCTGTCTAAGGACTCAAACACAAACTGGAGCTCTCCCATTGACTCTCCTGAGTCTCCAGCTTGCCAACTGCAGATTTGAGGCTTCTCTGCTTCCATAATCACACGAGCCAATTCCTTATAATAAATATCTTCCTATATATTTTGTGTGTATATGTGTGTCTGTGTGTGTACATGGTATTGGTTCTGTTTCTCTGGAAAACTCTGACTGATACATGGTCCCTTTGGAACACTGGGAATTGTATAGTTTATTCATGATGTCCCACCACTGACTTCCTTAAAGAAAATGCCCAATGCCTCTTAGAGACCTGCACAAAGATGCTCAATAAATATTTCTGGAATGGATGAATACACAAAGCAGACATTAGAAAACCTTAGAACATTTCTTCTTAATGAGTATGGTATACTGTCAAAAGGGCATGGACTTTGGACTCATACAGGTCTGAGTTCATATCATGACTCCACCATTCGCTGAGGAGCCATAGTTTGTAAAATGCAGTTGGCATTACCTTCTTTCCGTGGTTTTTGTGAGGACTAAGCAACATAACGCCTGAATTTCCCACAAGATAGTAGGTGTGCCCGAATTAGCGGAAGAGGCTTTGAAGAGCCAGGAGGGTCATGCGCTTGACTTTTGGATGGATTCTTGAGCCATCTCAGGCAGACTGGACTCTAAAGAACTGTAGTAATGGCCTCCTCCTCTGCTCATAGACATTGAAATGCTTGCTACAGTGATATTTGTCTTGTTTTAGGTTTGTGGAACTTGCAACAGAGAGGCAGTTTATCGCTTTTCTACTTGTGATTCATTGGTGTGTCACACAAAGTATGTGTGTGGGTGTCTGTGAAAAAGAAAGAATCCTCCTATGGGGTTAATGAACTCAGAAAAACATGTATTTCACAGTATTCCATCCAACTGAGTTTTTCAGTGAAAAAGCATGAATCTTAACCATTGTATTGGGTAAGGTCTTGATGGAGTCATTTAACTACTCTAGATTTTAGTTCACCTTTTTGCAAGATGTAAAGGACACATTCTCCTTGCAGTGGACACAGAGACGCACCACCTAGATCCCCCTTCAAAGATGAGATGACCCAGCTGTAGGAATGCTGTCAGCGATTGTCTCCAGCCATCAGCTCTTTTATTTTTTTATTTTTTTGAGACAGAGTTTCACTCTTGTTGCCCAGGCTGGAGTACAGTGGCGCAATCTGGGCTTACTTTAACATCTGCCTCCCGGGTTCAAGTGATTCTCCTGCCTCAGCCTCCCAAGTAGCTGGGATTACAGGTGCCCACCACCATGCCCAGCTAATTTTTTGTATTTAGTAGAGACAAGGTTTCACCGTGTTGGTCAGGCTGGTCTTGAACTCCTGACCTCAGGTTATCCGCCTGTCTTGGCCTCCCAAAGTGCTGGGATTATAGGCATGAACCATCAAGCCCGGTCCCAGCCATCAGCTCTTTTAGAGAATCCCTCAGGGCAGAGCTCTCCTTCTTGGAGGCTTGGGCCTCTGACGACTGCTGGAGGCAGGGCGAAAAGGCTCAGCCATTTAGTCCCAATGTGGCAGGGACTCCAACAGGCAGAGGGCTTCCTGGAGTGCAGGGTATGATGGTCTGAATGTCTATGTCCCCCTAAAATTCATAGGTTGAAATCCTGACCCCTAAAGTGATGGTATTAGGAGGTGGGGCCTTGAAGAGGTGATTAAGTCATGAGGGTGGAGCCCTCATGAATGGGATTAGTGTCCTCATAAAAGAGGCCTGAAGGAGCTTGTTTGCCTCTTATCAGGCATGTGAGGTTATAGAAGACGGTCTTCACCAGACATCAAATTGCTGAGGTGTTGATATTGGACTCCCAGGCTCCCAAGCTGTGAGACAAACTTTCGTGTTGTTTATAAGCCAATCGGTCAATGGTGTTTTTTTATAGCAGCCCAAGTGGACCGAGATACAGGGAAAGGATTTAACACAGGGAAAGGAAGCAGGTGCTGATACAGCTTCTGCAGGGAACCGGCATTCTATGAAGGAATAGGATGGAGATGTCTTCCACTCCAAATGTTGCAGGAAGTTTCCTGTGAGTTCTCTCTTCCTCTCCAGCTGCACTGCCTTCTTCCAGGCTATTCCACCTCCTGCCTCTCACCCTCCCAGCCCACACCTCACACTGAGGCCAGGCTACCTCTCACCTCCCCATTCCTCTCACCCACTGGGCAACATTTAAGCATTATACCTAGCCTGAGGCCCTTCATGCCCCACGCTAGCCTCCCACAGTGGCCTTTTCCCCATGCCACTTCTCGGATGTCCAGCCGCCCTGCCATTGCTCGTGTCCTTCGCTGTGTCTAGAACATCTTTCCTCACTTTGTCTCCCTGGCTGAATCCTATGTAATCAATGAGGCAGAACCCAACTGTTTCCTTGACACACCTGGGCATGAATTATAGCTCACTTCTCCATCCGTGCTTTTGCAGGCTCTCAACACACCTTTATCCTCCCAACACTATGCATTGTGATGTTGTTTAATTGTCCAGCTCCTCTGTCAGAAAGTGGTTCCCCGCAGGCAGTGACTGACTGTCAGACTCATTCCGATTCTCCAGGGTAGCACAGGGCCTGGCCCACGATGGAAACCTAGTGTAGGTTTCTGGAAAATAATCAAATGGCCTTGAACTCTACTTTCTTATGTCCACATGTTCCTTCTTTTCACCCAGGCCTTAAACACCTGGAGAGTAGGGGTGATTGATTACAGGTTCTTTTTACAATCTTCATTGCTTTCTGACTCCCCCACAGCCACTCGTGCCAGCTAGGTCATGTTATTGAGTGTGATAAGTGGCTTTTGGATGAGAGAATGGGTGACATTCACTCTTTGAGCTCCAGAGCTCACCTCAGTGTCTTCTATCTCACATGGACACATTGTCAGAGAATATTTTTATCATCCTGTCATGCTTAGAAAGCCGGGTCCTTGATCCAGGTCATTTCTAAGTCAAAAGTGATACTGTCTCCAGATCCCTGTGCTCAGAGAAAATCCCTGGCAGAGCCTCCTGCTTCGGGAGACACGGCGTGTCCTTTTGTAGCACATCTCGCACACCTGTAGGGTGATGAAAGGTAATTTAACACGTGTCCAGGCCTCCCTTGTGGCTCTGCAAGTGGGTTAATGAGATGTTGGGTACAGTGTTAAGGGGAGAGTTGGAGCCCACCAGTGTTAGAGAGAATGAGAACCTCAGGCAACGGGCTCTGCCCCTTACTCAGTTCCTATTCACATGGGCAGCCCCTGCTGGTCTGCATTCCAAAGCCAGGCTTCCCTGGTAATAACACACCTTCTCTGTGGTTCTCTATGGGCTCCATTATGTAGGGAAGTCCTCTAGGGCATGGTGCTGGACAGCTGTTTATTGAATCTGCCCACTGTGAGCACTAGAATTCAAGATGCAATTGTCACTGTGATCTCCCAGATCAACAGTACCCAAGATTCTGTAAAGCTTGCAAAACCGTTCACTGAGAAAGATAACTTGAAATATGATATAAAACATATTGGATTGACCAAACAATTACTTTAATGGTTACTATCCTTTCAAGCAAAATAATATACAGCCAGGGTATGACGTTAGGCTCCCATCTCTTCCCTTTTGGGAACTGGGAAAACCCGCTGAGCCAGAGTGGCTAGAGCTTACCAGTATTTCAGTAGGGGATATGGAGGCCTAGAAATACAAGACAGTGAGGTAGCGCATTATTCTTCATTAAGAATGCAAATCCAATGGGAGGAAGAGGAAGAGCGTAGGAAAGGAGAGAGAGCAACTTATGTGGTCTGGTGGTTATGCCTGCCATTCTCGATGAGCACATTTCCAGGAACAGGTGAGAGATGCTGATGATGCTGTTCTGCCATTGGTCTTGTGACCTGTGAGCCTCTTACGGGTTGAGACCCTGGCTGTGATCCTGGTGCCCACAGAGGTGTGCTTCTTACCCACAGCCTCCTTTATTATATTCGGCCCATGACTGCTTCCATTACATGTAGTTACATCTTTTATTGAGCAGGGGCTGTATAAACCAAGTGAAGAAAACTGTGATTTATGGATAATTTAAGGGATCCTCGGGAGGCAATTTGAACAGTTTTTTTTTTTTTTTTTTTTTTGCCTTATGTGTTGAACTTCAGACCCCAATCTCTGGGTCAGATGTAGCTCCACTGAAATGATTACAGGGATGATGAGGACAACATAAACAATAATGCTAGCCATCATTCATTGGCTATCCACTCATCTTAGCCACCAGGACAGCTGCATCCCATGAACTATCTTCATTTCATCTTCGTAACAATTTTGCATATGAGACGTCATGATGTTTTTGATGCCATCTTTTATATTGAGGTATCCATTTCCATTTCATAGAATATACTTTGCTGACCTTTTTCACATGTGCACACTCATGTAACCACCACCCTGATCGAGATACAGAACATTGCCATCTCATCAAAGAGTTTTCCATGCCACTTCCTACTCAACACTGTCCCCAGCCCATGGGTCATTATTCTGACTTCTAAGACCATAGCCTATGGCCTCATGTTCTAGGACTTCATACAGTGGAATAATGCAATAGACACTTTTTAGTGTCCAGCTTCTTTAGCTCAACATAGTGTTTTTGTTGTGTTTATCAATAGCTCATCTTTTTATTGCTGTGAAATACTCCACTGTATAAGCATACTGCAATGCATGTATATTCAGGCATCAAATATTATTATTTCTATTTTATAAATGAAAAAAATGGAGGCCTGGAGGGACAAGGTAAGTTATATAATGTCACACCAGTGGCACGTGGTACAGCATGGATTTGAACTGAGGTTCATCATACTCCAAAAGCTCTTGGGTCACGTTAGCTCCAGCTTTAGTCCTAGAAGAGAAGGCTGCACGGAGCAGATGAACATATACAGATTAAATACAAGTTTATTGACTATAGGATGCAATAAATATACCCATACCACGAGCCCATTACACTGCCTCTTCCCAGACAGTTTTCTGCAGATAGATTAAGCTTTGAAAATTCAGGCACTTCCCAGGATAGAAGGCTAGGCCATTGCTAAAGCTGGAGTCTCCATTCCTTTACTCAGAGTCCTGATTCTTGAATTTACAGAAGAGGTATTACTTTGATGTTTGAATCTTGCCTTTGATCAAAAGCTTGCTAGCTCCCTTGTGTCTCTTAGAACAAGACAGTAGTTCTATTGTGCTGGCGTGTGTTGTAACATTTTGGACAGCAGAAATGACATTTACATGAAACAGCCATCCTTGGAATGCATGAGATAAGACAATTTCAACAGCTCATCGAAGAAGAGTCCCCAGCGTTGACTTTAAATCAAACAGAAGTAATAGCGTGTCATCCTGGCTTCCCCTTCTCTACCTGATGTTAATTAAAATCCTGATAACAGAACTCAGTCAACATCCATATGAGGAAGACCAAAGCACAGCTGAAAAATGTTCAGATGAAAGTACAGTTAATCAGAATTAAAACAAAAACACCCCCTACACAGTCTTCATTCTTGTTTGGCTTCTATTGGATGAGACGATTAATATGTGAAGGTAATTTCTAAGGACCCCCCTGTTGTACTTCCTGTACCGTTTGAAATAATTGAACAGTTACTTTGTGCAATGTTATCAGAGTTTATTAAATTGTTCCCATCAGCTCTGTCCAATTACCCAATTCACTTGATTTGCATATTGCAAAGCAGAGTGGTGAAAAGGGTTCCCAGAGTAGAACCTCTTTATTTTTGAGCAGAGAGAAGTTGTGAAGTTCATTTGGTTCAAATCATGTTCTCTTATGGATTAGGCAGCTGGGCTCAGAGGTGGGAAATGACCTGCCCAAGATTCATAGAAAGACACAGACAGGGAATGGCTGTGCCCCCATTCCCCTAATCCCCATCTGCCTGCAAGGCTCCAAATGGGCAAACCCCATGTTTTCTCCAATGAGGCCAGTGTCTGCCTCCATGTTTCCGAATGTCCCAATTAGTTCCAATTTAGACATGATGTTAGGCATACACTTAAAATGCAAATCTATTCTAAGAGGACAGGAAATAATAAAGGCAGATTATTCCAGTTCAATTTAGTAGCTCAAGGAACTTGAATATGTTGAAGTGACAGGCTCGATAGTCCTAAATGAAACATTATTCTTTCTTTGGGTGCAAAAAACTAGCTTTAAACACTTTCTACCTCCATTCTTGTCTCAGAATCCTCCTCTTCCATCTAATTTGGACAATTGCTTTTATTTTTTGACTTTTATTCTGGAAATTTACCAACTTACTCATGAGCTAGAGAATCATATAATGCACCCCTCATATGACCACCATATAGTTTAACAGTTACCAAGATGTGGCTGGTCATATTGTCTATTCCCTCATACTTCCCCATTCACTGGATCATTTTAAAGCCAATCACAGGCATTAAAATATTTTTGTCCATCATTTCTTCAGTATGAACCTTATTTGTTTTAAGGTCACTGTAACTTATATAAAATGAATAGTGATATATGAAACTTCAGTAATGACTATTTTGCAGCTATTAAAATAATATTTCTAACATGGGAAAATAGTCCTCATAATTTAAGAAAACTTAAATACCAACAGAATGTAAAGTATGTTCTCATGCTGTAACACACACCTAGAATCTAAAAGGATGTGTATCAGATTGCAGGGTTTAAAATTCTTTTTGCTTTTTCTTTTCTTCCCTGTTTCTTTTTCAGTGAACATGCATTATTTGTGTAATAAACAGAAACAAAAATCTCGTTGTTTAAAGCCATCCATGAAGACCATGTGAGAGGGTGGAAAAGGGAGGCTGGATTCTACTAATTGGATTGGAGGAAGATGTAGCAAGGAAGAAGAAATGGGCCCTTGGCATGTGGCAGGGAGGGGACCTACTTAATCAAACTCAATGATAACAGGAGTAACGGTGATTAAACTTCTTTGATTCAACAAATGTTTAAGCAATCACTCTGGGCCAGGCATTAATGCTGCTTGTGGGATTGCAGTGATGAGACTAGAAACATTTTATAAACTTGCTCCTCTAAGTGTGGGGCATGGACCAGCAACATCAGCATCACCTGGGAGTGTGTATGGAATGCAGATTCTCAGGACCCCAGCCCAGGCTTCCTGAGTCAGCATCCGTTTGTAATGAGCTCCCTGGGGGATTTGAATGCTCCGTCAAGTCTGAGAGGCACGGGGCTGGACTGTGGCACCTGTGACTGCCGGGCGTGTGTCCCACTTGTTCCTGCTTCCTTACCTCGCTCAGGGCCTTTCCCAGGAGGGCATGCTGGGAATGTTCAGGGTGTAAGCTGGCAGTAGAGGTGGGATCCTGGTGCACCTTGTTTGACCAAATTAATGGACGATTGTCTGCACATACTGCTTCTGTCCTGCTTGCAGCCTTTACCGACTGACCACTGCCAAGAACAGGTCTTCAGGCACCCTGGCCAAGCATGCAAGGCTGAGGGCAGATAAGGCCTGTGAGACATTGGTCTTTTTATTCTTGAGCATCCATCTACTTTCTCAACTCTCTGCCTTTTCCCCTGCCATAAGTACTCTAAAAAGGCAGATCTATACCTTCTCTGTACTTTAAAGCCCAGGTGCAAGGCCATTTCTTTCAGGGAGGCTTCCAGGGACACACCAGCCAGCGGAATCTCTTCTGCCTCTGCGCTGTGAAAAACCTTCAATCCCCGAAGCCTCCATTTCTTCATTTGTAAAATGGAGATAATAATTCCTTCTTCATGGGACTGCCTTGAGGGTAAAAATCACAAATGTATATAAATCACTTAGGGTGATGTCTGCCTAATACATTCCATGAACTGTTCCATGCTTAGCAATATTGGAAAAACATTGAACTTCTATGAGGCGAGTACTAAATTCTCCTTATTTTATAGATGAGGAGACAGGGACACACACAGTTTCAGTGACTTGCCCAAGGTCACCACAGCAAGTGAAGGGAAACCAGATGTGAGCTCAGGCAGTCTAACTCAGACGTATACCCTCCTTATATTTGATTGTGGTAAGAACGCTGAATGTTAGATTTACTTTTTTTTTTTTTTGACAGAGTTTTGCTCTTGTTGCCCGGGCTGGAGTGCAATGGCTCAATCACGGCTCACTGCAACCTCCACCGGGTTCAAGCGATTCTTCGGCCTCAGCCTCCCAAGTAGCGGGGATTACAGGCGCCCGCCACCATGCCCAGCTAATTTTGTATTTTTAGTAGAGACGGGGTTTCTCCCTGTTGGTCAGGCTGGTCTCAAACTCCTGACCTCAGGTGATCTGTCCGCCTTGGCCTCCCAAAGTGCTGGGATTACAGGCATGAGCCACCATGCCCAGTCAGATCTACCCTCTTAACAAATTTTTAAATGCACAATACACTATTGTTCACTGTAGGCACAAAGTTGTATAGCAGATCTCTAGAACTTTTTCATCTCACATAACTGAATCTTGTTGCCTATTGAATAGAAACTCCCCATTCTCCCTGACCCGAGGTCCCTTAGCCTGTGGTTACTCTCTGGTTCCATGAATTTGACTATTTTCAGTTGATCATATAAGTGGTATCATGTAGGATTTGTCCTTCTGTGTCTGGCTTATTTTACTTTGCATAATGTCCTTCAGGTTTATCCATGTTGTCACATATGGCAGGATTTCCCTCTTTTAAAAGGCTGAAAAATATTCCATTGTACATTTATAGAAATCGAAACTCTTGTGCACTGTTGGTGGGAATGTAAAATGGTGTAGGCAGTATGGAGATTCCCCCCCAAATTAAAACAGTATGGAGATTCCCCCCCAAATGAAAACAGTATGGAGACTCCCCCCCAAATTAAAAAGAAAACTACCATGTGATCCAGCCATCTTCCTTCCGGCTATGTTCCAAAAGAATTGAAATCAAGATCTCAAAGCGATATCTGCACTCCCAGAGTCATTGCAGCATTACTCAATAGCCAAGATGTGGAAACAGCCTAAGTGTCCACTGGCGGATGAATGAATGAAGTGCACACTCTTAGATGCTTGCAATGGGGTACTAAAGGTGGTATTTTGTCCCCCATCCCCATCCCCCAGTGCTAAGCTCAATTACAGCATTGCATAAATCAGCGCATGTTGATTATACATTTTCCCTGACAATATGCTCACCTTTAGGTGCCATGATTCCAGCTGGAATATAGCCACCCTCTCCATCCCCACTGGTTGGCTAAGGTGTCTCGGAACAAAGACACATGCAGGCTTTCTTAGAAGGAATTGCAGCCTTCCTCATGGCCTCCTTTAGTAGCAGACAGATGGCCTAGACAGCCTCCCATCTGCTCACAGCATTAGCAGTTCTTCCTGGTCATCTCACGTGGTTAGCTGATGGAATTAAGGAAAGAGCCCTGGATTTGGAGTTAGGAGACGGAAATCAGAGCTCCTGCTCTTGGATTTACATGTTGCATGCATGTTATTTAATCTCTCTGAGCCTCAGTTATCTTATTTATAAAAATGGGGACCATAGACCATACTATCAACCTCACAGCATTGTTCTGATAGCCAATGAAGCATGACCAGAAAGATCTTTCAGACTATTGATGTTTAAAAGCATAACCCACTAGAAGTGATGAATTTGAGTGCAGAAAGCAAATGCAGTTATTGAGTGTAACATTCTGTATTTTTTCTTTTACTTGAAATTAGATCCCAAAGATCCCAAAGATCTTAGTTCAAATGGCTAGTCTCCACGATTACTTTGAATAACTACATATTATATCCTTGGGTGGATGTATCTCAATTACCTGGACCTCTTATACTAGAAAATGATACACAGAACATCATTAAGCACTCTTGTTCTTTTTGAATTGTAACTTAGAATAAATTCCTAGGTTTATTATTGGTGGGAGGGGGGAGATTATGTGCACCATTCTGATTTTTTACTTGCATTTTCATATTATTTTCTTATAACATCAGGCAATTTTCACCACAAGTTCATCAGCATTGGGTTTTGACCTTTTTTTTTTTTTTTTTTTTTTTTTAACAAAAATACCAACTCTTGCGTTTGACAAATCACAGCTTGGCCATCACCCAGTCAGCTGAGTCTCTTTCACATACTCACAGTATTGCCATTATTATCTCAAATGACAAATAATTTATTTTTACGTTTATTTCCCAGCACTCCCACCTAGCTGTGAGGTGCATGAAGACAGAGTCTATGGCGTCTTGCACAGCTGGAGGAGAGTAGGCTGACAATAATTCATTATCTGTTGAAATCATCTCTATTTTCTTGCTTAACACTAACAGTCACCTTATACATTTTTAAAATACAACTTAAATTTAGTTTTGCCCAGAGACGGTGGATGTTGGGTTGGAACCCAGGCTCTAGTGGACTCTGATGAGTTCTAGGGAAGAGTCTGTGAGTTTTATCAAAGCACAGCTGCACTGCTGCTGTGAGAAAACGCTGGTGAAGCCTCTCAGTCTCATATTTTGTAGAGGAAATTTGGGTGCACAATCCAGTAAACTGATTATAGATAAGATATTTTTCATCAAAGGCATGCTGACATAGGCTGGGAGGTGTTGGCAACACACATATCACCTGATTTAGTCAGACGAAGTCCCCTGTCTGAAGAGACAATGGTTGAAAATTCAACCTGGATATTATTGCAGCGAGGGAGGCTATTTTCAAAAGAAGTTTTTTAGAAACTTATTTTAAGCTAAAAAGCAGACTGAGATAAGGGCTCGGTTGGTGAGGAGGCTGTGTGTAAAGCATGCATCTGCTGTGGTTTCAGGAGGGGCGATGGAGACGCTCCTGAAGCCGACGGGCAGGGGGAGGCTGGTGGGAGGATGAGTGATGTCAGTCAGGGCTCTGTTGGAGGATGCTTGGAAAGCACAAAGAAGTGCTTGACAAGTTACAGGGAAAGAAAAAAAATACAGCTAGAGAAGACTGGCTGCCAGGCACCAGGAAGAAAGTGGGAGAAGAGAAAGGGACAGGGAAGGAAGGTGCTTGTGAGACATCTCCTATTTGGTCAGGAGTGGGGTACATCACCTCTGGGCTCACACCAAGGGTGGTGCAGAGGGGAAGAGGCAGCCTGTTGGAGGGTCCAGGGCAGTGCCTCTTGGTTCCAACCACCTGCCTCTGGACCCATTTCCTGACCACTCCCTGCCCTAGCCCTCCTCACCTTCACCTGTCCTGCAGCCCACAGCCCTAAGCTGTTCATGTACCATCCAGACTTTTGCAAAAATCTCTTAAATGATTACCTTACTGCTTTGTCTCTTTCCAACACTCCATCTTCCAGCTGCTGCCCAGAGTGAGCTACCTTTCAAAGCAATCAATATGATCTCATCATTCCTCCACTGAAAAAGCTTCAATCCTCATCACCTCTGGGAAGTTTCTTTGGGGTGGCATTCAAGGCTGTTCACAAGCTGCTTCATGGGGATCTTTCTTTTCCTCATCTCCAACCACATTACCCCATTCTGTGCTTCTTTCCTTTCTGGCTTCTTTGGTGATTTTTTTTCTCAGATCTATATGCTTCCGTATAAGTGATTCTATCTTCCTGGAATTTCCTTCACCCCCTTGTCCCCTTAAAAAATTCCCCCTTATCCATCAAAGCCCAGTTCAAGTACCCCCTACTTTATGGACATTTCCTTGTTCATATTTTATTTTCTTTTTTGATTCTAAAAAATTTATTATTTATTACTATCTTTCTTAGTGATGTGCTCTTGCTATGTTTGCTAGGCTGGCCTCAAACTTCTGCCCTCAAGTGATCCTCTCATCTTAGCCTCCCAAAGTGTTGGGATTACGTGTATGAGCCAACACACCTGGCTCCTGTTTCCATTTTAACAAGAGAAGTGGTTGTGTTAAAGGAATGAAGATCTAACCACACCCTGGGGCACAAGGTGAAGAGAAGTTTGTTGAAGGTGTAGTAAAGGAAGGAAACTGACATAGAGTACCTACAGTGTGCTGGGAATTAACAGACCTAATCACCTTTGGACATTTCAAGGAGTCTAAGAAGTAGGGAAAACTGAGCCCAGGGTGGTACAGTGGCTTGCCTGAGGTCTCCCAGCTAGTATGAGGCAGATCTGGGACTAGAACCCACGTCTTCTGGACTCCAGTGCCCATAGTATTAACTGGCAGTGTCCTCAGCAGCCCTGAAATTAGAGCATGGAGACACAGCTCATTCTTCCAGTGAGGATGGCCCTGTTTGTTGTCTGTAGCTGGAAATGAGGAATCCGAGGCCCAAAATTGTCCTGAATCACCCTTCAGTATTGCAAGACACCGTTAGTGTAGTTAAGAGACAGAGATAATTTAACAAAACATTTTTACCTCTAGGGTTGGAAGATGACACATTTCTTGGTCAAATTCCAGGTGGCCAGAAGCTTCTGACATTTGAACCACCTGGTCACTGAGTACTCTGGGTAAAGATGGGCTCATGCACCTGCAGCTCAGGAATGAGATGGCTTGCCCCCTCTGTGGAGGCCTTCACACTATATTCCTCCTCTCCCCTTTTATCCTGGATGGCTCTCACCTCTTTTTCAAGCATCAGTTTACACATCACTTTCTTGGGGATAACCTCCCTGAATTTAGATCCCCCTCATGCACTCTATTGTCTCCTCCATGGCACTTGTATCACTCAATTGGAGTTGCATTTGGAAGCAAACTAGAAGTGTTGTTTGCTTAATTGCTGCCTTCCTTGTTGCACTGTGAGGGTCATGAGGAGAGGAACTGTGCTATTGTTGCCATAATTTTTTGGCTCACTGCTGTATCTTCAGCCCCTTCTTTGTGCCTGGCACATGACAGTCAACAAATCTTTGTGGACTGCAGTGAAGAGCACATATTAGATGCTCAATGCCTTCTTGTTGAATAAAAGAAGGACAGAGTGGGTGGTTCTGCTGAATCTCTGCCACTGGGGGGCAGAATCAAGAGAAGGCTCCTGAAAAACCCATTCCCAGGATGCTGAAGTCAAGGAGGGGCTCTTTTCTCTTGAGGAAGTCCTAAGATTTAAAAGGAGCAAACAGAGGAGGGGCACAGAAAAGGGGCTGTGAGGAAAAGAAACCTAGACCTAGGCTCTGGCCCAAACTCTAACATTCACTTTGACTTTTCATCCTTAGTCTCCTCATCTGGAAAATGGGCATTTGGGCAAAATGACCCTTAAGGTTCTTTCTAAGAACTGTAGCTGATGATCAAGTTGGTGGGATATGGTAAACATTGGCCTAAACTGAGGACCAGGGCTGGAGGTCTAGTTCTAAGTCTTCCAACTCATTCCCTGTGTGACTTTAGGTAAATTACTTGCTCTTTCTAAACTCCATTTGCCCATCTTATTGTGGGGTGTTTAGGTGAGACAACCTCCAAGGTACCATACACACACACACACACACACACACACACACACACACACACACACACAGTTATATATATAGTTATATATATATACACACCAGAGGCCCCAGGAATCCTGACCTAACCCACTTGGTTTCTTCTGGTCTACATACAGCCAGGTAAGATCATCAGTTATTTCCTCCCTTCAAGTAAGATTCTTCAAATTTAGAATATAGGTGGATAGCTTAGTGTGGAAACATACACACCCCAGTGACAATTAGAAGGCCTATGTTTCTGTCTTGATTCTACCACGATTTGCTGTGTGACCTTGGGTTGGGTATTTTACCTCTCTGAGCCTTACAAGTTACATTTCCAGTGAAGAGGAAGTAGATAATCCAGAAAGGCCCTTTCAGCGAAACCATTATTTGACTTTACTTAAATGGCATGTAGAAATTCCACTACACAACCGAACATAAATAAGCCTTGCTAAGGCAGCCTTGGGAGAAGAGAGCCTCTTACCTGATTGTGCCAACTCTGGGCTCCTGGGTCTGAACCTCACAGGTTATTTGGGGTCTACCCAAACATGGCTTGGTCAGAGCATCTGGAGGGAGATCTTTTCTTCAGATTTAGTGAAGGCTTTGACATGATATGTTGGGGGTGCCACAGTTTACACAGGTATGAGAACTGAATACCAACTTGTGTATGAAGAACTCAGTTGATTCTTCATACAATCTAATCTGGGATCCTTGCTCCTTCTCACCAAGGACTCAAGAGACCTATAAATGTGTGCCTGGGATAGTGGGAGAAGTGATCATCCAGACAGCATTCCTCTTTTTTCAAGTTCTGCAGATTTTCTTCTTTATGTTCAATATAATACCTATCACGCTTATATCATTCATTCTGCTAATATTAATTAAGGACTTACTGTGTGTGCCAAGCACTGTTTTAGGCATGAGTCTGTAGCAGAGAACAAAACAGACAGAGATCCCCGCCTTTTGGAGCTTACCTGCTTGTGAGAGGAGGCAGAAAATAAGCCGATAGGTAGATCTATCACGTGGTAGGTAGGGATAAGTGTCGGGGAGGACAATACATAAAGGAAGGGGAGCAGAAGGCCGGCAGGTGCTCTATCTGTGGGGTGGCCAGGAAGGTGAGGTGAGGTGAATGAAGGGAGAGAGTGAGCCAGGCAGGTATCTGGGAAAAAGATTTGTCTGTCTCTGCTTTTTTTTTTTTTTTTACTTTTGAGACAGGGTCTCACTCTGCCACCCAGGCTGGAGTGCAGTGATGCAGTCATAGCTCACTGCAGCCTCGACCTCCTGGGCTCAACTGATCCTCCCGCTTCAGTCTCCTGAGTAGCTGGAACCTTAGGCCTAAGACACCATGCCTGGCCTGCTTCTGCTTTTAAGTGGCCTCTACATTTAAAATGTACAGGAAGCCATTACATCTTTTTTGTTGCTCTAATATCCACCTCCCTAATATCCAAATGCAATGTAGTAACTTTCTGTATCTTTCTCCAATCTCATCCTCTAGTTTCTGTTTTCTTTGGAGACTAGTCCGTCTCTCTTTGCCTAGAGGGAATGGCCGTGTCTTGTGTATAGTCTGTGCTGAAGCAGATTCCCCCTTGGGCAGAAACATGGTCGCCGTGGGATCCTCCGTGCAACACCATTTTACTTCCCCTGGAAACAATGTTGCAGAACTTGATGGCTGATAGCTTCATGCCCAATGTTGTGAGCATTTCAAAATAATCTTTCAGAATTCAATCATTAATGTTCATTAGATGTTGGGGGGAGATTCAATGCCTGACAAAATGGCCAGTGTGGAACTACTGAAGCAGGAGACTTTGGAATATAAATGAGGGCTTTTCTAGTCTGAACACCTGGTTGCTGAGAGAGGGGCACCCCAAATCATGGCGGGAATGCTCATCAGGAGAGACAGCAATCGCAAGTGCCAGATATTTGGCTCTTGTGTTTGTCAGTGATTCATGAAGTGATTATCAACATTCGAAACCACTTCATGAATCAACCAGGAGCTGGAAAAAATATTTAACCATAATGAGCTCATTTCCATAGAAATAGGACCAGACCCACTGGTAGGTCAAAGAGTTGCTGTGTCTTAGACTTCACACCCACTTCTCCTGCCACTTCCTTACATCTGACAGGCTCATTTTAGGCCTCATTATCTTTCATCCTCTCGGCCTCATCATTGCTTTGCTCTCTAACCAAAAGCTGTCACATCCAGGAATTTGGAAAATGATGAAATCAGATTCTTTGTTCAGCTTGGAGGTGGGCATCTCTCTTGGGGTCGGCTGTGGGCTGAACTGAGTCCCCGCCAAATTTATATGTTGAAGACATAACCTTCAGTAGCTCAGAATGTGACTTTATATGGTGATAGGATCTGTACAGGGATAACTAAGGTAAAATGAGCTCAAATGGGTGAGTCTTAATCCAGTATGACTGTTGTCCTCATAAGAAGAAAAAATTTGGAAACTGACATGTATAGAGGGACAACAGGGTGAAGAAATAGAAAAGATGACTACCTACAAGCCACAGAGAGAGGTCTCAGAAGAAACCAACCCTGCTGATAGCTTGTTCTCATACTTCTAGCCTCTGAGACTAAGAAGATAAATTTCTCTCAGTCTGTGGTGCTTTGTTATGGTTGCCCCAGCAGACTAATACAGGGTCATCGAATGCCCATTTCTCTTGGGAAGCATTCATACACCCAAACTATACTGACGAGGTTGCATGGTCAAGGCATCTTCTCTGGAGGCCACCTAATTCCTTTCCTTACAGACGTATCACCTTCCCCTCACAGTGCTGGAATTTGCTGTCCTTTGACTGCTGACACTTGTCATTTGAACACCTGAGGCTGTTGAGGGCCTCCATACCAACAGACCGGTTTCCCCACTGTCTTAGTTTGGGTCTCCCTAAATGCAGATCCTAAGATAAATACTGGGTATGGAAGGTTTACTTTGGAAGTAATCCCAAGAAACTCTGTAGGGGAGTGGGAAGATGAGACAGGGAAGACAGCAAAGCTAATAGATGAGGTGTGAATGAATGACTTACTGGTGCAGGCAACTGGGCTCATTCTCACTGGGAGCCCTCTGGGAGTGTATGGGACACACCTAGGATTATTCTACTGAGCGTCATGGAAACCAGGATATATATTCACAAACTCCCACCTCACATCGGTTGAGGGTCTCATTTGAGGCACCAAACTTTCCTGTACTTTAGCTTGTCTTTTTAAGTGGGCCAAGCCCACTCCTGCAGCCAGCAAAAGCCCTCAGGCAGAGAGATGGAAAAAGATGTTGGCATGCATTGGAATACTGGCAAATGACCCCCAGAGTGGGCTGAGGGGTTCTGGGGTAGCACCAATAGTGGCAGCCACATAAAGCCCCTTCCTCCCCGCACCTCTCCTTCTATGGGCTCCAGCATGTTCTGCACTGAGCCCACCCAAATGCAAAGCACTTTCCCTCTCTCTCTCTCTCTCTCTGGCTGAGTTTTCAACTCCTTTCCAAGAGGCATTTGCTCTGTTAACACTCAGCATCTGGTTCAGACGTGGCACTTCAATAGAGCCACTTCTGTTCCTCTGGACTCCCCCTCACCTAAATGAAAGGCAGAGTCTCACAGAAACCAGAATGAAAGGATTCCTCTGGCAGGTCTCTTTTCTGTTTTCAGATCTCTGCATCCTGTTGCTTTAGAGAATCCTGAGTTAGCTAGGCAGCACAGCAGCAGGGTGAAGAAGTATTTCTGGAGCAATAGCTGTCATTGCTCAATAGCCATGTTTGAAAGTGGAGCCCTTCTGGGTTCTATTTTACTGGCCCCTTTAAAAGGGATTGTGATATAATTTCAAGAGGATTGTGCTCTCTGAATACTTCAATAAGTGGTTCAATATGGCCTGCAAAATTCTAGACTTGGAGGCTGGGTGAATGACATTTGTATCAAGTATGAAGTTTATTCCACTTTCCTCTCTGAGAAGAAAACATGTCAGAAATGATGGCCAAGTTTCTAACGTCGAGACCAAGCCTCCAGGGGCATTGTTTGGTAACCCCTGGAGGTGGGGGAAGACAGGCTTGTGGTTGAGAGTTTTCAGAGCTTGGGTCAAATGCCGGAAAAACCAAATAAAACAAATGTTGATCACAGGAGAGTTGAGCAGCCTCAACAAATGAAGTTGCCGTTAGCCTGTTAATTTGGGGTTCCCCCAAATCAGAGGTGGAGATGAGGATCTGGGTGCAGATAGTTTATTTGGGAGATGATCTTAGAAAGTACAATGAAGGACTGGCCAGGTGCAGTGGCTCACGCCTGTAATACCAGCACTTTGGGAGGCTGAGGCGGGTGGATCACCTAAGGTCAGGAGTTCGAGACTAGCCTGACCAACACGGAGAAACCCCATCTCTGCTAAAAATACAAAATTAGCCAGGTGTTGTGGTGCATGCTTGTAATCCCAGCTACTCGGGAGGCTGAGGCAGGAGAATCGCTTGAACCTGGGAGGTGGAGGTTGCGGTGAGCTGAGATCCCGCTATTGCACTACAGCCTGGGCAACAAGAGCGAAACTCTGTCTCAAAAATAAATAAATTAATAAATAAATAAAGTACAATGAAGGAGCAGAGAAAGCAAGACAGGAAAGGAAAGAAAACAAAAACAAAAAAGGTACATTAATGAGCTAATTATTGATGAGGTTGTTGGGTCTCAGTCCTACTTGTGACCTTATGAAGAACGATGTAGAACACACTCAGAATTGTCCCACAGAAGACGGGGAGGCAAGAGTTTCTCTATTCACCCCCATCCCTTAGTGGTTGAGATGTATTCATGGGCACATTGACTGTCCTGTACTTACCACTTCCTATAAGGTAGTTGAGTGGCCTTCTATGGGTTTCACTTGAAGAAAGACACTGGTGTCATCCAGGGAACTGTCTATCACAGGTGTGCTGAAATCAGGGAGGCCGAGGGGATGGGGTGTGGTGCATCACAAGTCTCTGCCACAGACCTTTAGTTTGAAGAATGAAGCTTCATTCATGGTTCCCATCCATTTCATTCCAATTTGAGCATCTTCTATACACCAGGGACTGTACTAAGAGTTGGACATAGAGTGGTGAGCTCTCATACTCTTGTCTCTTGGGAAGCTTATAGCTAGAGGGGAAGGCAAATAAATTATATAATCACAAAATTCTTAGAATCTCCAGCTCTCTCCTGGGGGAGGGGAATCAGGCCAGCTGAGATCTGACCACAGGGCCCTTCATTCTCCCCATACACACTTGCAAAATAGATCTAGTGATGGTCCTTCTGGAAGGGGCTCTGTTGTCCCATCTTGCTGAGGGAAGAATGGCACACGTGTGGACAAGAGGCTGGTTTTTCCACTCTCGTGAGATTATTTGCTCATTGGCAATCAGTTCCTCTACTCTAGCCCCATACAGAATGGACCGGCTGCTGATCAAGGAAGGGAGTTAGCTGTGAAGGAGGACTTCCTGACAGGTTGGGCTGTGCATCCTCACATATGCTCCCCAGGACATCTTGAGGGTAGGACAAGTGAAGAAGGGGGAACAGAGGTTGACACGATGAGCTGAACTTGGATGACTGGACAGGTGTTGTGTGCCGTCCACACAGCTGAGAAAGTCAGTAGAGGGGCTGGCTCTGAGGCAAGGAGGGGGAGCCCAGCTTTGACCTGTTGAGAATGAGGTGAGGGAGAGGCCAGGCTGATGGGTCCAGGTACGACTGCCCATCTTCCTTGTGCTCTCTCCATCTGGGCCCTGCCTGAGTTTTCTTTCTTGGTATCTTGGAATCATCTCTTCCAGATCCTGGCAGCTCTCTCCTCTGGATCTGGCATCATCTCTGACTTCCTGACTTGCCCTGATAATTCTTTCTAGTTCCCAGTGAGAACAGGTTGATGCAGTGGAAGGGGCATCCGACCTGGAGTCAGACAAAGCTTGGCTGTATCACTCAAGAGCACTTTTGGGGCCAGAGCATTCACTGGCCTCCAGTTTCCTCTGCTTTCCAGGTCTCTGCTCAAAAGTCAACTCCATGGAGAGGGCCTCTCTGACACCTTAACTAAAATAGAACTCATCCCACTACTCTCATGCTTACCTTGCTTTATTTTTCTCTGAGCCTGTTATTACCTTCTGACATTTAAATGTGTGTGTTTACTTGTTTAATGTGTGTATATGGCCCACCAGGGAGTAAGCCAACAGATACCTTGTTATTTTGTTGATTTGCTATACCGCTAAGTGCACAAAGCAGTTCTGGGCACATAGTAGGCTCTCAATAAATATCTGGTGAATGAATGAATGAAATAAATCAATTTCTCAAGATTGTAGGTGTGAAGAGGCCCAGAGTGTACCCCAGGATATGGAAGGATTATTCCACTCCAAGGCTTAAGACCCATCCCATCAGAAATAATAACATGGAACCCCTTCCAGCTTTTATTTGAAACAGAAAAGGCCTGCATAAAACACACACCAAACATTCATTTGATCAGCTGGACTTACTACACTGGCGTGTCTAGGTAATATTTCGTTGGATTTCACCCTGCATTTGAAAGCAAAACAATTCGCATTTGAAAATCTCATTACCAGCATCTTCCCTCCAAATCCATTAATGGCGTGAGTGTTTCTGGCAACTGAGATCACCTCGGATTATAGTATGAAATTCAGCTCTGGGGAAAACTGTATGTTTCAAGATGTTCATACCATTCAATTGTCAAATATTCACATGGTTATGATTCTCAAAGAAATCACACAATGTAGGGAAATTGGTAACAAAATAAAAGCTCTGGGATGTATTGAGACTTCGTGGCCAAAGGATTCCTCTCTGACATACCTAATCCCAAAGATGGGAAATTAAAAACCATGCCAGAATATCAATGCCTCACACAGGGCATGGCTTGCTTTTCTTGAGTATAATTCCAGGTCTCATCCTGCATAACAATCACAGATTTCTTCACTGGGCCTTCAAGTCTCCTTGTGACTACACTTTGTCCCATCTCACAAAAAAGGAGCTCCTCTTTTCCCGTCACTCTCCACACTAGCTAAAATAGGCCACTAGCTAATCTGAATCTACACGGTCATCTTTGCTTTGGTGTACTTGGATGAAGTCACAGACTGTTAGAGTTGAAGAGGCCCTGGAGATCATCCAGGGTAGTGTTTAGCGAGTTCCTTTTCTAGCTGAAATTAGTTTATAAGATAGACAGTGAAAAAAATAGATGGTGAAACCCTGTCTCTACCAAAAAATTTAAAAAATTAGACAGGCATGGTGGTGCATGCCTATAGTCCTAGCTACCTGCGGGGCTGAGGTAGGAGAATTGCTTGAGCCTGAGAGGTGGAGGTTGCAGTGAGCTAAGATCGCAGCACTGTACTCCCGCCTGGATGACAGAGCAAGACCCTGTCTAAAAAAAAAAAAAAGAGAGTTGGGGTTCTGTAATGAAATGAGTTTGGGGACTACAGCATATTCTACCCTTCTCTTGGAGCTTTCTGGTTCACACAGGAGTGTTCATATCTGAGATATTCCATGGTCAAGAGGCTTGTGTATGTTTCTTTAACCTAGCATGGTCCAAAATTAGCTGATCATGCACCCTTTATTTTGAACATATAAACTATTCAAATTCTGTGGAAAACAAGTGTACAAGTTGGAATTCCATCATTTAAACAGACAGGAAAATGAAGGGAAAAAAAGCTACTCAAAGTTCATGGTCACTAGGCTGGTCAATGGCAGAGTCAGGAAGGATGGAACACCAGAGACCATGACACCCAGCCCAAGGATCATCTACTGCTTTCCCTCAATTAACTGCAATCTCATCCCACTCCATCCCACCCCACCACACCCCATCCCATTTAATTCCATCCCATCTAATGTCACCCAATTCCATTGCACCCCATAACACCCCATTCCATCCCCTCCCATCCCATCTTATCTCATCTCATCTCAATCCACTCCACCCCACTCACTCCATCCACTCCATCCCATCCCATCCCATCTCATCTCACTTCATCTTATCCCATCCCATACCATCCCACCCCATCCCACTCTACCCCATCCCATCCCATTCCATCTCATCCCATCTTATCCCATCCCATCCCACCCCATTTCATTTTATCCCATCCCATTCCATCTCACCCCATCCCATCTCTTCCTATTCCATCTCATCTCATCCCACCCCATCCTATTCCATTCCATTTCATCCCACCCTACACACCCCATCCTATCCCATTCCATATCATCTCATGCCATCCCATAAATATTTCTTAAGCCTTTGCTATGGCCAGGTGCTATTCTGGGTGCTGGGGACACTGGTGAACAGACAGACTAAGACTGGATAATACAGAATACAACTTTGCCTTCACAGAGCTAGGAGTTTAGTTTATGCTTCTTACCATTTTCCACCCTTCTTTTCTCTATTCTCTCCCGCTCCCCCTTTCTTCCTTTTCTCCTTCACTCTGAACAAGATAAATGGTCCTCAAACTCTACTTACATTGCATCACTCCTTGGGTGAGGACTCTAATTGATTTCATTTTGTCTCCTACAACAGGTTTATTCTGTGGGACTGTGAGCTCTGATAGCAGGGCTGGGGCTGGCCTAATTCACTCTGTGTGTAGAATACCTGGCTCATAGCAGGTGCTCAGTTGATAATTGTCCCTTGGCTGGATGCTTGCCAATCTTGCAAGACATCCTCTTAAACTATTTTTTTTTTTTTTGAGACGGAGTTTCGCTGTTGTTGCCCAGGCTGGAGTGCAATGGTGCTGTCTGGTCTCACTGCAACCTCTGCCTCCCAGATTCAAGCAATTCTCCTGCCTCAGCCTCCCGAGTAGCTGGGATTACAGGCATGTGCCACCACGCCTGGCTAATTTTGTACTTTTAGTAGAGACGGGGTTTCTCCATGTTGGTCAGGCTGGTCTCGAACTCCCGACCTCAGGTGATCCCGCCACCTTGGCCTCCCAAAGTGCTGGGATTACATGCGTGAGCCACTGCACCTGGCCGACCTTAAACTCTTAGGCTCCTTCTCAGCTTAGTCTGAAACCTTCCCTCCAAGCCAGGCAGTAGCCCTAATGGGCTCTCCACATAATCCCACATGCCTTTCCTTGTGATTTTTCTTGAACTGATTTCCCAGCAAGGGAAAGTGAGCCCTGTTCATTCAGTCCCTGCCCTGTTGATTCAAATCTCATATCCAGCTCAGACCTCATTGGAAAATTCACTGAAATCTTTTCTCTCCACTTCCTTCCCTTTCCCTTTCCAACTCACCTGGCCCGGCTCCACCCCACCTTGCCCTCCTTTTCTTTCCTTTCCTTCCTCCCTCTCTCCCTCCCTCCTCTATTCCTCCTCCTCTCTCCTTCCCTCCATCCCTTCCTTTCTTGTATCCTGACTCCTAACTCTGTGAAGACAAAGCTGTATTCTGTATTGTCCTGTCTGTTCACCAGTGTGTCCCCAGCACCCAGAATCGAGCATTTATGCCAGGTCCGATGGATACAAATATGAATCATGAGTAACCTCTATCTTTGGGGATCTCATGGTCCACTGGGGAAGACAGACAAGTAAATAGTTGTAATGCAGTGTAATTTTCCACAACAGATGCCTGCACAAGCTGCCAGAGGCCTACAAATGGAGAGTCAGCTCACACGGGTTGAGAAAGGCTTCGAGAAGAAGGGGATAGGCAAGCTGGCACTTGAAGTTCAATATGAAGTAAGACAGGAGAAAGCTTACTGGGATTGGTGGAGAGGAAGGGTGGAGAGGAAGTTTGAAGTAAGAGTTTCAAATCAGGGATATCACATCTTCTCAATTCCCCAGCGACTGGAGACCTTCTCATTTCTAAATGTTATTTGAAGTCAGAACTAAGATCAGGACCCAACTCTGTAATTTACTTTTTTAAGAAAAATTACTTAGCTTCATGAAGCTAAGTAACACTTACAAAACCAGAGTATTCTCTTTTTTTGACTTTATTTTTAGGTTCAGGGGTACCTGTGCATGTTTGTTATAGAGGTTAATTATGTGTCGTGGGGGTTTGGTGTGCAGATTATTTCATCACCCAGGCAATAAGCATAGTACCTGATAGGCGCTCTTTGATCCTTGCCCTCCTTCCAGTCTCCAACCCCAAGTAGGTGCTGGTGTCTGTTGCTTCTGTCCTCATGTCCATGTGTACTCAATGTTTAGCTCCCACTTATAAAGTGAGAACATGCAGAATTTGGTTTTCTGTTCCTGCGTTAGCTCACTTAGGATTATGGCCTCCAGTTCCATCCATGTTGCTGCAAGGGACATAATCTCAATCTTTTTTACGGCTGTGTAGTATTCCATGGTGTATACATACCACATTTTCTTTATACAGTCTACTGTTGATTGGCATTTAGGTTGATTCCATGACTTTGATATTGTGAACAGTGCTGCAATAAACATACACATGCATGTATCTTTATAATAGAATGATTTATATTGCTTTGGGTATATACCCAATAATAGGATTGCTGGGTGGAATGGTACTTCTGTTTTAAGTTATTTGAGAAATAGCCACACTGTTTTCCATAATTGTCAAATGAATCACATTCCCATCAGCAGTGTTTAAGCATTCCCTTTTCTCTACGATCTCGCCAGCATCTGTTATTTTTTGACTTTTTAATAATAGCCATTCTGACTGGTGTGAGATAGTATCTCATTGTGGTTTTGATTTGCATTTCTCTAATGAATAGTGATGCTGAACATTTTTTCAATTGTTTGTTGGCCACATGTATGTCTTCTTTTGAAAAGGGTCTGTTCATGTCCTTTGCCCACTTTTTAAATGGGGTTTGTTTTTGAAATCAGAGTTTTCTTAGCATAGGGCCTGGTACTTAGCAGGTGCTCATTAAATGTATGTTGAACAAATGAATGAATATCTACCTAACAGTGTTTATTATTGCAAGTATATAAAGTAATGATGTTGCTTGTCATATGGTAATTCCCTGTGGTTTTAGTTGTTGTTGTTTTTGCCCTAAAAGAGGTACAGAGAGAACAGGGTATTGGCTAAGACTTGAGAAAGTCTGTGGCTCATATCTTCCTCTCAAGAAGGTTCCCTAACTTCCATTAGCAACTCTTTCTTGGCCCAAAACTTCAGACTTGACCTTTCTATTTAAATCCTGATAATAAGATAAATGGAGACTATTTTTCTCCTCCTCTACCCCCGAATTTTTCTGAGTAAAATGTCCATGCAGTGGCAGAAGAATTGGCAATGATCCCTTTTAAAGTTGCCAGGTGATTGTATTTTACTAAATCTGACTTTTTCTTCTGTCACTCTCCTGACCTTTTGCCCTGCATTAAAATGAAATCCTTCTGTGTCACTGTCCTGTCAGTGTCTGGCTACGGCTCCCTTTGCTATCATTTTCTACTCTAATGAGTTGCTCCAATGAGCTTCGCTGACCTTGCTGCCACCTAAGTGGAACCATATTTTAGGCATTCCCTTTGCCTCAGCAGAAACTGGGAGGGCACAGGTGACAAAGAACAACTGGCATTTGTCAAGTCAATAACTGTGCCAATCACCCTGTTTACTGCCTCACCTTCAGTATTGCATTTAATCCTTACAGTGGCCATGGTTGTTTTAGAAATTCAGAGTTCAGGCTTTACTCCAGGCTAATCAAATGAGAATCTTAAGGGTGGAGCCTGGACATTGGTATTTTTAAAATGTACTCCAGGCCATTCTAATAGGCAGGCCAAGTTTTAAATCATTGCTTTATACCAGGCTGCCTCTCAAAAAGCATGTTTCAGAGAATTTTAGGTGCTATCCATGTAAATACCAGTTTGAAAATGAAAAGGTACTTGGAATAAGGCCATTGGTTATGGTCATAATTTAGACAAGAACAAATAGGCCTTCTAGAGAATACTCTAGTCAATCAAAAATACAATTTAAGCCTTTTTCCCAAACATAAAGGAAGAGGAAATACAAACAGCTACAATACCTAGGGGACATTTCATAGAGTAACACAGGAAAAAAGTCTAGCATGAATAGCCTTCCTACATAACAAGGGGCAGTTTTTTACATAGCACACTTCCTAAGAGTTGTGTGCAGTGATGCCAGAAGTCAGCCTGGCCTGTTTAAATCCCCTACTGCAGAGGATCATAGAGAATTCAGTCCAGACAGATATTGTGTGCATTTTGCAAATCCAACACCAAAATGTTTAATAAATGTTATTTATTGAGATTAATGGAAAGAGCTTCTAACAGAAAGTAACTAGTCTGCTATGCACTCCTCTGAGACATGGAATAGTCAGAGACATGGACATTTTGATAATTATTTCAGAATCATTTCCTTATGGTACATGTGCCTGATGGTTTCCCTAATTCTTTGGTGCGGAGAGATTTGAATTAATACCAGAAATGTACAATAGTAATCTGGCTATTTGTTGTTTGATGCGCAGTTGTTTATATAAATCATATAATAAATTGTTTTAATGCTTTCCATATTGTGGATTCAATCATCTCCTGTCATTATGTTATTAGTTCAAGCAACCTTTCCAGGTTTGTATATAAGAATAGTAAACCTAGCCGATAATGTACGCAAGTTCTCCAACCCTCAATGGGAAAACTAAGCAAGCACGCCATTTTACAGAATATAGGAGAAACATCTTTGGATTCTTTGGGAGAGAGCACTTAAAATAAGTGCAACCTCATCTTGTACCTTTTAGGGTAGAAAAATCAGTATGTTAAAGTCCATTATTAAATCACAGTAGAATTAACTGGCCGGACACACAAATGGATTCTCCCCAAATGTACAAAACATCTTTTGTTTCTCCTTGGAATCATTTAAACAATATACTATTGTTAAACAACATTATCGAGTGGCAAAGGCATGGAAAATTGAACTAGGTTTCTAGACTTTAAGTCACAGCTCTGCCACTTACCAGCTGTGTGACCTTGGGTAACTCACTTAACTTCTCTGAGCCCTATGTTTCTCTTCCTTGAAATGGAGACAAAGCAGAGACAACAAAAATACCTACATAAGAAAATTGCCATGAGGGTTAAATCAGTTAATTAGTTAAATCAGTTAATATTTGTAAAACATGTGGAACAATAAATGTGTGTGTCCCACATGTTTTACAAATATTAACTGATTTAACCCTCATAGCAATCTGTTTCTTATATAAAAGCAAATTAACTCCCACTAGTATTTCTCAAATTTCAATGTGCATATGAATGACATGGAGATTTTGTAGAAGTGCAGACTCTGTTTCTGTAGGTCTGGGGAGGGGTCTGAGATTCGGAATTGCTAACAAGCTCCAGGGCAGTGCTCATGCTGCTGACTCATGGCCACACTTTGGGTGGTGAGAGGTCTACATCCTTCAGGAGGATGGGAGTGGGAAGGATTCAGGTGTGACTCATCTGCTCTATTTAACTTGCCCCAGCTTTACATCAGGTGTAGGCGTTTGAAGTAAACTCTTGGGACCAACCTCTTGTATTTGCTAAGAGAAAACCCAGGCCTGAACACTCGCTTTATTCTGTCCTTAAGCAGGATGACTCTTATTTGTTACTTGGGCACCCAACCACTTCTAATCACGTGTGGTATTCAATCCAACGGCTGCACTCTGAGTAAGAAATGAGTGTAGACTAAGACTTCAGACCCTTCCAAATACAGCATCTTAGAGACCAGTCAGCATCTCACCCTGCCAATATGGGCCTCCTCATGGTAAGTATCTAGGGAGTTACTATACAAAAATGATTTGTTTCATGTCTGAATTCAGCACCCTCAGCAACTGATCTCTTTATTATCCTATTTTGGTAATTTCCAGACCCAAGGAAGAGGGTGGGGGAAAGATGAGACCACTCCTCTCAACACCAATAAAAATGGTTTACTCTACATTTAAGCTATCTGGCGTTCTGCTTATTTATTTTTGAATGCATGATCTACAATTAGGTTAAATTTGTCATCCCCACCAAGTGACTTGATGAAAGCTTCTTTAATATCTCTTGGTATATCATGTACATTTAAAGCATCTGAAAATGGTTTCAGGAAAACTAGAGCCCAATGTGTACAAAAGCCCCACTTGTTGGGATAAACACCAAAAAGGCTAAGGGGGAATTGAGAATGATCTATACTGTGATCATGTTCATTGTTTCATATCACATCTGGCAGCTCAGCATTCAGGTGCTGATATGGTTTGGCTGTATCCCCACCCCAAATCTCATCTTGAATTGTAATCCCCATAATCCCCACGTGTCAAGGGAAAGACCAGGTGGAGGTAATTGAATCATGGGGGCAGTTCCCTCATTCTGTTTTCATGATAGTGAGTGAATTCTCACGAGAGCTGTTGTTTGGTAGTTCCTCCTGCATTCATTCTTGCTCCTGTTGCGTCGGAAGAAGGCACTTGCCTCCGCTTTGCCTTCTGCCATGGTTGTAAGTTTCCTGAGGTCTCCCCAGCCATGTGGAACTGTGAGTCAATGAAACCTCTTTTCTTTATAAATTACCCAGTCTCGGGAAGTTCTTTATTGCAGTGTGAGAATGAACTGATACAGGTGCTTATTCTTGACTACCTGGGCCTCACGTAGGTGACAGTGCCATTTGGTAAGTGGTAAAGACCAGATTACAGCTTTATGGTTTGACCAACCAACTGTATATACTTAAGGGCACCATTGTAAACTTACTAGAAAATTAGCATATTTCTCCATGTAAGTATGCTTCAACAGGAGGGGCAGGAGGAATTACTTACAGCAATCATAGATAACACTGGAGAATGAATCATTTCAAAAAACAAATTTTCTTTTTTTTTTTTTTTTTTTTAAGATAGTCTCACTCAGTTGCCCCGGCTGAAGTGCAGTGGCACAATCATAGCTCACTGCAGCCATAAACTCCTGGGCTCAAGTAATCCTCCTACCTCAGCCTCTCAAGTAACTAGGACTATAGGCACATACCACCATTCCCAGATAATTTCATTTAATTTTTATTTTCGTAGAGAAGATGTCTCGCTATTTTGCCCAGGCTGATCCGAAACTCCTGGCTTCAAGTGATCCTCCTAAGGCCTCCCAAAGTGCTAGGATTATAGGCATGAGCCACTGCAACCAGCCACAAATTTTTAAAGAATACAAATATTTCAACATGATTTGGTGCCCTCCATTGATGCCTGCGTGCTATTAATCACTGCTTAACTGCCTCCCGATATTTTCTCAGGCTTTTGTACATGTTTTATTTTCCCCTTTTCTCCTTTTGAAATGTTAGATCCTTGTTTTTTAATTGACATATAAATAATATGCAGTGAAATGCACAGATCTTAAGAGTCAAATTTAATGAGTTTTCACAAATGCATACAGCTACGTAACCCACATCCCTGTCAAGACACAAAACGTTTCCTTCATCCCTAAAATATTCCTCCTGCCTCATCTAATCCATTCTGTCCCCCATCCCCCTTGCCCTCAGGAAAATACTGCTCTAATTTCTTTCAATAGAAATTAATTTTGCCTGTTCTAGAACTCTACATAAATTGAATTGTACAGGATGTATTCTTTTGTATCTGGCTTTTTTCAACACAATGTCTTTGAGGTTCATTCCTGTTGTTGCATGTATAAATGTTTCATTCCTCTTTACTGAGCATTCCTTTATATGTTTATAACTCAGTTGTTTGTTGACTTGTTGAAGGACATTTGGGTTATTTCCAGTTTTTGGCTATTATGAATAAGGCTGCTATGAATATTCTTTCACAATTCATATTGTGCCCATATCTTTTCATTTCTCTTGGTTAAACACATAGGAGTGGAATTCCTGGGTCATAGCGTGGGTGAACGTTTAACTTTAGGGGAAACTGCTGGACAGATTTCCAAAGGGGCTACAGAGTTTTACACTCCTGACATTAACGTAGGAGAATTCCTATTGTTCCACATCCTTACCAACCATTGGTGGTGTTAGTCTTTCAAATGTCAACCACTTCAGTGTGTCTAGATAGGATTATAATCTCATTTTTGTTTTAGTTTGCATTTCCCTGATAGTAGGGCTATTGAGTCCCTTTTTCACGTTCTTATTGGCCATTCATATACCTTCTTTTGTGAACTGCCTGTTCAAGTCTTTTTACTCATTTTAAAATTTGAGTTTTTCTGGATAGCCACATGTAGAAGAATGAAACTGGATTTCTATCTCTCACCATATACAAAAATCAACTCAAGATGGATTAAAGACTTAAATCTGAGACCTGAAACTGTAAAAATTGTAGAAGCAAACCTAGGAAAAACTGCTTGATGTTGGCTTAGGCAAAGAACTTATGACTAAGACCCTAAAGGCAGATGCAACAAAAACAGAAATAAATCAATGGGACCTAACTGAACTACGAAGCTTCTGCATGGCAGAAGAAATAATCAGAATAAACAGCCCACAGAATGGGAGAAAATATTGGCAAACTATTCATCTGATATAGGACTGATATCCAGAATCTACAAGAGACTTAAATCAGCAAGAAAAAACACCCCAACAAATAATCCCATCAAAAAGTGGGCAAATAACATGAATAGACACTTCTCAAAAGAAGATAGACAAATGGCCAAAAAACATATTTAAAGAAATGCTCTTATCACTAATTATCAGGGAAATGCATATAAAACCATAATGAGATGTCACCTTACCCCAGCCAGAATGGCCATTATTAAAAAGTCAAACAATAGATATCGGCATGGATGTGGTGAAAAGGGAATACTTTACACACTGCTGGTGGGAATGTAAATTAGTACAACCTCTATGAAAAACAGTATGGAGATTTCTCAGGTAACCCAAAGTAGACCTACCGTTCGATATGGCAATCCTACTACTGAGTATCTACCCAAAGGTAAAGAAGTCATATATACCTGCAGGTACATATTTATTGCAGCACGATTCACAACTGCAAAGATATGAAATCAACCTAAGTGCTCATCAACCGTTGAGTGGATAGAGAAAATGTGGTATGTATACACCATGGACTACTACTCAGCCTTAAAAAAGAAGGAAATAACATTGTTTACAGCAACTTGGATGGAAGTAGAGGTCTTTATTCTAAATGAATTAACTCAGGAATGAAAAACCAAATACCTTGTGTTGTGACTTATAAGTGGGAGCTAAGACATGGGTATGCAAAGGCATACAGAGTGGTAAAATGGACGTTGCAGACTCAGAAGAGGGGAGGACAAGAGGGGGTGAGGGATAAAAACTATCTATTGCATACAATGCACAGTACTTGGGATGACAGGTGCACTAAAATCTCAGGCTTCATCACTGTGCATTTCATCCATGTAACCAAAAACCACTTATATCCCAAAAGCTATTAAAACTTTTTTAAAAATCAGATTTCCCTAAAAAAATGAATTTTTAAATAATGATTGAGGTTTGAGGAATTCTTCACATATTTAGGTTTAAGAGCTTGTCAGATAAATATTTTGTGAATAGTTTCACATAGTTTGTCTTATCTATTCTGTTTCTTAATGTATTTTCATAAAGATTTTTAATTTTGATAAAAATCTAATTTATCAAAATTTCCTCTTATGATTAACATTTTCTCATTCCTGTCTAAAAATATATCTACCTCAAGTTTGCAAAGGTATTCTTCTGTGGTTTCTTCTGGCAGTTTTATTGTTTTAAGCTTTTATGCTAATAGGTATGATCCATGTTGAATTAATTTTTGAGACGTGTGGTAGTTTTTCCTTTTATAAATCGATATGAGTTCCAGTGCCATTTATTGCTAAAACAATTCTTTCCCCCATTGAATTGCTTAGTTTCCTTGGCCAGAAATCAATGGTTATAGAAGTATGGATCTCTCTGGACTCTATTCTCCTCTACAGATCTATGTATCTTTCATTACCAATACTACAGCTTCTTGATTACCATAGCTTTACGTAAGTTTTGAAATCTGGCAGTGAAAGTC